>NC_000004.12:57899575-58225981 GCF_000001405.40 Homo sapiens | reverse complement strand
GAAGTTTCAACAAAATGGGATACAATTTGTGTGTGTGTGTGTGTGTGTGTGTGTGTGTGTGTGTTTCTCTCATTATTATTTTCTACTGAACTTTAGTGAAACCCTTTTACTTATCTCTTTGTGACAAATAAGGCCATTTAAAGAGGATGTAAAGAGGAGATTTTGAGCTTCTCTTTTATTTCCTCCCTTAACTCTTCTGTGTCTAGAGACAGAAAGATTAAAGAAAAGGCACTAGCATCTCTTTATGTAAAAGGTCACAGATGTAAAACCCTCCTTGTTTCTCCTAGATGCTTCTCTAATTCTTGTCAATAGGTGTCCTCCATGTATCAAGCATCCAAATACAGGCCCTCACTGGGGCACATGTATGAATTATTTGGAGGGTCTTAAGGTGGTTCATCTCACAGTCTCTTCCTGCTGGTGTCTGCTCACCAAGTGGAAAGCCCCTCTTCAAAGAAATGCTCACAGGACAGTTTTAACCCAATTACCTTCCAATACGTCAACTGAATGCACTGTAATTTCCATGTAAAATACTGGGCTCCTCCTCATTCTCATTCGCTGCACACACAAATACAGGGCAAATCAGCAATATTGTTGCTTACATTATTATTAGTTATGGAACATATTTTTTGGACTTTCTTCTCATTTGGTTTGAACACAGACAATGTAGCTTCTTTCTTTCACCAAGAAATGGTAGAACTTCACCTCTCATTACAAATCCTGAACTCATAATAATATGACTGATTCCTTACTAAGAAATAATTTACCATAAATTCCTGAAGATTAAGTTTCTGGACCCCTTATTTGCAAAGGATAAGATCTAGAATTATATTTACTTAGTTATTGAATTTATAAAATGTGCAAATAGTAAAGGTATTTGTATATTTGTAAGTGGGACTCCAAAATTATGTGAGTTCCAGGCTCGTAAATCCTGGACCCATCGAACGTCCTATTCTAACTTCTTCCTGTGCTAGTTTTCTGCTCCGATACACTTGGTAAGAGATGGACTTGGTCATCAGTCTTTAATTGTAGGTGTCCTTAGAATGTAAGAACCTAGGCCCGGGCACGGTGGCTCATGCCTGTAATCCCAGAACTTTGGGAGGCCAAGGCGGGTGGATCATTTGATGTCAGGAGTTTGAGACCAGCCTGGCCAATATGGTGAAACACCGTCTCTACTAAAAAATACAAAAATTAGCTGGATGTAGTGGTGTGTGCCTGTAGTCCCAGCTACTCTGGAGGCTGAGGCAGGAGAATCACTGGAACCCAGGAGGTGAAAGTTGCAGTGAGCCAAGATCACGCCACTGCACTCCAGCCTGGGCAACAGAGTGAGATCCCATCTCAAAAAAAAAAAAAAAAAAAAAAAAAAGAAACAAAAGAATGTATGAACTTTTAGGACTAATCAGGTCCCAGTGCAGACTCAGGTATCAATTATGAAGCAACAAGAAAAATTCCACTTAACCTCAGTTTCAACAATCTTGTCTCTGATATTTCTAAATGTTAGATTTTTATTTCAAAAATTATGAAACTGGTTAGATGACCTCTAGGATAACTCTAGTTCTGACAGTTTGAGGTAGAGAAGCAGGGTCTCATGTGTATGCAGTAGTGTGAATCAATAATTATTGATGCTTCAGGAAACGGGATGATGCTTTCTTGACCCCTTCCATGTTTCCTCAGTCTATCAAGCCTCTTCTCATTTCCTTTTCGGATCTAACTTGAATCTCATGATCAATATCCCAAATGACATTATCATCAGCATCCTTGTTTTCCTTGTTTTCTATTCTTTCTTTCTTGGTTAAATTTAATAGCATCTAGCTCCAGATGAATGATTCCACATCCCTGCTCCTAAACTGAAGCAAGGTACCTCCTGGTACCCAAAGTAGTTGTTAATAGCATAAATATTTGTGTTACATAGACCTTGATTTAAATTTTGCCTATGCTGCATGTAGTTGTTTGACATTGGAAGGTAAAATATCTCCAGGATTTCCAGTTTCCCTTTTATCTAAAATAATAACACATACCTCAAATGGTTGTGATGAGAATAAACCTGCTAGTATCTGCACAGGACTTAGTTCGGTACACTGCACAAAATAAACATTCAATAAATGACAGCCTGAAATGCTAAATGCCACCATATATAGGAATTACAACATCAACTGAGCTTTGAAAGCTTCCCTAGTGTTTAATTTTTAATCCTAGAACTTTCCTTTATCCTACGACATTGTTAAAAATGTCTTCCCATCTCTGCACATTTTCTACTAACCAGTGGTCTTCTAATTCTCAACAAAGAATCTTTATTTGTACTTCACTGAGAAAATAGACATCATTAAGCAAAACATAATTATTTCCCCCACCCCTCCTAAGACATTCATTTATATCTTCACGATTCTTATAACTTATTTTAATATCAAAGGACAAATTTTTCTTAGATAACTTTTCTCTTGAAACCTTTGTCTTTATCTGCTTTAAAACACTGATCTGTCTATTGTTTGCTCTGTCATATGTATTTTCAATTTTACTTTTTCTACCCACTCCCTATAGCTTATGAAGTTTAATTTTTTTGCTACTACTACTACTAGTCATCATACCTTTCTTTCAATTACCTTGAATTATTTATGTAATTAAAAATCTATATAAGTTGTGACAATATCAAAATACAATAGTAAAGTGAGAATCCCTGGAGGCTTGAAGACAAATATGTTAATAAACCTGTGGTAGTTTTACAATAGCTACATAGTTTTTGGTACTCCTCTTTTTAAGAGGTAGAGCCTAATATTTTTTCCACTGAGTGTGGGTTGAAATTATTGGCTGGCCTCTAATAGAATCAAGTGTGAAGTGGTCTTTTGTCACTTTGGAGACTTGATTATAGAAGACATCTCTCTCTCTCTCTCTCTTTCTCTCTCTTCCCCTCTCTCTCATTACTTGCTCCAAGGAAGGCTAGATGTCATGGCATGAGCAGTCTTAACAAAGGCTCACATTTAAAGGAAGTGAGGCTATGGAGAGGCTTTTGTGGTAAGAAATCAATGCCTCCTGCCAAAACCATGAAAACTTCCCCATCGTAGTCAAGTCTTGCAATGACACTGGGCCCTGATGACATAATTACTGCAACTTCATGAGAATCTAAGCCAAAGGAACTCAGCAAAGTGTTTCTGAATTTCTGGCCCACTGTTTTTATTTTAGCCAATAAATGTTGGGATTCTATATAATATATAATCTTGGAATTCTATATAATATATCACCTAATAAGCTGCTAAGGTGCTAATACTTAGTACCCATGGTTATTACATTCCTTACTGTTATTATTGCAAAAACAAGTTTTAAACTTGACTTGGTTCAAACTGATCCATGATAGATAATTTACAGTTCTAGGTATAAATGAACATTTATCAATTTTTTTGGTTGCCTGTGAAACTTTTTAAAACCTTTATGGGTACATAGTAGGTATGTATATTTACGGGGTACAGGAGATATTTTGATTCAGGCATACAATGCATAATAATAACATCAGGATAAATGGGGTATCCATCACCTCAAGCATTTATCATTCCTTTGTGTTACAAGCATTTCAATTATATTATTTTAGTTATTGGAAAATGTACAGCAAATTATTGTTGGCCATAGTCAGCCTATTGTGCTATCAAATACTAAATCTTACTTATCCTGTCTAACTACATTTTTGTAACCATCAACTACTCCTACATCCCTGCCCCACCAGTACCCTTCCAAGTATCTAGTAACCATCATTCTACTTTCTATCTCCATGAGTTCTATTGTTTTAATATTTAGCTCCCACAAATAAGTAAGAACATGTAAAGTTTACCTTTCTGTGCCTGGCTTATTTCACTTAGCATAATGTCTCATAGTTCCATCCATGTTGTTGCAAATGACAGGATCTCATTCTTTTTTCTGGCTGAATTGCAGTCCATTATGCATATGTACCACATTTTCTTTATCCATTTATCTGTTGATTAATACTTACATTGCTTCCAAATCTTGGATATTGTGAGTAGTGCTGCAATAAACACGGGAGTGTAGATAGCTCTTTGATTTCTTTTCCTTTTTTTTCTGAGACAGAGTTTTGCTGTCACCCAGAGCTGGAGTGCAATTGCACTATCTCGGCTCACTGCAACCCCCACCTCCCGGGTTCAAGCAATTCTCTTGGCTCAGCCTCCTGAGTAGCTGGGATTACAGGTGTTCACTACCACACCCAGCTAATTTTTGTATTTTTTAGTAGAGACAGGGTTTCTCCATTTTGGCCAGGCTGGTCCTGAACTCCTGAATTCCTGATCTGCCCACCTTGGCCTCCCAAAATGCTGGGATTACAGGTGTGAGCTGCCATGCCCAGGCTGAATTCTTTTCTTTTGGGTATATACTGAGCAGTGGGATTGCTGGATCTTATGGTAGTTCTACTTTTAGCTTTATAAGGAACTGGTGTTCATAGTGACTATACTAAGATATATTTCCATCAAGAGTGTATAAGCGTTCTCTTTTCTCCACATCCCTGCCAGCATTCTCTTTTGCCTGTCTTTTGGATAAAAGCTACTTTAATTGGGTGAAATGATGTCTCATTGTAGTTTTGATTTGCATTTCTTTGATGATCAGTGATGCTAAACATTTTTCAATATACCTGTTCGCCATGTGTATGTCTTCTTTTGAGGAGTGTCTATTCAGATACTTTACCCATTTTCTGATTAGATTATTAGATTTTTTCCTATAGAACTGTTTTTACTCTGTATATATTCCATTCTGGTTATTGATCTCTGGTTATTGAACTATTGATAGTTCACAAATATTTTGTCTCTTTCTGTGGATTGTCTCTTCACTTTGTTGATTATTTCTTTTGCTGTGCAGAAGCTTTTTAACTTGTGACTCTCATTTGTCCATTTTTGCTTTGGTTGCCTGTGCTTGTGGGGTGTTACTCGAGAACTCTTTGCCCACTCCAATGTCCTGGAGAGTTTCCTCAATGTTTTCTTTTGGTAGGTTCACAGTTTGAGGTCTTAGATTTAATTGTTTAATTCATTTTGATTTGATTTTTATATATGATGAGAGACAGGAGTCTAGTTTCCCTATTTTGCATATGGATATCCAGTTTCCCCAGCACCATTTATTGAAGAGACTATCTTTTCCACAGTGTGTGTCCCTGGCACCTTTGTCACAGATGAATTCACTGTTGGTATATGGATTTGTTTCTGGGTTGTCTATTCCCTTCCATTGTCTATGGGTCTGTTTTTATGCCAGGACCATGCCGTTTTGGTTACTATAGCTCTGTAGTATAATTTAAAGTTAGGTAATGTGATTCTTCCAGTTTTGTTCTTTTTGTTTAAAATAGCTTTGGCTATTCTGAATCTTTTGTGGTTTCATATAAATGTTAGGATTGTTTTTCTTATTTCTATGAAGAATGCCATTGGTATTTTGATAGGCATTGCATTGAATCTGTACATTGCTTTGGGTAGTATGCACATTTTAACAATATTGATTTCTAGTTTTATTTCATTGTGGTCAGAGAAAATACTTTATATAATTTTATTTTTTTTTGAATTTTTAAGACTTGTAGTCTATTATATGGTCTATCCTTGAAAATGATCCATATGCTGAGGAGAAGAATGTGTGTTCTGCAGCTGTTCTGTAAATATCTATTAGGTCCATTTGGTCTATAGTGAAGATTGAGTCAGTTGTTTCTTTGTTTATTTGCTGTCCAATGCTGAAAGTGGAGTGTTGCAGTCTCTAGCTATTATTGTATTGGGGTCCATCTCTCTCTTCAGCTGTGATCATATTTGCCTTATATATCTGGGTGCTCCAATGTTGGGTGCATATATATATATATACTTTTTTTTTTTTTGAGACAGAGTCTTGCTCCATGACCTAGGCTGGAGTGCAGTGGCACGATCTTGGCAGTGGCGTGATCTTGGCTCACTGCAACCTCTGCCTCCTGGGTTCTAGCAATTCTCCTGTCTCAGCATCCCAAGTAGTTGGGACTATAGGAGCCTGCCACCACACCTGGCTAATTGTTTTGTATTTTTAGTAGAGAAGGGGTTTCACCTTGTTGGTCAGGCTGGTCTCAAACTCCTGACCTCAGGTGATCCACCTGCCTCGTCCTCCCAAAGTGCTGGGATTACAAATGTGAGCCACCGCGCCTGGCCAGGTGCATATACTTGTATAATTGTTATATCCTCTTGCTGAATTGACCATTTATTTATTATTTTTCTCTTTTTATAGTTTTTGTCTTGAAATCTATTTTGTCTGATATAAGTATAGCTACTCCTGATGATTTTGGTTTCTATTTGCATAACGTGTATTTTTCCATGCCTTTATTTTCAGTCTATAAATATGGTCTAGGCAAAGAAAGAGAGATAGAGACAAAAAATGAAAAACAGATTAAATGAAGAAGTAACATGGGGATGCTTTTTCAAATAGGGCAGTCAAGATAAACCTCCATAGTGAGGCATCATTTGAACAGAGAAGAGAATAAAAATAAATTAACATTGGAGAAAAGAGCATTGCAGGAGCAGCAGTGGAAAAAGTTTCTCATGCAGTTGAGAACAGTTGCTCTGGCAGATTTAAGCATGATCAAAGATGACAAGGCCAGTGAAGCTGTGCCAGTCATGAGTGAGTGCCAGGAGAGAAGATCAAATGGAGAGATAGTGTAGGGCCAGATCTTGGGGTTTTGTAGTAAGAACTTTACACATTCTTCTCCATGTCATGGGAATTCATTGGACGTTTTTACTTTTATTGCTTAAAGGTAAATGACATAACGTGCTTTAATTTAAAAATAATCAAGTTGAATGCTGTATGGAGAACAAACTTAGCCTTTTTGGAAGTATGCACAAGACTGGAAGCAGAAAACAGCTAAAAGACCATTGCAATCGTCTTGTTGAAAATGTCAATACCTTGGCACACAGTAATAGGAAGAAGCAGTTGGACATGGAGCTTTGGTGATGGTGAAGTTAAGGATAAATGTCAGCATTAATTCTTTTTTTTCTTTTTCTTTTTCTTTTTTTTTTTTTTTGAGACAGAGTCTCGCTCTGTCGCCCAGGCTGGAGTGCAGTGGCGCGATCTCGGCTCACTGCAAGTTCCGCCTCCCGGGTTCACGCCATTCTCCTGCCTCAGCCTCCGGAGAAGCTGGGACTACAGGCGCCCGCCACCACGCTTGGCTAATTTTTTGTAGTTTTAGTAGAGACGGGGTTTCACCGTGTTAGCCAGGATGGTCTGGATCTCCTGACCTCGTGATCCGCCCTCCTCGGCCTCCCAACGTGCTGGGATTACAGGCGTGAGCCACCATGCCCGGCCGCATTAATTCTTTAATCTCAAAATTTCCAACATAGATCCTCATTAAAACTTATATTAACAGCAGGCTATTATTCAACATTTATTTCTTAAATGTTTATTTAATAATTACATACTATGTGTCAAACACTGTGCTAGATAATTGGGCTCTAGTGATAAACAATAGCAAAAAATAAACAACTGTCTATTTAAGAAGGCTACAGTCAACTAGAGGCTCTCCCAAGAAGATATACTTCATATTTAATGTAGTACATTGTCCTGTGGTTAGAATACGAGGTGTTCCTTCAGTTTTTACGAAAAAAAAGTGAAACAATCATCAACCCTCTATATTGGTGGGCTACCTAGATTTGTCAAAACAATTATTTCATTTCATATGACTGATTTAGATGAAATTTAATCTTCTTCAGAAAAGATATTTTGTAATATATCTTATACTTCTTTGTTCACATTATTTTATGAATCGACTAAAGCTAAATCTAGTTAGAGTTTATAGATATTTACTATTTTATTCCTGCACCTTGAACACGTCTAGTATTTTTCTTTCTCCATATTTATGTGATATTTATAATTTGTTTTTTGCTATATTTAACACATTAAGTCAGGGCTATGTGTATTTAATGTGTGCTTGGTTCTTTCTCCAAATTTTCAACATGTGTTTGATATTCTGTCTAATTCCAATGTGCCTAACTTATGGTCTCAATTTAAAAGTTTGGTGTAATTTAGACAGTTAATTTTATCTGTAGAAAGATGTTTCTCAAACTCACTTTCACTCCACCAAAACAAAAACAACAACAACAACAACAAAGATAGCCTCACACTATCATCCTATAACAAGGTAAACTGTTTACAGTAAACTTAATGACAAAGAAAATCCTAACTGCACTTTTCTCCCATTTCTTTCTTTCTCTCTAATAATAAACTTGAGGTTGCAATTCTGTGACCTGGGTTTACCCATACCATCTCAGCTTTAACCTTTTAAAAGCTCTGCAAACATCTCTAGAGGGTGTTTATGAAGTCAGGGAACAAGCATCTCTTCAATTTAAGAATATATATATATATTAACTCTGTTTCCAGACATTAAGGACATCCTGGAGAAATACATAGTCACAAATTCATATGACTAATTTTCTAATTATTCCGAAAATAACTGAAATCATATTTCCCAGATTTCAAAATCAAACTCTCATGATCAGGAAAGAGGACATATGAGTAAATCAACATAAACTTGAATTTTATATATACAACGCACAATTAGGACAAAGGTTTACTGTAATAACCTTAAGAAAGTATTCAAAAAGAAAACAGGAAAACTTCTATACTTTAATAATTTTACATTGCAGATGACCCTCTATTACCACCACAGACCACTTTCCAAATTAGCTTCTTTTCTCTCTGACCTACCATTTTCTACCCCGTATGAACAACACTTCTTGCCTTCCTACTGGTGGTGGCAATAGCTTTCCTTATCTTTTTCTATTCTTCACTCAGCAATAATAGTAAATCTTTTTTGTATTCAATGCTGCCTTTATGACAGTTTGCAGGGTCCATTATCATAAATGCACCTTTACAAATATTTCTACTCAACTAGTGTGCAAACACCTTAAGGGAAAAACTGCTTTGTTTTTTCTTAGTCACTTGTTATTTCATTCAACAAATACATATAAAATGTCTTCCGCTGTCTTTTATTAAAACTTGCATGTCATACGTCAGAGTGAAGGTTCAGAGAAAAATCAGCTGGCAAAAGGAGATAATTCAGGGAAAAGGCATACAAATTTATTAACACACATGCAGGGAAGAACCATACAATGATTACTCCCAATATCCCTAATAAGGTTCAGAAGTTTATATATTATCTTGAGGTTTTAGAAAGAATAGAGGATTGAAACATAGTAAATCAGGTTATGGTGGCAAAAACATTATGGGAGGGGAGAGAAAAGGAGGCTTGGCTGGAAAAGGTGATCTCCTTATATAGATAAAATCTCACAGGTAGCAACCCTCAGAGAGAATATGTGGTGTTTCTTTCAGACCTTTAAAGGTGTCAGACTATCAGTTAATCTTTCCAAGAGAGAGTTTGAGATAAAGTCTGGCTGCATCACTGCAGGTTTTCTTCAGATGCAAATCTCCCTTTGCAGGGGTAATTCTGTTGGCAGGCCATCTGAAGAGTCATCTCAAAACATATCAAATACATATGTTTTGCGGTAAAATATTTCAATTTATTTCACATAGATGGCAAAATATACTGTATTATTTTATCCACAAATAAAAATAAAAATATTTTTTCAGTTGATCTATGACCTACTATCACCTATAAAGTGCATTTAGTTTGAAAAGATATTCAACAAGTTTAAAAATATGCATTTCAGAAGATAAATAATTTGATATATACCAAGTGTTGATTTGGTTGCCTAGTATGTATCAGTGAAAAAAGAAATAAGTTCCCTGTCACATGGTAGGTACATTGCAGAAAGAAAAAAAAAGCAAAAAATAAAAAATAAAAAAAATAAAACTATACAAATACATGAATACATTGTGTGTTAGAAATTTATATATGCTATAAAAGTAGAAAAGAGAGGTGGTTATAATATGTAATAGTGTTAGAGTAGGTAGCTAGACACACATGAGCAGGGCAGGAGAGGGCCCCCACCCAGGAATGTCAAGCAACCATCAGGTGATAGTCAGGTGATTGTTAAACTGTCATTCCAAAATAATAATTAGTCACAGCTGGTGCCAGGGGCTGATAGTCTCCCAGTAGAAAGAAAACACCTGGAGCTGGAAATCAGCTGCTTCCCAATAGGATCTCAGGAGTTGGACAAGCGAGCTCAAGCATGTGCACTAAGAGGCAAAATGGCAGATATATGATTTTCCTCTGGGGGCATTTGACCGGTAGAGGTAAATTGACCCTAGAGAGCATGAGCACAACTTCAGTAAACGCACTATGCATGTGGTCACCATCCCAACGTGCTAACCGACACTTCAGATGCTGCAGTTGGGCAACAGTTACCCCAAGGGAAGACTCAGTGGAGGATTAAAACAAAACAAAACAAAAACCTGGAGTGATATCAACATATAAAACCCCAAGTTAAAGGCTCAATGGGGCACATGGATCTCTCAGGTTGCCTGCTTGGCCCTCTTTCAAGTTACTTTGCTTTCTTTCACTCCTGCTCTAAGACTATTTAATAAACTCTCACTCCTTTTCTAAAAGCCGCCTTGCTCCTTCCCTCTACCTTAAACCTACTTCTGCACCTCACCCAAGTTTTTTCCTCCGAGGAAGCAAGGATCAAGTTTGCTGCAGAGCGCTACAAATTCACTGCTGGTATCAACAGAGTTGTTTGACAGGATGGAATAATTGCAATAAGGACATATGAGCAAAGTGGGTTTTCCATGTAGATATTTGGTGGTTGATCACTTTGATATGGGGGGTGCAGGGAAGTGCAGGGTAGAAAAGGACAGGGTCCCTGGCAAGGGCTCTACCATCAGGCCTGTCCCCACGGACCTAAGTGAGAACAGGCACTCCTGTTTTCACACCCAAATGTTGCATTTTCCAAGACCACTCTAGCCTGCCATGTCCCCTATCCTGTGCCCATATAAACCTGAGACCTTAGTGAGCACACACACAAGCAGTTGAATGTTGAGATCAGCAGGCCAGCAGACCAGCGATGGCAAAACAACACAGCAGAGAAAAAGAGAAAAAGAGGAACATCTGGACACCTAGGGGAGGTCGGCCGGTGTGGTCAGAGAAGAGTCCAGCTGCTGGGCTACCTGACTCCAGGGGAAGACCACCCTCCTACTCCATCGTCCTTCCCACTCCCCATCCATGTCACTGAGAGCCACCTCCACTGCTCAATAAAACCTTACACCCATCATCTGAGCCTGCGTGTGGTATGATTCTTTCAGGACACTGGTTAAGAGCTTGGGATACAGAAGGCTGTCACATTGGTCCTCTGTCCTTGCTATAAGGCAGAGGGTTCATTGAGCTGATTAATACACAAGCTGCCTGATGATGGCAAATCTGAAAGAGCTCTGTAACCTATGGCCACTTGGAATTCAGGAGTCAGATACCACCCCTAGGCACTGCTGTGGGCTGGAGCCCAAAACCACTTGCCTGGACTCTGCACCTGCCTGTCTGAATGCTCACCCTAGGGGTTTGAGCTGCAGGGCAACCAAGCAGGCGATCCACACCCCTGTCACACGTCCTGCAAGGAGAATCAGTTAACTCTCCCATATCAACTTCAGGTAGAAATGAAAAGCTTGTGCAAATATCCTGAGGCGAGGGTGTGCCTGGGATGTTTGAGGAAAAGCAGGGAAACCAATGTGTCTGGAAGTGTGAGCGAAAGAAAAGAAAAAGGGAATGAGGTAAGAAAGATCAGGAGTCAGGAGTCAGATTATACCAGATGTTACAGGCCATCAAAATGACTTTGTTCTTTTGCAAACAGCTCCATTTGAGCAAAATAACATAAATCTCACTTCTAGCAGAGCATAATTCTGGCTGGAATTTTTTTTTAAGTGGAAGGTTATGGTGGTTTAGACGTGAATGGTGGTGAAAGAAACAAAAGTATTTACCCAAAAATATTTGAAAGATTTCAAATATTTCTCAAAGAAACACCATCTGTTCTTTATGAGGGCTGCTACCTGTGATGTTTCATCTACATAACAAGACCACCCTTTGTTAGCCAGGCCTCCTCTTCTTTTCTTCTCATAACCTATTTTTTCACCATAACCAGTTTTGCCATGCTCCAAGCCCCCAATCCTTCTGTATTCTCAAGAAGGTACGAAAGTGTCAACTGTTGGGCAATTTTTTGGGGATTTTATATTTTGTAAGACTTCCATACCCATGAATATATTTATATGCCTTTTCTTCTATTAATTTACCTTTTGTCTGTTGATTTTCAGTGAACCTTCAGAGGGCAAAGGGGAAGTTTTCCCTTGGCTTCCACAGTGGTGAGAATGAGTCAGACTCTGAATATAATTTGAAAGGAAAGATGACAGGATTTCCTAACAGATTGGATGCAAAGCTATAAGAAAAAGTAAAGAGTCAAGGAATGTACCTCCAATGATTTTGACCTGAGTACCTAAAAGGATACAGTTTCCCTCAACTGAAATAAGAAGGTTAGAAATAAAGTTTTTGAGAAGCCATGAGTTTGATTTTGGACATATTGGTTCAAAGAGTATCATAGACTCTGTCAACTGAAGAATCACAAGGTTCAAAAATTTGAAAAGAAGAGCTTTATTTCTCATAAAGGTTTGCAGCCTGCATGCTGGTCATCCTTCAGGCTGGGAAGCACAGCCTCTGGCAAAAGCTGAGATCAAGTACTTTGAAGGAGGGAAGGATATGCTGAATGTGGTGGCTGAATTACATATTTAATAAACTACAGCATCAGTCATAAATGTTTATGAAAGGAGAAATATGTGCATGCATAATTGAGCCTCATGTCTTTTCATGGGTTACATGTTCAATAAAATGACAGTGAAGCCATCCTCAAAGGGTTGACAAGAATTACTTGCTGGGTTCTGGGCGGAAATTTATTTACAATTAAACATTAATTAGGCTTCATTTTGGCCCACTTCCTTATTACCAAAAGCCACATAGCACTAGATACCGACCAGTTGCTTCCCCATTATTGCTATAGATAGGTTCACTGATGTAATAATCATAAGGCTTTTTGTTTAAGAATTGCTTAAGATGTCTTTAGATCTTGAATTCTGGTGGAATGGCTGATGTCAACCAGGTCAAAGACCCTGACAGAGGAACTAAATCAACATGAGAATGCAATATCTTCATTTCCATATCCCAAGACTTCACCCTCTTCACCCTGCACTCTTTGATCAATCTGTGATCCCAACACTTCAGCCCACTCCAAGATTCCAACACTTCAGCCCACTCTGAAACTCCTAGACACAAACTCCTCAAAGAGAGAGATTTGAGGTTTCCTCTTATTTCCTTATTTGACTGCCTTACAATTATTAAATTCTTTCTCTGCTGTGTAACCCTAGAAAATCTGAGACAGGTTTCAGTGAATTTAGGAAGTTTATTGTGCCAAGGTTGGGGATGTGTACCCATGATACAGCCTCACTAAGTCCCGATGACAAGTGCCCAAGGTGGTCGGGGCACAGCTTGATTTTACACATTTTAGGGAGACATGAGATATCAATCAATATACGTAAGAAGTACATTGGTTCTGTCCAGAAAGGCGTAGACAACTCAAAGCAGGGAGGGGTTTTCAGGTCACAGATAGGTGAGAGACAAATTGTTGCATCATTTTGAGTTTCTGATAAGCCTTTCCAAAAGAAGAAATCAGAATGTGCATCTATCTCAGTGAGCAGAGGGATGACTTTGAATAGAATGGGAGTCAGGTTTGCCCTGAGCAGTTTCCAGCTTGAGGTTTCCTTTTAGCTTAGTGATTTGGGGGGCCCAAGATATTTTCCTTTCACAGCTACAATCCTTGATGTTTTGTTATGGTGTCTTTGCTGCACATCAGGCAAACAATGGATTACAGTAGCATTAACATGACCTAAGGGTGAAGTTTTTGGTCAAAAAGTGAAGCCAAGGGCATAAAATCTCTTGCTGTGCATCTTCCACAAGATGGCCAAAGCTGGCCTGGAGAGAGTGGTCAGTTTTTAGGATGGGATGCGTTGTAAAACTGGTGAGCTATTATGTCAAAACTGCAAAGAGGGAGGGGGACTCATGTCATGGCCTCAGCTGATTGGCTAAACGTGTTAAAGGAATGAGTTATCCACTTTTTGTTGTCCAGAGGTGGTTTCTACTTCCTCCTTAGGAAATAATTCTGGTTGAAGAGTAATAGGGAAAGGGGTATACTGAGGAGTGTCCAACCTTGTGTTCCATTCCGGCCAGGAACTCAGTTTTCAAGTTTTCTCTTGGGTCCCCTTCACTCAAAGGAAATTTGTTCAGTTCGTTGAGCAGCTAGGATCTTATTTTAATTTCTCAACTCCAAATGGAAATATTGCATAAACAGTTAGATATGTGACTAGAATTTAGGATAGTAGTCTAGGGTTGTAGATATAAATTTTATTGTTATCAGCACGTAACTAGTACTTAAAGTCATGACAGTTTGTGACATTAAAGGAAGTCTAAACAGATCAGAGAAGAAAACCAAAGCATGAGTCCTTGTACACTCCAACAATGAGAGTTTAAGCAAGAGAGGAGAATCCAGCAAAGAAATCAGAGAAGGACTGTACAGTAAAGTAAGAGGAAAACCAAAAGTGAGGGGTGACCTGGAGCCAAATTTATAACTTCAGACCCAGTAGAACAACAAACAATCCACAGTAAAAGCTCAATAAATGCTAAGGGAGTAAATTGTTGTCTATCCATTGACCATTTTCTGTCTTGGGCATAGCCTATTCTGTCATCCAATTACAGTACAGAATGATGATATGCATACTTCTACTATACATTTATCCATCTCCAAAACACAGAGAGTGCAATATAAGATCCATAGCAGGCCCTTCACAGAGGTGAGTTACGTATAGTAGGGTGCGCTATACATAAATTCATAGAGGACAGACTATATATATACATTTTATATATATATATGAACTTTTGTTAAACGTGATATTCATGGTTATCTCTATTAAGTTTTTCTTGGTAAGAAAGTAGACTTTATTGCTCAAAATGATGTTTGGAGATTATAAGTGGAATAAATTATTGTTTATTTTGCATATTTGCCATTTAATAATGAGAGGGGAAGTATATTCATTCAGCCAAAACACTAACCTGTATAATTGCTTTCAGCTTTTTGTTTCATTTTGTTTTGTGTTTTTGGCCATATAAATTCTAGTTCTAGCTAGGCCCATGAAAAATAATTCAATGGTCTGGTTGAATATTTACCACCCTGATGACAAATGGTGCTTTAGGTTTGGCATTTCAATTTTGGTGCTATGGATAGGAATGTAATAAATCAAATATTTATGTGCTGTTCATATTTGACAAAGCCTATTCAGGACGGACATGGGGAAAAACACATATTTTATGAGGAGAAAAGCCTAGATAAAAATGCTAGTCATATAATTTACTGCAGTTTAGAGTTTTCTACTGCTATTAATGGGCATCCTCTATTAGATGGTATACTGAGATAGTATAAGACAGGTGACTAGAAGACAAGAATTTATGAAATCAGCTAAGGAGAGATAAAACATGGGTTACAATGAAGACATATAAGTCAGAGAAATTGAGGAGTAGATAGAAATAGCATTAGAAAATATATCAAGGTCAAGCAACTCATATTGTGGAATTGACTGAATCAAGCCAGCTGATCTGTAACTGTCAGAATATTTCAGAGACTATTGTACTGACAAGTCAGGACAAACCATTCAAAACATATCATTATGTTTGTTTTATAAAATTATAAAGTAAATATATGACCACATAATAGATTATATATGCATGTATATATGTATAATATAATCTAGTTAAAAAGATTTTAAATAAAAGGCTAGAAAAGTCCGAGTGACTCCAAAGAATTATAATAAAAGAGTAGTTATGATTCAAATTAGTAAGAAATCTTCATATTTTATATTAGTAATTATGGAGAGTTAGTGTTGAAGACCAAATATTTCAGATTTGTTCATAATAATCTTGATGGTTGCCAAATCTTTCATCTTTCATCTTTCTACCCCTTCTATCATTAGATATAATGAATTGATTTTACATAAAATATGACGTCAATTATGTGATTACTCTTTGCCATTTTTGCTGTTTAAAATCATTTAATAATTCCACACAAATAAATAAATCATAATATACTCCGGCATGGCATTGAAAGCTGACACCACTTGTCTCTATTCTATAGGTTAATCATTTATTACTCCTCAGTGAGACTTTTGGATCCAGGAAATGGCTTGAAGCTGTCCTCCTTACAGCCTCTGGGTTTTTTTTAATCCTTTAATCTTCTCTTTGACTAACTTGGCTTCCACTCGCCACATTCCTCTAATGCTCCTTTCATTTTGCTTCTTCCAACTCAAGTCCCACCTCCTCTCTGAGGACTTTCTAGTCTACTGAATCACATAAGTAAAATCTCATCTCCATAATTGGATGCAAATCTTTTCTTGGAAATTGATGACTGTTATGCTTATGTATATTAGCCACAAGGCCCAAATATTGTTAACTGGCAAGGAATGTAGTTAATAATGATGAATTCATTCAAATTTTATGCTGAAAAGGCTAATTAACTAATGTAGATGTTTCATAACCAAAAATATTAGCATAGTTGCTTAGTCAATAAATTGATTAAAAACGGAATTACTATTTACTTATATTAGTTATAAAACCTATAAATACCTAAAACATTTAAATTTAACACAAAGTGTAAAATGCACATCTGTCAACCAATTATTTTTAAGATAGCATTAAAATCTATAAACGTTTAAAGTTCTGAGCTATCTTTCTTGCATAAATGACAATCTAATGTGTGAATTTCAGCTTGAGTTTCTTCAGGGCGAACTGAAATTTAAGACAGTTGCTAAGCAATGTGATTACAGAATGTCTGCAGATTTTTGTGATTTCCTCTCATTTTTTGCAATTTTTGCCTATACATAGTTCAGCATATTTTCTTTTCCTCTCATCCTCATCAAATTTATCCTAGCCATTCAATTTCATTTTTATACAAGCATCAACACTTTTTCACACTCATATTTCATCTGAACATGCATACTTAGAGTTGATGATTGCAATGACAATGTTGATGGAAATGGATAGGTTTGGAAATGAATAAAAATGATTTTTTTTAGTAAAGATTCAATTTAAATGGTACAAACACACTGGCTTTTAGCCAGGACTTCAGTATGCAATGGGCATTCTTCTACATAATTAACTAATTAAGGAGTTAAGTAAAGGTCAGTTAAGACTTTTTATGATAAAACAAATACAGATGCTTCTTGACTTGTAATGTTGTTACATCTTGATAAACCCATTATACGTTGAAAAACTTGTAAGTGAAAAATGTGTTTAATACATCTAACTTACTGAACATCATAGCTTAATTTAACTTATCTTACATTAGCTTACAGTTTGGCAAAATCATCCAATACAATCCTATTTCATAATAAAGTGTTTAATATCTAACATAAATTTTGGATAAGGTACTGAACATGAAAAACGAAATGGTTGTATGGGTACTCGAAGTAGTTTCTACTGAATGTGTATTGCTTTGCACTACCATAAAATCTCATTCACCCTGATTTGTTCCTTTTGGATTCGAAACAGGTGCTTCTCATCAGTTCTCACTCCCTATTCCATTTCTGCTATCTCTCCTAATGGGGTCTAATCACAGTATTGGCAATGGTAAGGGCAATCTAAGACGCCAAATTCTACAATGTCCCTGATCCTAAAACAAGTTAAAAAGAATATGGAAACAATAAGCTTCAGTATTTCCCCAGTTCTAAGGTTCCTCACAGACTGACAAAAAAACTTGGTGATATAATACAGTTATAAAACCAAATAAACGAAGTCAGTAGGACAAAGTCTTACATGAATACTATGAGTACATAAGCTTAAGTTAATCTTTTTGAAAATTTCCCAATTTTTTTACTTCATGATAACCCCCTCTCAAATTTCTAAGACCTTCTCCCAGGGTAAAATTAGCTAGTAGACCCTAAGTATCTCTCCTTGTAATTATAGCTTACTTCCTTGTGTGAGTATGTGTGTTCTCTTTTTCTCATCATAAAGCCATTGGAATGGGGAGAGAGCCTCATTGCTTGAACAATTGAGAATTCTACCTGTTCAATTCTGTCACAGTAAATGTTCTATTCAGTTTGATCCAAAACAGCTCTGTCTAAGGCTCAATTAAATTGTATGGCCATTTTGTCTGATTTCCACAAGGTGTCAGAGATCTGTGATTTATTAATTCACTGATTTCATAAATACATTTCTACAAATGTGATGGTTAATTTTGTGTCAACTTGACTGGGTCACTGGAGGCCCAGATATTTGGACAAACATTACTCTCATGTCTCTGTATTTTTGGATATGATTAACATTTGATTGGAAAACTGAGTAAGGCAGATTGCCCTCCCCAATGTGTGTGGGCCTCATTCAATCTGTTGAAAGCCTTAATAAAGAAAAAAAGGTGAATAAGAGAATTGTTTCTGCCTGACAGCCTTTGAACTATGACATTTACATTTTTTTCTGTCATGATTCAAACTAAAACATCTTCTCTTATTGCATCTCAAGCCTGCTGGACTCCAGACTGGAAATGATCCTCAGGCCTTTGGACTTGGCCTGGAACTATACCAATGGCTCTCCTGGGTCTCCAGCTTGCTGACTCACCCTGCAGATCTTAGGACTTGCCATCCCATAATTGCTTGAGCCAATTCTTTACAATAAATCTCTCTCTCTCTTTAAATATATATATTATAATAATTAAATGTATATTAATTAATAATGTTCAACCTATAATGGGTTTATCAGGATGCAACAACATTAGTCAGGTTTTATACATATAATATAAAACCTCTATACATAAAAATTTATTTGTATATTTATATATGTAATAAAATATATACATATATATTTTAAATATATATGTGTGTGAGTATATAAAATATATTTGTTCTGTTTCCCTAAGTAACACTAAACAGTAAAACTAACCCTTTTTATCTTTCCTCTTTCAGAGGCAACATCTTCCTCTTTTGTTATTATTAATACAGCTTAATTGATAAGCTGCCTACTCCTATATATGTTAGCCTCTTAAGACTAATGTCTGAGTTGGACTATTTCACTCTGGTTTTCTTTATACCCCAATGATACTCTCCAATCATTGAAATGCCTTCCTCGATCTCATGCATTCAAATACGTCAGCAGGTCTTGTTCCGCTTAGGTTCTTGGTCCAGGTTACTGGATCAACACATCTTAATCCTGATAGGCACCCAAACTCAAACTTGTTTTATTTTTTTTTAATGCCACATAATGGTGAATTAGTAAAAAAAAAATTTTGTAATGATTCAACATCTAGTTAACAAGTGCTCTAAAGTGGTATACACATGTACTATGATATGTAAAATTTGTGAATAATTTGATAAAGCAAGCCATTTTTTCCTATTATTTAGAATGTTTATAAAATAAATAAAAAGCATTAAATGCATCTGTAGATGATGTAAGAAGAGATGGTGTGTATAATTTTAAAAAATGATACTTTGTCTAGAAAAAAATTCTAAAAAGGCCACTTATCCACATGGAATGTTAGAACACCCTGCATTACATGGAAAGCCTATTATCTGATACTAACAGTCAAAGTAGATAAGAACCAAAACCTTAATGTCTCATTGAAATGATGATATGTGCCACAGATACTTAGTAATAAAGTTCTAACGAACTTTACAGCAATGTGAACACATGTGCAAATCTCTGGGAAATGCTGGGGTTTCTCACACAGAAAGGTGTCTTCCTCAGCTACAATAGAATGCATGTTGGTTCAGCATGCAATTTTCCATCCTAAAATTTCCAATGCAAATATCAGAAAAATGAGGTTTAAGATCTCATGTTCTTAAATATACTGTAGTTCAGTATCTTTCACCTACTTGTACATGGGCCATGGGTATTTTCTAATCTCCCATGTATGTTTAAATCAGCAAAAAGACTCACAAGACACAAGTCACTGTTTTGGCAGTTCTAACTTTGTCTTAGAGAAAGAAGTAAATCATCAATATGTCCAACTCCTAATTAGCACTGAATGAATTTGCCATATCTTCTGTTCTTTCCATGAAGTAAGAAATTTACCCGAGCGAATGTGACATGGACACCACTGCAGGAAATCAGAAAGATTGTGTTATGTAAAATAAAGCAATGTTTCTAATATTTATAATTGAATGCAGATGAATTTAGAATTTCATGAAATTGAACATAAAAATACAGCTGCTAAGAAACAGGAAGTTAGCTCATAAATAATAAATAATAAATAAATCTTGGATACTTCAAATAAGTTTCTCTTATTTGAAGATCATTTTATGAACACAATTGTTGCATTATCTTCAACATAATGTTTAAGAAATAGTCACTAAAAGTTCACTGAATGCTAGATAGGATATTGAGCACTATGTGTTGAAAGATATATTACACATGTCACTAGTCACTGTGATGCCAAGAATCTATGAGGGAGAGCAATATATGCAAATAAATATATATTATATACAGCATAATGCTCAAGTACGAGGTATTTAAGAAACTATGAGAACAATGAGATTAAAATGACTCACTTAGGAGTATTAATGATCACATCCTAGAGTCTAGAAGAATCAGTAGGAAATTCCCAGGCAAATAACGTTAAGGTAAGCATTTCAGAAGGAAAGAATATTATTTAAATAGGCATGAGGGCATTCAACATCAGGATCCATTTAGGTAAATACAAAGAGTTCAGTGTGGATAGACTGACAAACGTGAACCACCAAGATAGAGAGGTGGCAGAAGAAAATTACACAAGCCAAAACGTGAAGTGCCTTGGATTCCATGGCATAGATTCTGGCCTTTATCCTAGATATATCCATAAAAGATTTTCAAGCAAAGTAGTCATAACAAAAATCAGATTTATATTTCATTCTGACTGAAACATAGAGAATGGACTGAAAGATGTAAGCAAGGGATACCTGTGCTCGATTAAGTGACATTATCCATGTAAGTCGTACTTCTTTCCAACATTTTTTAACCTTTACCATTTGCCAGACACTTCACATATATTAGCTCATTAAATTCCCATCAGAGATGTATGAGTAAATTACCATTATCCCACTCCTGCCTGAGAAGAAGGAGTTGTATAAAGTTAAATGAGATTTTAAGAATAATACACATAAGAGTAGGAATGACTTTAACTTCTATTGTACTCTTTTTAGACTCCAACAAAAATCAAATAGAAAATATTCAAGTTTCTTAGCT
The DNA here is from genome assembly GCF_000001405.40 of Homo sapiens. NCBI lineage: Eukaryota > Metazoa > Chordata > Mammalia > Primates > Hominidae > Homo > Homo sapiens. Next base: position 58,204,827 of record NC_000004.12, on the reverse strand, counting down.
TTTATGTAAGCTCATATGCAACATTAATCTATCTGTGCAAAACCAAACTTATGAGAAAAATCTTCTGTATTTTACTTGGCATGGCTCAGAGAGAAAAAAAAATGTTTTCTCCTTTAGCAAATTTGATTTCTAATGATTTTATTTAAATAAATAACCTAATATATGCAATTACATATAATATGTACGTGCTTATATGTATAGATTACACATATATGTAAATATTACTGCCATCACCACTACCTTCACCATCACATGTAACAAGACAAACCTTATGATGCTCTGCAACAAATAAAAATGGTAGGGGTGGATAAGACTTCAGCAAGGGAATTTAGCAATGATTATTTAAAATTTGACTAAAATAGCCCTATTCAACTCTATGACATGATTATTGTTCAATGGAATTTTTAAAAATTGGATGATTATAAACAAATTTCTATGAAACTCTCTGAGTAATATTCTGCATTCTTACTTTGTAAAACAACTTTTGTTTTATTTAACATCTGAATCAAAATCTTTTTCTTGTTTATTTTTAAAATGTTAGATGGAAAATGAAATTCTAATACTGCCTTCAAAACTGATTTTTTAAAAAAATTAACATAAAATTACTAAGTAATGGCCAAATTAACACAAATCAGAGTTCATTACATGGCATTAGCAGCTAATTTATTGAAATCATTATGTCTGCTGTTAGAAAGAGCCATATGCCAACTCCAGAAATAACAAGCTTCAGAATCAGGGTCATTGCCTTCATATTTGCATATGTGAATATATTAATTGATATCATGTGCATATTAAAATTAAAGCTGCATTTTTCTTGAATATTCCCTATGAAGTTTGGTTAGCATTATGTTACTAAAACAAGTATTTATTTCTAGACAATTTCTTTTACATATGTAAATTTACTTACATAAATCATTATTAGTTACATGTTTTCCTATTTTCCTTATATATCAAGTGTGATATTTTCTTTTTTAGAAATGTATTATTTTATGCTTGTTTCTATCTTCATCCTCTATGCAATGACAAGTGTAATAATTCAGCAGTTAATTCTGATATGCTTAACTTACCCCAAGGTAGAATGAAATAAATTATTAATAGCTAATCAAAAAATATACTGACTACTAAATTGTTCCAAATTCATCAAGTTAAAAAACATATTTTAAATATTTTCCCAAGCATTTTAATAAAGTTGATTGCTGCTAATATTAAGTTTAAACAGTGGTATAATATAGGTTACTAGATCCATACTGGTTTTATTATAAATTTGATTGTTTCATTATATGGCACCTGCAGTATGTATCACATAAAATTTTGAACCTTCAAATTACATACAAGACTAAGTTTGTGTACAAAAATTAAATAATAAAGGTAAATTGGTATGTCACTGTGTACTATAAAGACCAGAAGGGTCCAATATATAGTTAAGTAGTTATTTCTCTCTCTCTCTCGGTTTCTCTTTCTCTCTCTCCACATACACACACACACACACACACACACACATCCAAACTTTTTAGGTTCTACAGGAATATGCATAGTTAACATTACATCCAATAGCTGAAGTTTCCTACTTATATTATGTGATACTGAACTAAATTGATGAGATGTGCCATTGTTCAAACATGAGGTTTTTTAAATTTATATATTTTCTTGTCATTAGACAAGAAAGAGGCAATTATAGCATGATATCATATATCACTCTGAGTCAAATTTCAGGGTGATCTATAGAAAATCAATGCCTATTTCACCACTCCCAAACTAAAAATTGAAAACTTAAAATGCCATACTAGCAAGGCTTCTGTAGAATATGTGTGTATGTGTACATGTGTTTATGTATCTTTGTGTCTGTCTGTTCTATTAAGTCTACCTGATATGAAAACTACATAAGAAAGTAGGAAATTAATTAAATAGTTAAAAAGTAAAGATATTCAGTAACATAAAGAAATATTTATCTGAAAGATAGTATATTAAACTTTGAAATGAACTTACACATGAAGGGGGGATATTCAGGAAATAAATATATATTTAACAAAAAAAGAGATTGGATATAAATTTATTGAGTTTTAACTTATAGATGGAAATTAATTCCTAAAGAGCATCTTACAGAGTAAATAATTTTTCTTAAGATCACATGGATAGATGATAGATTATGTAGACATAGACAAATAGATTTTTTCAATAAAGAACAAGCTTCCTAATGGTAGAAGGACAGCCACGTATGTTAGAAAGCAGACACAGCTGTACATTAGGAAACCTGATCCCAAAAAGTTATATATCTACTCAGAGTATCAGCTTGCTATAAAATAATGCAGTTGGACTTAGTTTCTAAATTCTTCTCCAGTTCTTAAGCTCTATGAATTAAGGCCAGTATGTCCTAAAGAGAAAACTCATTACTGAGTTTTAGGTGATAATATGGGTTTCAAAAACTTCAGTTTAGATTAGCTGCATACTACAGCAAAGGAGTGCCCATTCCTTTCTCTCCCCTACTTCTTTGCTTCCTCCTCTAAGTCATTTGTTTTCTAATGGGACAAAATTCTCCAGTTCACTGGTTGGGCCACATTAGTAATAAGTAATCATATGAATCGATGTGGACCCATTCTTCTTCTATTGTTTTCATGTGTTAAGATGAGGGAAGTGAGTCAGGACCCCTTGGAGCCCATTTAACTGATTTTCTTCTCTTTTTATTATTCTCACAGGACCACTCAAGTGCTTGTCCAATTTCACCACATGGGACTTTGGTGATAATGAAATTAGAACTCCGTAAAAATTCAGTTACTTATTGGTCTTTAGGTAACGTCACATGCTCCAATCTATCTTCTTCCAGTAAAACCTTGGTCCACAAGGGCTCAGCAAACCCTCAGCAAAATGGTATTTATTTCTTATTTACTACTCTTCCTAGTAAGTGAACATCCTACAAATACTTATGGGTAGAGATGACCATGAAGAATGATTTCAGGGACATTTTGTTCCATAGTTTTGCAACATCTTTCTTTAAACAAAACCTCCTCAACTCATTACACAACTGTATAGCTCTTATTTCATTTGGCCAACAAAATATTTCTATCTTTATTTGTTGGTAACCAATTCAGTCACCAACCCCTGACCAGAGGGCTTAGTCCGTGAACCAGGATGCTTCAATCACAGTGCCCAATGTCCCTGGCTATACTCACTTGTTCATATCTGATACGTGTGTAAAGGTTGGTCAGAATCCTTCCTAATGAGCACAGCTCTTCTCCGGGGTCCGTAGATAAAGTGAACGTAATTGTCAGAATCAATTGCCATGTTTGCTTTTGTAAATCAAGTAAGGTTGGATATATGAGGGTCACTCAGAGGGAGTAAATATCTTGGAGTCACTGGGTCACTTAGAATCCCCAGATGCATACTGGGGCCTGCAACTCTTCTTTGACTCGGTAAACAAAATCACTATCCCTTCAATATACTCTCTTTTAGCTTAATTTTCTTTTCAAATTATATTTTTGACACTTGCATTGGAACAGTCATATTATCTGCTAAAAATTTAAATTTTTACCCATACTTTAAAATGTTTAACATTTATTATTTCATTTTTTAAATTATCTCTTCATATCCTGTACCCTTTTTTCCAGTTGTAAGGTTTAATATTTTCCTCAATTTAATATAAGTGTTTTTTAAGGATGATATACATGACAAAGTTATCAACTCTTTTTAAGCTATCCACATTGAAATTGTATTTTCTGCCTGTCATTTATATTTTAATATGCTTTTGAAAACGCAATATTATTTAAAGTTTTTTTTTTCATTTTCAAATCTATAGAATGGTTTTCCTTGAATTCTTTCTCACTCATTTACCATATCTTTGGAGATTTGTGTTAATATTGTTGAATGGAGAATATGACTTTTTTATACGTATGTATATATACACAAATATGTGTATTCCATCTATGAGATTGAGCAAATAAAATGCAGAAAATTTACCTCCTATGTATTTTTTCTGGGAAACAATTAATACAAACTGCAGGAGAAATATGTTATCCATGGAAGTTTCAGTATATATACATACACATGTGTCTATATATATGGGAATATTACTTTGATATTGACTTAAAACAAGCTAATTGCTTTCCTTTATAAGATAATATTTTAAACTTCTCAAGACTCAAGTTATTACAGTCAGAAATCTCATTAAATTGTCTCTATCTCAAAAATGCATTGAGTGTTCTGTGAAGAAATGCAAAAGTAAGTAAATCCAAAGAGCTTCTGAGAATGACAGCAGAGAAACACCAGCAGTCAACAGATTAGAATACATTTTTGAAAGACAGAAGACTGATGGGAATACCTAGATGGATATATTACAATAAAAAGAGGCATCTCTCAGTATATTCAACAGCAAAAACGCTGCAGTGGAGCTAGGAGTGTTTTGCACAGCACAGATCCCTAGAGTCAAGAGCTAAAGACAGCAGGTATGAGAGGAGGTGCAGAAATGATGATGACCAAGGGAGAGTCAATATGAAAGACGTGCATGTTCAGGTTCCTCCCATTGCTGTGCATCAAGAAGTAGTGTTTAAGGTCAGATATATGTTGATGAGTATGTTGAGGAAGATCCATGGCTCTCAGAGTGAGTGAGGGTGTACTGTCATTAGTCAGACTGGCCTTGTTTTGGTGTTTGAATGGGTCTTAACCCATCTGTTGGCCTGTTCTACACATATAACACACTCCTGGATATACCACAGTAAAACCTTAAAACATCACACACACAAAGAAAGCAAACATCCCTTTCATTCAAGAAACAGCCCATTAACAGCAGAGAAAAATCTCTGCAAGACACTTAAGATAATTTATCTGGTCCTTTATTCACATTTATTAATGACCAATTAAGATCAAAAAATGAGACAGCTAATCCTGAAGGTAAAGCAACAGAATTAAGGTTAAAGAATAGAATATAAACAAATAAATAATAAACTACTTTTAATTAAAATCTTCAGACAGTTCAGATAAGATGGCTTCAATAAAATATATAACAGTCTGCTGGGAATTTAGGTAACAGTTATATAAAATTTAAAATATGCTTAGTGAATATTTAATCTAATAAAATGTTTGGAATAGGAAGTAAGGAACTATTTTAGAACATAGAACTAAAAAGACAAATAGATGAAACATGGCACAAAAAAGATTAGCAATATGGAGGAATAATCATAAAATATTTAAGTATGGGAAGAATGAAAAAACAAGAGGGGAAGAAATTACCAAGGAAATAACAGAAGGAAAATTTTCAGAGTGGAAAATAGAAACATATGTCTTCAGATTAGAAATGCCCACCTTGTGTCAAGAAGGTTGAATTTTTAAAAGCCTATTCCTACCTAGAGATGTCATATAAAAATATCTACGGTGGGGAGAAAGGGAAAAATTCCCTAAAAGTTTCCAGAGAGAAAAAGCAAATGCCCTACAATGAACCTTCGGTTTCTTGTAGCCTCCATTGGACACTAAAAGATGTTATATCCCATCTGTGGACAGAGAGCAAATAAGATGCAGAAAATTTACCTCCCACATGTTTTTTTTTCCTGGAAAAAATAATATAAACTACAGGAAAAATAAATTATCCATGGAAGTTTTAGACGTGTGCTTTAGAAAGGAGTACGTATGATATTCCCAGACCAAAACCTATTTAGCAAGTCTAAGCGGGAGTCAGTATCAGAGCATTCAAGCAACCATTATTGATCCACCTTAACTGATTTTAATAAGGCACATAATTCTTGGGTCAAAAAAACAGAAATACAAGTAGAAAATCCACGGGAAAATGTAGAGCTCTAAGTAAGAAAGAAAGTGCAAAACAAGTTAAAATATAAAATGATTTTGAATGATGGATAAAGTATAAAAGGGGGAATAGTTTTGGATCCTCAAGAGGTTTTTTAGTTGTAAAAGTTCAGTGGCATGGATCCATATTTCCTCTGAGGAGCTACCTGGTTTTGAAATAAATGGTATTTCCATAATCTTAATATGGCCAACACTAAGTTTCAGCTTTAAAGTTTCACAGTCAATCTGTAGAGAAATCATGGAAATCTGTAATAATTACAGACCAGAATGCAAATGATAGAACTTTTTGATGTCGTGGAGGAATGCTGACAGACATGGGAGGTAGAGTGGGAAGGGGATGGGGGAAGTCGAGGTACTGAGGTTAATGAATCAAGAAATAGAGTTTTAAGGCCGGGCGTGGTGGCTCACGCCTGTAATCCCAGCACTTTGGGAGGCCGAGGTGGGCAGATCATGAGGTCAGGAGATTGAGACCATCCTGGCTAACACGGTGAAACCCCATCTCTACTAAAAATACAAAAACAAAATTAGCTGGGCGTGATGGCAGGCGCCTGTAGTCCCAGCTACTCGGGAGGCTGAGGTAGGAGAATGGCGTGAACCCGGGAGGCAGAGCCTGCAGTGAGCCAAGATTGTGCCACTGCACTCCAGCCTGGGAGATAGAGCGAGACTCCGTATAGAAAAGGGGAAAGGAGATTAACTGAAGTTAATCACAATTAATCTTGAGTAAATGAAGTCAGTAGCTAATGCTCCATAGTTGATCAATCAAGAAACAGTAGCATAAGCCTATAATTAATATAATGTAGATAACCAACAGAAACACTGAAATCAAAAACAGTAAAAAACTATTTACACTGAAAGAGTTAGAGTGGGCAAATATTCTGGACAGAGACTTTCGCTGACTGTCTTTCAGTAAGTGGAATGTATTTCCTTTGCATGTCCTAATTTTACAACAATAAAAATGAAAATGAATGGTTTTTTAAGAAAGTTTGTTTTCACATTATTAAAATAATTTACTTTTGCCATACTGTTTTTTCAACATTTATAGGTTACATGGAAAAATTATAATAGGGGCCTAAATGTAGCTTAATTTAAAAATCTATTTCTTAATAAGCTCAATTGATAAAATATGTGACTTTTACTTTTTTATCTTTTGCATTTAGAGAAACAAAATATGAATTACAAAAAATGAGCTATTTACAGTAATTAAAAATTACAATGGTAAATTCAGTTTACATGGTGGGATTATTATATATTTAGTGTGGGTTTCTCTGTTTTCTTTAGCAACATTCATGTTTAATGTGACTGCCAATTTTAAATGATGGCCATGAAAAATATAAAAGCTTTTTATCAAAAAGAGAAGTGTCTTATATAGGTAAGGATAATTTTCAACAAGTATGTAAAAAATTATTTTCTACTTAACCACAATGTTTTGTTTCACAATCTATCCAATTAATTATTATCTATATATTCACATCTTAATCAGAAACTTGTTCTAATTAGGCCTATGAGCATGAAAGTTTTAGCAGATATCTTGACAATTATTAGGATCTGTTGCCAGGAGGAAAAAAAAAAAAAGACAGAATGGAAGTGTAAGAGGAAGAGGTACAGAATATCTGTTTCAGTAATTTAATTCCAAAAAAGCCAGAGCTCCAGAAGCATGAGTAAAACCTGAGATTTTTAGGAGGCCCTCCAAACCTGCTTGACCCCACACTGTTATTGTTGCTGCTGCTGCATCTAACACATATATCAAAGATCATCTATAATGATCTATAGGGCACTGAGCAGCACGACAGCTGCTCTCTTAAAATTAGAAAGCTTGAATAGAAGACCTAAAAAACGAACCTGAATGCCACATGACTTTCAGTAGAATCTGCAGCACACTGGTTAAGAATGTGTACTCAGTTTGACTGCTGACTCTACTGCTTCATGACTAGGAATTAAACTCTCTGGGACTCCTTTTTCCAGTCTATGCAAGAGAGATAATTAGACACATAAGAACTATATCATGGTGGCATTATGAGAAACAAATAGATGACACATGAAAAGTCACTTGAAACAGTGTCTGACTCAGTCGATGTTTAATTATCATCTGCTCATTACAGAAACTCATACAAAGGGGATTCAGAAAGTATTATTGGGCTTCCAGAGCTTTTTCTGCTCAATTCAGAGAAGCATTGTCCGGTATGATTTTCGTAATTCTACTAATTCCACATGGCTGGATGTACAGGGAGGGTGTTGGGGCACCAGCTTATGGTTGTTATAAATATCATGTTTATCACCAACCATTTTCCATCTGGAGGTCTTAAGTGATTTTCATGAAATTATTTTAGCATCTTTTTCTTGAAAATCATTAATGGAAGGATGGTGGAAGAGGCAGACCTGGTATATAGGCATACAAGATATGGTGATGTGTTGAGTTTAAACTTTACAGCACCAGACAGGGAATCATAAAGTCTATATTAGCCCTCCTGACAGCACTTTATCTACCAGCTGGGATAATTTTCTTGGCATGTCTAAAATCTTCCTCTCTTAACTTCCTTTGATATTTTCATATCTAGTATCTTGGCTGCAATATTAGTGGAGAGAAGTGAGAAACACATGGCGTTCCATGTTGCCTTTTTAATTTTATTTCAGTTTTAGCCTTTCCTTTCTTCTATATTTTCATCAGTTCACATGTGAACATACCTACATACACACACATACACAAAATTCACAAGCACACATGCACATACAAATATATCAAATATATATATATATTTTTGTGTGTATATATATATATGTGTGTGTGTGTCTGTGTGTGTATACACACATACATACATGGTCCTAGCTAGAAACTATAGGCTAATCTTATGTCTTTATTTCTTATTCCTGTTGTAAAAAATTCTCACAAATTTATTTAGTGTCTTAATGCAACAAAATTTCTTTTCATATGGTTTCAGAAACCAGAAGTCCTAAATAAGTTTCACTGGGCCAATATCAACAGGTTGTTAGAGTTGTGCTCCCTCAGGAGATGACAGGGGAGAATCAGTTCCTTGCCTCTTCCAGCTTCTGCTGGAATCCTTCTGCTGGAATCCTTCTGCTGGAATTATGGTGGCATCACAACAATCCATGGTCACATTGCCCTCTCCTTGTTTGAAATTTCCCTCTGCCTCCATCTTACAAGAATACCTGTGATTGCTCTGAAGGTCAACCTGGATAATCCAGGATAATTTTCCCATCTCATGATCTTGTTGGAGGACTCTTTCCTTAGTTCAGCTAAAGATGGGGGTCCTTATCACATGGCCATGAAAAATTAGGCTTGCAGACAATTTGAAGGGTGGGGAGGACAGGGTTTATTGGGTGAGAAGGAAAAGAGGGAAACGGAGACTCTCCCCAAGGCCAGAGTCCCTGCTAGTGTGCTTCCCACCTCAAAGATTAAATCCTAGGTTCCACCCAGGAAGAGGAGGGGCTGGTGTCCTCCCCACTGCAAATGGAGGGAACTTCTGCAGCTCCACTCCAGTGTGAACTCTTCCCATGGAGCAGGCCTAGTGGAGTTTTTCTGGGGAACCCTTCCCACCTGGCTGTCTCAATCCTTAATCAAATCTACAAATTATTTTCTATGTAGCATGACATTTACAGGTTTCAGAAACTAGGATCTGGAAATCTTATGGGGTCATTATTCAGCCTATCACATTTCCCTCCTTTTGGATCCTCTGGGCATTAAAACATCACTTTCTATTTTTATAACTAGAAGCTTCACTGTTATCTCTACCCATCCATCTTCCTGTAACACTGATATCCCACAAGATGACAAGCCCTTGTCTCTACCAAGGACTCTAAAATTTACATCACTTTCTCCACGTTTATTGCCACTACTGTAGAAATCCAAATTATTTTTACCTTCACTATTTCAATAACCAAATGCATTTTCGGCTGTCTCCATGTCCTCTCCTCTGTCAGTGTTTCTTCACTGTTGACAGGATGCAACTAAACTACATCCATGGTACCATCTTCTACTACTTATCCCTATTCACTCTTTAACCTAAACACTGGCAACTAGTCTCCATTTACTCTGTATGAAATGTGTGTCTTGTGCTACTGAACATTCAATATCTCTCAAATGTTTTTTTTTGTTGTTTGTTTTTTATTTCCATAGGTTTTTGGGGAACAGGTGGTATTTGGTTACATGAGTGAGTTCTTTAGTGGGGATTTGTGAGATTTTGGTGCATGCATCACCCGAGCAGTATAAACTGAACTCAATGTGTAGTTTTTATTCCTCACTCCTTCCCACTCTTCCCCCTAGTCCTCAAAGTCCATTGTATTATTCTTATGCCTTTGCATCCTAATAACTTAGCTCCCACTTATAAGTGAGAACATGCAATATTTGGTTTTCCATTCCTGAGTTAATTCACTTAGAATAAGTCTCCAGTACCATCCAAGTTGCTGTGAATGCCATTAATTCATTCCATCATATACATATGTATATATACATACCACATATGTGCTATATAGATGTATACATGCATAAACGTATATATATACACACATATGTATATATACACACATATGTATATGTATAAACATGTATATACATATATACACATATATACACACACGTGCATATATATACACATATATACACACACACTTGCGCATATATACACACATACACACACGTGTGCGTATATACACACATACACTCACACGTGCACGTATATACACACATACACGTGCACGTGCACATATATACACATATATACGCACGTGTGTGTATATATACACACATACACACACACGTGTATGTATATATACACACAGATACACACACACGTGTATGTATATATACACACAGATACACACACGTGTATGTATATATACACACATATATACACACAAATATGTGTGTATATATACACACAAATATGTGTGTATATATACACACATATATACACACAAATATGTGTGTATATATACACACATATATACACACACATATGTGTGTATATATACACACATATATACACACATACACACATATATACACACATACACACATATGTGTGTATATATGTGTGTATATATACACCCATATATACATACACACACATATGTGTGTATATATACACCCATATATACACACATATATACCTATATACACATATATATACCACAGTTTCTTTATTAACTTGTTAATTGATTGGCATTTGGACTGGTTCCACATTTTTGCAATTGAGAATTGTGCTATCATAAACATGTGTATGCAAGTATCTTTTTCGTATAATGACTTCTTTTCCTCTGGGTGGATACCCTGTAGTGGGATTGCTGGATCAAATGGTATTTCCACTTTTAGTTCTTCAAGAAATATCCACACTGTTTTTCATTGTAGTTGTACTAGTTTACATTCCCACCAGCAGTGTAGAAGTATTGCTTTTTCACTGTATCCATGCCAACATCTTTTTTTTTTTAATTATTTTTTTGATAATGGTCATTCTTGCAGGAGTATGGTGGTATTGCATTATGGTTTTGATTTACATTTCCCTGATCATTAGTGATGTTCAACATTTTTTCATATGTTTGTTGGCCATTTGTATATCTTCCTTTGAGAATCATCCTTAACCCACTTTTTGATGGGATTGTTTGTTTTTTCTTGCTAATTTATTTGTTTGTTTTTTTATTTATTTATTTTTTGTTTGTTTATTTGTTTGTTTTTTTCTTGCTAATTTATTTGAGTTTCTTGTGGATTCTGGATAATATTCCTTTGTCAGATGTATAGATTGTGAAGATTTTCTCCCACTTTGTGGGTTGTCTGTTTACTCTGCCAGCTGTTTCTTTTCCTGTTCCTTTTCCCATGTAAAAACTCTAGTTTAATTAAGTCCCACCTATTTATCTTTGTTTCTGTATATTTAGAATCGTGACATTTCTTGTTGGACAAGGCTTTTTATCATTATACAATATCCCTCTTTGTCTTTTTTAACTGCTGTTGATCTAAAATTTGGTTTACCTAAGAATAGCTACTCCTGCTTGCTGTTGGTGTCCATTTGCACGGAATGTTTTTTTCTACACATTTACCTTAAGTTTGTGCAAGTCCTTATGTTTTAGGGGAGTCTCTTGAGGCAACAGATTCTTGGCTGGTGAATTCTTATCCATTCTGCAATATTGTATCTTTTAAGTGCAGCATTTAGACGATTTACATTCAATGCTAGTATTGAGATGTGAGGTATTATTCCATTCATTGTGCTATTTGTTGCCCATATACTTTGTTTTTCTTAATTGCATTTTTGTTTTATAAGTCCTGTGATATTTATGTTTTAAGAAGGTTCTGTTTTGATGTGTTTCCAGGTTTTGTTTCAATATTTAGAGCTCCTTTTATCAGTTTTTGTAGTGCTGGCTTGGCCGTCATGAATACTCTCAGCATTGTTTTTCTGAAAAAGACTGTATCTTTCCTTCCTTTATCAAGTTTAGCTTCTCTGGATAAAAATTCTTGGGTGATAATTGTTTTGTTTAAGGCTGAAGATAGGGGCCTATCCCCTCTCGCTTGTAGGGTTTCTGCTGAGAAATCTGTTGTTAATCTAATAGGTTTTCCTTTATAGTTTACCTGGGGCTTTTGGCTCGCAGCTCTTAAGATTATTTCTTTTGTCTTGACTTTGTATAACCTGATGACAATGTGCCTAGGAATTTGTGGGGAATTTCCCAGATGTTCTTTGAGCTTCTTGTGTTTGAATCTCTAGATCTCTAGCAAGACCAGGGAAGTTTTCCTTGATTATTCCATCAAATATGTTTTCCAAAGTTTTCAATTTATTTTCTTCCTCAGGAATGTCAATTACTCTTAGGTTTGGTTGTTTAACATAATTCCAAACCTCTTGGAGGTTTTGTTCATTTCTTAAAATTCTTTTTTTCTCTGTCTTTGTTGGATCGGGTTAATCCAAAAACCTTGTCTTTGAGCTCTGAAGCTCTTTCTTCTACTTGTCTGATTTTATTGCTGAGACTTTCCAGAACATTTTGCATTTCTCTAAGTGTGCCCTTTATTGACTGAAGTTGTGATTGTTTTTCATTTATGCTATCTATTTCACTTAATATTTCTTCCCTAATTTTTTTGTATCAGTTTTTTTTTTTTTTGATATCCTTACATTGGACTTCACCTTTTTCTGGTGCCTCCTTGATTAGCTTAATGATTGAGCTTCTGAACTCTTTTTCAGGTAAATCAAAGATTTCTTCTTTGTTTGGATCCATTGCTGGTGATCTAGTGTGATTTTTCGGAGGGCTGTTAAGGAACGTTGTTTTGTCATATCACCAGAATTGTTTTTCTCATTCCTTCTCATTTGGGTAGTCTCTGGGGTTCATGGCTGCTGTCCAGATTCTTTTGTCCTATGGAGTGTTCCCTTAATGTAAAACTCTCCTTATTTTCCTAGGGATGTGGCTTCCTGAGAGCCAAGCTATAGTGATTGTTATTTCCTTTCTTGATCTAGCCACCCAGCAGAGCTGGTACTGGGAGTTGTCTGCACAGAATCCTGTAATGTGAACTGTCTTCAGGTCTCTCAGCCATGGATACCAGGACCTGCTCCAGTGGAGGTGGCAGAGGAGTGAAATGGACTCAGTGAGGGTCCTTAGTTTTGTTTAATGCACTATTTTTGTGCTGGTTGACCTCCTGCCAGCAGGTAGCACTTTCAAGAGGGCGTCAGCTGTGGTAGTATAGGGAAGAGCAGGCAGTGGGTGGGGCACTAGAACTCCAAAGAGAATATGCCTTTTGTCTTCAGCTACCAGGGTGGATAGGGATGGACCAGGCGTGTCTGAGCTCGGACTCTCCTTGGGTGAGGCTTGCTGCGGCTGCTGTTGGGGATGGGGGTGTGGTTTCCAGGTCAATGGAGTTATGTTCCTAGGAGGATTATGGGTGCTTCCCCTGTGTCATGCAGGTTGTCAGGGAAGTGAGGAAAAGCCGCAGTTACAGGTCTCACCCAGCTCCCATGCAACCCAAAAGGCTGGTCTCACTCCCACTGTGCCCCTGCCAACAGCACTGAGTGTGCTTCCAGGCAGTGGGTGAGCTGGGCAGAGAACTTGCCCCAGGCTACCAGCCTCCCAGCTGAGAAAGCAAACAGAGCTTCTGTGCCTCCTGACTGTCACATCTGAAAACTCGGTTCACACTTTACCATGAGTTCTCGCCAGGAGATGCCATGTTTGGTTGGAATTGTTACAAAGTTTAGCTGGAGGTTTATTTCTTCATGTGGTCTTTTTCCTGTTCCTCTGGCAGCCCTCCCCAAGGGCCCCTGTAAGACAAGGCAGAAATTGCTTCCCTGGGGATCGAGAGAGCCCATGGGGCTTTTCCTGCTGCTTCCTCTACACCTTTATTTCGCTTGGTTGTCTAATTTGACTCAAGTCCAGGTAAGGTCAAATTCTTCTCCCGTGATCTATACCTTCACGTTTCCCAGTAAGGGTCTGTGTTCAGGGGTGGACGATCCCCCTTTCCCACTTACACAGCTTGGGCACTCACAGCATTAGGGGTGTCTCCTGGGTCCTTCAGGAGCAATCTACTTCCTTCAGAGAGTCTGTGGATTCTCTCACCTTTCCTGGTGTATTCCTGAAGTAGTTTTGGAGCAAAAGTTCACCATGTGAGTGTGCACATGCTTCTCTGTCCATCCAAGTGGGAGCTGCACTCTAGTCCTGCCTCCTATCAGCCATTTTCCCTCTATCTGTCTCTCAAATATTCTTTAGCTCTTGGTTTCTATCTTTTAATAGAGCATCAATGGCACTAATAATATCACAGAATTTTAACTACTTGTTCATATTCTTTTTATTATTAGATTGTGATATCATATGGAACTTTGTATTCCTAGTGCCTGGCAAAATGTAATTGCAAGATAGAAAGTTAATAAGTATTATGTGAATCAATAAGAACATTCCAGGGTGCACATCATATGCTTAAATATCCAACTCAACACACCTTGAACTTCAAGACGGATAGAATAAAAATAATTTTCATGTATATAAATACTAGTTTGTGATTAAATAAGAAATTGTCCTGAAATCTAAGTGATTTAATAAAATAGAAGCTTATATCTTGTTAATGCAAAATCTGCAGGGGTTCAATAAATCTGAAAGTTTTCTAAGTCGTGTCTTGGGATATCTGGTTGGTTTTCATATTGGGATTTTTTTCATCATAAAAATGTTACTCTCTGAGCATTGAAAAAGGAAATGAGAAAGCTAGAGGGTTGTGGAAAGATTTTACACAACCTTCGTCCTAACATAATCCCATCCCTTCCACTCATGTCTATTGATCACAATGAGTCAAATGACCCTATCTAAATACAAGTGGTCTGGGAAGGATGGTCTTCTATGTGCCTAGACAGGAGAGGTCAACCAGATGAGACTGAAGGTTCTACTACATATGCTTTTGAAGTAGCTTCTGAGGAGTTCCAAAGTGGCATACAGATTGTTTGGGTTCACGTAAGTGTCTATATAAATATATCTATTTATATGTATATGTGTGTATATGCTAATCAATAACTACAAAGAAACTTTATACCTAAAAATTGATGGGGAAACTAAATAGTGATACCATGATAATATTTAATAGAAAAAAATTTATTCAAAATTATTTCCAGAAATAAAGCTAGCTAGCTAGATAGATCCAAACAAACACAAATATCACACGCCTGTTCTTGTCCAGCACTCTTAGGTCTTACTAACACAAACCTGAATCACGTGCCTATCACCAACACAGTGTCTTGTTAGGATTTGAAATACCTTGAATTAGAACCTTGCTCTTTAGTACTATTCTTATTTTAAATCTTTATTTTGAATTAAACCATTCTTCCTTTGATTTAAACTATTAAGTTTTGTACCATTTGAGAACATTGTATCTCGTCTTTGAAAAAACAGAATTTCACAGAGCATGGCTATGATTATGAAATCAGAGTGACATATATGTAAGGCTGTTTTCTTGATCATTTGAATATCACTTAAACATGTCAATATAAAAATATTTTGAATTACTACAGTGGAAAATCGATATTGTAGTGATTTATAATTTAATTTTGATGAACAACTCTCATAAAGAATATTACTTTATCATAATCAGCTCAAAATATAATAGAACTCTAACTTAATGGTCTAAATTAATGGGATTTTTTTTTAATCTTCAGAAGTAAAATCTACCTAATTTAGGGATGCCCAGTATTCTTGCAGCATTGATGACTGAAGAATTGGCTTGAATATTTGCACATGTATTCATCATTTGCACCTTCATCTCTGTTATCTCCAAGAAAGGTGGCATCAGTGGGAACCAGTTAGAATAGTCCTGATGCATCTAATGCAGAGAAAAACACCACCACTGTCCTATTTTCATTGCCCTTGGAAATTTTTGTTGACATTTTTACCCCTGAAAAGTATTCATTATTGTTGCAAAAGTATACAAGGCCATTTGTTTTATAGCATAAGAGATTTATTCTACTTTAAAGGCGTTCATCAAAGCATTGTCTATGGCAACTGAGAATATGTCATGCAGAATTGTACTCTGTTATCAAATGACATTGATCTAAGATCTGAGGTTACCCTGAGGTGAGGAAATAAATTGAAATTGGAAGTGTCAAACATGGCAACAGAGTGATGCTGTATACCGAACGAATAATAAATCTATCTGGGACATTGTTAATCTTTTAAAATAGTGAAGAGTTTTGTTTGCTTTAAAACAAGAGTCAGGGAAGATAAGATTTTAACATGCTCGGTAATTTAGCAGCAAAAGGGAGGTGAAAAATAGAGAAAAAATAAATATTTTCTCTAAATTCTCTATCTTAAGAAATATTTCTAGTTGTGAGAACCATTCTCCTCACCTCTCATAAATAGCTAATTTGAGAGTAAATCTAAAGTTATTAAAATTATTATGCCAGGTCCAAATAACAATCATGTTAATAAGATTTATAATCCTTTCTCATCCATTACATTTGAACTGTATTCATATGATAGGCAATTATAACTAAGAATGATATGAGCTTTTGGGTTTTATTATATCAATATTTTCTGTTAATTAGTAGATGAATTAGAAACCACACTAGAACTAGGTTTGCATGTTTAGGAAAAACTTGTGATATTTTTGAAAACATGGATTAGTCATTATTAAAATAGATTACAAAATATAATTAGGCTCAAACCCTGGGTGAAAGGCCACACCTTTAAGATTTGTCACTTGTAATTATTTTTAACTCCTTGAGCGCTTTCACCTGCTAGCATGGATTCTTTATTCCTACTTTGTTATCTTCATATGTTTTCCTTAAGTCTTATCCCTCAGTTTCTTCTAATTAATTCTGTTTTTTTAAAGACAAAAAACAATAAATATAAGACTTATTAGTTTCATTAAGTTCCCTAGATATTTTTATTAACAAAAGAATGTGGAAGGGCCAGAAAGCTCTTCACATGCATTCACTAGATAACACGGGACTTGAGCATAGCATATTATCATTATTTCTGAGAACTCTGCTTCTATTACAACCATCATTAAAATTTAAATCCTACTGATTTTTTTTAAATCACCTACTAATTGGAGATGAGAAACAGTTTCCTACACTTATCCATGAATAATGTAATATTGAAATGCAATTTCTAGAATTCCTAATTGGGAAATTTTTACAGTTATCACAAAGTCATGCTATTTTGAAGAAAGACAAAGAAAACAGAAATAAAGAAACAAGAATGCATGGAGAAGTTACTAGATATTAGACTTCCAAAATAGCTTTTTAATTAATTGCTAAGGATTTATATATGCATGTAAATACATATATGTCTACATGTACATGTTTGTATTCCACCAAATAAATAACATTTTAAGCATAAAAAAGTAATGTCATTTCCATTATCAAATTTAATTTGGTTATTGATAGAGTTTATTTTTTAACTAAAAAATAAGCTATTTTTAAAAACACAGTAGTTAATAATTTTTTTTAAGTCTCTAAAATGTCAAGGCCCATTATGAGTTTATCAATTTAAAAAAAAGACATTTATTAATGGATTTTAGGAAGGGTTGGGAGTGGGGAGAGGGATAAAAGAATACACTTTGGGTAGAGTGTACACTGCTTGGGTGATAGGTGTGCCAAAATCTCAGAAATCACCACTAAAGAACTTTTCTATAAAATCCGAAACACTTGTTCCCCCAAAACTATTGAAATGAAAAATAAAAATAATAAAGACATTTATTGAATGCTTATTGACGTAAACAATGAAATATCTTTTCTAATTATGAGAATAAAGTAGAGAACTCATAGAATACATACACACACAGTTTTTCACACACACACACAGACACACAGAGTCATTTTAAACAACTAAAACTCCAATTGTTGGAACTTGATTCTAAATGCATTGGAAGCCATTAAGGAATTTTAACCAGCAGTATTATGTTATGTATTTTAAAAAATCATTCTGGTTGTTTTCAGTTTATATTAAATAACCTTATTGTACGTTGATCTATTTTTATCTACCACATTTAATTTTAATACTGCTTTTAATTTGTACTTTCTATGTTTCTTGGTGTCTCTACTCCTATCACAACATCTGTTATTTCAATGATTTGCACATGTTTAAGACAATGTAGTGGATTTTTGAGGGCACTTAATGATCTTTTAAAAAAATCATGCCTGTCATATTCTCTAGGGATGCCTTTACCTATAGCATCCTTCAAAGTAGTGAGAAAATAATTTTCTTTTCTTTCTTTTCTTTTTTCTTCTCGTTCCTTCCTTCCTTCCTTTCTTTTTCTTTCTTTCTCTCTCTCTTTCTCTCTCTCTCCTTCCTTCCCTCCCTCCCTCCCTCCCATCCTCCCTCCCTCTCTCTCTCTTTCTTTCTTTCTTTTTCTTCTTTCTTTCTTTGTTGTGGGAAGTCAGGGACCCCAAACAGAGGGACTGGCTGGAGCTGTGGCAGAGGAACATAAATTGTGAAGATTTCATGGACATTTATCAGTTTCCAAAATTCACACTTTTATAATTTCTTATGCCCATCTTTAATCTCTTAATCCTGTTATCTTCATAAACTGAGAATGTACATCACATCAGAACCACTATTGCACAAATTGATTGTAAAACATGTGTGTTTGAACAATATGACATCAGTGCACCTTGAAAAAGAACAGAGTAACAGCAATTTTCAGGGAACAAGGGAAGACAACCAAAAGGTCTGACTGCCTGCGGGGTCGAGCAGAATACAGCCATATTTTTCTTCTTGCAGAGAGCCTATAAATGGGTGTGCAAGAGAGCCTATAAATGGCAGAGATATCGCTGAATTCTTTTCCCAGCAAGGAATATTAATAATTAATACCCTGGGGAAGGAATGCATTGCTGGGGGGAGGTCTATAAACAGCTGCTCTGGGGGTATCTGTCTTATGTGGTTGAGATAAGGACTGAAATACGCCCTGGTCTCCTGCACTACCCATAGGGTTATTAGGGTGGGGAAAAGATCCTGCCCTGGTAAATTTGAGGTCAGACCAGTTCTCTACTCTCAAGCCCTGTTTTCTGTTGTTTAAGATGTTTATCAAGATAATACGTGCACAGCCAAACATAGACTCTTATCAGTAATTCTAGTTTTCCCCTTTGCCTTGTGATCTTTGCTTTGCCCTTTGCCTTGAGATCTTTATTGCCCTTTAAAGCATGTGATATTTGTGACCTGCTCCCTGTTCATACACCCCCTCCCCTTTTAAAGTCCTGGATAAACACCTGCTGGTTTTGCAGCTCAGGGGACATCACAGACCTACCGATATGTGATGTCACCCCTGGAGGCCCAGCTGGAAAATTCCTCTCTTTGTACTCTTTCTCTTTATTTCTCAGACTGGCTGACACTTAGGGAAAGTAGAAAGGACCTACATTGAAATATTGGGGGCTTGTTCCCCTGATATTTCTTTTCTTTCGCGTTTTCCTTTCTTTCCTTCTTTCTTTTCTTTTCTTTTTTTTATTTATTTTTTTTTTTTTGTGTGTGTGTGTGAGAGAGAGAGAGAGAGAGAGACAGGGTCTTGCTCTGTCCACCAGGCTGGAGTGCAGTGACACCATCTCACCTTACTTCAGCCTCTGCCCCCTGGGCTCAAGTGATTCTCATGCCTCAGCCTTGGAGTAGCTGGGATGACAGGAGTGCACCACCATGCCCAGGTAATTTTTGTATTTTTTGTGGAGATGGGGTTTCACCATATTGTCCAGGCTGGCCTCAAATTTCTGGGCTCAAGCAATACACCCACCTCAGCCTCCCAAAGTGTTGGGATTACAGTCATGAACCACTGCTTCCAGCTGAGAAAATAACTTTTAAACTCCTTCTAAATGCATTCTTTGGTGACCTTACTTCTATCACAATACGTATTAGCCTACCTTCTCCAAACTTTCTCATCATGTATCAATCTTTAGACACAAACATGAATGCAGACTTGATCTTTGACCAATGAGGAAGACCCAATTGGAACTAATCAATAATGTGAAAAAGTCTGAAAAAGAGCCTGTAACATTAAATTTCAAAATAACGAAAGAGCTGAGAGAGCATAGTGTGAAGGAGCTCTTAATGTTAAGCAAGCACACTTCAAAGTTAAAAGAAATAACAGTAATACACATGCCTTTGATTATATAACTCTTTTTATCTTACAGAGGCCTTGGTATTAACTCATTTTATCCTGGCAAGTTTGTTATGAGATATTTTAATCTCTCTTTTAAAATCAAGGAAGGGAAATGAGAAAGCTTAAGTGACTGTCTTGGATTGCAAGATTTGTAAATGATGGAGCAAGACCTCTAACCTAGGTCATCTGATAAGTCCAGGACCATTTCCACCTCTCTAGTGTTCCACAGCCAATACCAGCAAAATTAAATGTCTCAGATTGATGGGAGTTCTTGGAGCAGTCTCAACGAGAGGTTGAAGGCAAGTTTATCAAGATTACTTGTGGAATCATCTTAACTACTCCCACTCCCCCCCACACACATACAAAGACACAGACTATTATATATTACATACACAGATTATATTATCCCTAGTTTGTGGTACTGTCAGTAAGTCATTGGTATTGGTGGGACTGGTTATCAAAGGAGTAAGGATGTTTAAGAACAGAAATAGTTAAGAATAAATGATCCAGTAATTTTATTCTAAAAATAATCTTGAATTGTTTTTTACTTGAAAGTAAAAATAAATGTAGTCATATAAATTAATATAAATGCACAAGAAGGTCACTAATTAGATTGGAAATGGCATAGGCTAGTATAGTATATGAACAGAAGTCCTATTAAAGGACAAAAATAGGAAGATTTGTGAATATGAAAGAAGAGGGCCAGGAAGGCTTAGGTTCAGAATAAATTGATATGTGAAAAATGAAAGGCAACCAAAGTAGATATTTAACAGTCAAATAAAAATCATTTCAAATTATAAAAGAAAACATATACATTATTTTAAAAGCAAATATAGGATATTTTCTATATCTCTGTTATGAGGTTCTTGGCAATTTTTATAATTATTATAGAATATTTTCATATATATACATTATTTTAACTATATTTATTTGGTTGTCAGAGATGCTGACAACTTTTCCTATATACACCATAAATATTTATTATTTATTTTAACAATAATGATAATAATTTATTTCATGCATCTTCTCCTTAAAAAGATATGTGATATGCTACTAAGAGCTTTATGTAGATTATCTTATTTAATTTTTCAATCGATTTTGTCCTTTCTCTGTTTTTAGAATAACAGTGCTTACTGAAACTCCAGTTATATGAGCTATTTTTAGCTAAGCAATATTAACCCTTTCTCTGACATATCCAAAAGGGGTTTTAATGCTAATTTTAGAGAAAAGTAATTAGAAGAGCTTTGCTCATGGTTAACAATTAGGGAAGAGTGATAATATATGAGACAGAAAAGCAGAAAAAAGGGTATATTCCTTCTGTGCATCTTCAGGGAAATTATTGAAATTTATTTATGTAAAAATATTTTATAAGCTACAATTTAATACAAAATTCTGAAGCAATCATTACTACTATTCTCGTAATTTTTAGTTATTAAGTTTTAAAAGCCAGATTTTAGATTATTAAAATAAAAAATGTTTAGGTAAATAGGATAGTCCAGCAACAGAATGGAAAATTGCCTAGATGAACTTATTCCATCACTGGAAGTATCCAAGCAGAGGTATCCTAAAATGTAATGAGAGTGCTTATGTGTGTTTGTTTGTTATGTATGGAATGAGGTGGCTCTTATACCATATCACTGATTAACTTATTTATATAATTTATTTTTACATTTTCATTGAGAGACTACTATAAGTAAATCCTTTAATAAGTACTTAGTAAAAAGCATTGATGAATAATATTACTCTGCAGTCTAATAGGAGATATAAAATATAAAAACAAGTAATATTAAGCATGATCATAACTTAGGATGTGGAAATATTTATTCTAGATAGCACAATCAGATAAGGCTCCAGGAAATTTTTAGACGTGTTGGTAGGGAAGGCAGTGGTAGTATAGATGAAATGAGGAGAAAGAAATTACGTAATTTAAAACAGCCAAGTAAACACAGTAAGCTAATATTCAGAAGCAACCATGAGAAACAAAATAGTAGAATAAAGCTCAATGTAAGTTTGATACATTATAGTGAGTTACAAACTAGCAAATTTGAGTCATAAATATTATAATACAAAAGACTGATATATTATTTGAAATTATTCTTCTTGAAAGAAGAAAAAGGAAAGTATATTGGAAAGAAAATTTTGAATCAGAAAGCCCAAAAAACTTAATAAAATTAATCAAGAGAAAGATAATTTGCATGGAAAGCTATAGGAATAGAACCAGTGGGATTACATGAGAGCCACTGCATGTGCAGAATTAAGAAGTCTTTGCAACTGACTGGCTATATTTACTAATCCAAAATAAAGCAGAAAAAAGGAAAAGGGGCAACAGAGTAAAAAGGGGACAAGAAGAAGATAGATTTAAACCCAGTCATATGAATAATTGAAATAAATGTAAATGACTAAATACAAATACAGTCATGTGCCACAAAACAAAGTTTCAGACAAGGTAAAGAATGGACTGCGTATGTGATGATGGTCCCATAAGATCATCATAATGAATTTTACTATACCTTTTCTATGATTAGATAGGTTTAGATACACAGATACTTACCATAGTGTCACAGTTGCCTACAGAATTCAGTAGAGTAGCATGCTATACAGGTTTGTAAGCTAGGAGCAATAGGCTGTACCGTTTCGTTTAGGCACGTAGTAAGCTATATCATCTGGGTTTAAGTTAGTATACTTTATGATTTTTGCACAATAATAAAGTTGCCTGATGATGCATTTCTCAGAATTTATTCCCATCATTAATTGTCACATGACTGGAAAAGCAGAAATTGTCAGCTGGGTGCGGTGGCTTACACCTGTAATCCCAGCACTTTGGGCGGCCGAGGCAGGAGGATCACGAGGTCAGGAGCTTGAGACCAGCCTGGCCAACATGGTGAAACCCTGTCTGTACTAAAACTACACATATTAGCCAGGTGTGATGGTAGGCGTCTGTAATCCAACTACTCGGGAGGCTGAGGCAGGAGAATCACTTGAACCCGGGAGGCAGAGGTTGCAGTGAGCCAAGATTGTGCCACTGCACTCCAGCCTGGGCAACAAGAGTGAAACTCTGTCTGAAGAAAGAAAAAAAAAAAAAAGCAGAGATTGTCAGATTGGTTAAAAAAAGCAAACCCTGTATATCTGCGGTCCATCAAAAATAAACTTGAAAATAACTTCAAATGTAAAACACAAATAAGTTAAAAGTAAAATGATGAAAAGAGAAAAATATGCTAAACCTAATCTGAAGAAATCTTGAGTGGCTATATTTTCACTACAGTAAGTAGATTTCAGAAAAAAAAATATTGCCAAGGATAAAGGAGATCATTCTATCAAAATGTTTATTCACATAACAGACCTTCAAAACACATAAAGCAAAACTTACAAAATTTCAAGGAGAAAAAGACAAATCTATAATTATATTTAGGTGCTTTAATGCTCCTTTCTTCATAATTAACACAACAAGTAGAGAGATAATCAGTAAGGATATTTAAGATTTGGACAACACTATCAACCAAATTGTTTTAATTGACATAAATAGAGTATTCCATTTAACAGTAGCAGAATATACATTCCTTTCAGACAAACTTAAAATAGACCATAATCTGCACCATAGTATAAGTCTCAGTAAATTTCAAAGACCCAAATCATACAACGTATATTCTCTGAACACATCGAGTTAAATTAGAAATAAAAAAGTAATCATTTATGGAAATTCCTCAGATACTTCTAAATAACCTATGGAGCAAAGAAGAAATCAAAGAGCAAATTAGTATTTTTCACTGAAGAAAAGTGAAAAACTTATAGCAAAATTTGTGAGATGACACAAAAGCAATGCTTAGAGAAAAATTTATAGTACTAAAGGACTATGTAGAAAATAAGAAAGGCATAAAATTAATAAATTCTACCTGAGAAACTAGAAAAAGAAAAAAATTCGATGTCAAATAAGTAAATAGAAAATATTAAAAAATAAAAGTTGGAAATCAATGAAATAGAAAAGAAAAAAATAGAAAAATTAGTGAAAAAAATACTATTGGAGAAGATAAGCAGAATTAATGAACCTCTACCAAGATTGATCATGAATAAATAATATAAAAATTACCAATCTCAATAAAGAAAGATGACTTTAATACAGATTCTTTGAATATTGACATGATAGTAGACAATGTTATGAACAAATTTATGCCAAGAAATTCAACAACACAGAGAAAACAGTGCCAATCCATTGAAGGACATACACTACCAAAATTTGTTCAAGAAGAAATAGCTAATCTGAATACATATACTGAAAACATTGAATTTCTACATAAAATCTTTCTAAAAAATGAAAACTACAGGTCCAGATGGTTTTACTAGTAAATCTTATTAAACTTTTAGAGAAAAACAAAATACCAATACCATATAATCGATTCCAAAAATCAAAAAGAAAGTAGTACAAATCTCTCATGAACATGGATGCAAACACATAAATGGAAACAAAAAGCAGGAAAATGTCATGCCCAAATCTAAGGATTTATCTTAAAAACACAAGGTTACAGCTGCGTGCAGTGGCTCATGCCTGTAATCTCAGTAATTTGGGAGGCTGAGGCAGGCGGATCACCCGAAGGTAGGAGTTCGAGACCAGCCTGGCCAACATGGTGAAACACCATCTCCACTAAAAGTACAAAAATTAGCTAGGTGTAGTGGCAGGCACCTGTAATCCCTGCTTCTCAGGAGGCTGAGGCCAGAGAATTGCTTGAACCCAGGAGGTGGAGGTTGCAGTGAGCCGAGATTGCGGCACTGCACTCCAGCCTGGGTGACGAGAGTGAGACTCTGTTTCAAAAAACAAACAAACAAACAAACCCACAAGGTTACTTTAACACTTGAAAAATCAATGTAATTTGTCACATTAAAAAACTAAAAAAGAAAAATATTTTGAATACTTCAGTACACATGGATAAAATTAAAAAAAGAAAATGTTAGCAAACTAGAAAGTAAACTTCCCCTGATGAATGGCATCTAAGGAAACCTACAACTAATGTCACACAAAATGATTAAAATGCATTCTCCTAAATATCAGAAACAAGAAAAAGATATTTTTGTCACCACTTCTTTAACATAACATAGGGACTTTTAATCAGTTCATTAAGGCAAAATAAGTAATACAATGCATAATATTAAAGGCATCTGGATCAGAAAGGAAGAAACAAAATGCTTTTATTCACAGACATCAATTTTTGCGTAAAAAATGCAATACAATTTACTTTAAAAAAGCTATTACTAATAAAATCTCAGTATATAATACCAATATACAAAAATCAATTGCATTTTTATAGATAGCAATGAACAATTAAAAACTAAAATTTTGGCTGGGCACAATGGCTCGTGCCTGTAATCCCAGCACTTTGAGAGGCTGAGGCGGGTGGATCATTTGAAGTGCAGAGTTTGAGACCAGCCTGGCCAAATGGTGAAACCCTGCCTCTACTACAAACTACAAAAATTAGCTGGGTGTGGGGACAGGCACCTGTAATCCCAGCTACTCAGGAGGCTGGGACAGGAGAATTGCTTGAATCCAGGAGGTGGAGGTTGCAATGAGCCAGAGTCAATCATGCCACTGAACTCCAGCCCGGGCCACAGAGTGAGACATCCTCTAAAAAAACAAAAGAAAACAAAACAAAACACTAAAATATTTAAAATCAACACATCATTTAAAATAGCATTCAAAATATTAAGTTCTTGGGAATAGATTTTTACAAATTGTACAAAATAGGTTTACACTGAAAACATTGCTGAGATAATTAAAAGACTCCTACATAAATAGGGAGATATAATTTGTTCACAGATTGGAAGGCTCAGTTTTGTTATAATGTCTGTGTTAGTCTGTTCTCACATTGCTATAAAGAACTGCCTGAGACTGGGTAATTTATAAAGAAAAAAGGTTTCATTGGCTCCCAGTTCCACAGGATGTAGAGGAAGCATGGCTGTGGCGTCCTCAGGAAACTTACAATTATCATGGAGGGCAAAAAGGAAGGAGACATGTCTTACATGGCTGGAGCAAGAGGAAGAAAGCAATAAGGGGGAAGTGCTACACACTTTTAGGCTGGGCGTGGTGGCTCATGCCTGTAATCCCAGCAGTTTGGGAGGCCAAGGTGGGTGGATCACGTCGTCAAGAGATTGAGACTATCCTGGCCAACATGGTGAACCCCCATCTCTACTAAAAATACAAAAATTAGCTGCACGTGTTGGTGCATGCCTGTAGCCCAGCTACTCAGAAGGCTGAGGCAGGAGAATTTGTTCAACCCTGGAGGCAGAGGTTTCAGTGAGCCGAGACTGTGCCACTGCACTCCAGCCTGGCAACAGAGTGGGACTCCGTCTCAAAAAGAAAAAAAAAAAAAAAAGAGAGAAAGAAGGAGGAAGTGCTACACACTTTTAAACAACCAGATCTCATGAGAACTTACTCTGTCACTCTGCATTATAAGTACAGCAAGGGGGAAGTCTGACCCCATGATTCAATCACCTCCCACCATGTCCCTCCTCCAACACTGGGGATTACAATTTAACATGAGATTTGGGTAGGGACACAGAGCCAAACCATATCAATGTCAATTCTATCTAAGTTGGTCTTTAGGGTCAACGTATTCACAGTAAAATTCTATCAGTTATTTTTATAGAAATTGAAAAACTGATTTTAAAATGTATACAAAAATGCAAAGACCTAGAATAGCCAAAATAATTTTGAAAAGAACAAAGTTGGAATATTAGCACTACCTGATTTCAATATTTATAATAAAGCAGTAGTAATCGAGACAGTATAATATTATCATAAAGATGGACATATCAGAGTAGAGAGTCCAAGGATAGATCACAAACACATGGCAAATTTTTGACAAAGGTAAAAAAGCAATACGATGGGAAAAGGATATTATTTTCACCAAATGGTGCTGGAGCAATTGGAAAAACATAAGCAAAAATCAAAATCTTTGTATACAAAAGACATTAAATTTTAATGCAAATGGACTAGAGTTTTAAATACAAAATTCAAACTTACAAAAATTTTAAAAGAAAACTTAGGAGAAAATGTTACTACCTTGGGTTAGCCAAAAAGCACGATCCATAAAAGAACATATTGCCAACGTGGACTTCATTAAAACTAAAGACATCTGTTTAAAAATATACTGTTAAAATAATAAAAAGCCACACACTAGGATATTGTATGCTAATACAATATTAAAGCTTTCATCTA
The DNA here is from genome assembly GCF_000001405.40 of Homo sapiens. Taxonomy (NCBI): domain Eukaryota; kingdom Metazoa; phylum Chordata; class Mammalia; order Primates; family Hominidae; genus Homo; species Homo sapiens. The sequence continues at coordinate 58,177,294 of NC_000004.12, read as the reverse complement.
AAATTTGCAAAGAACTCTCAAAAACTCAATAATAGCAAATCAAACCACAAAAAATAAAAATTTGAACACATGCATCCTCAATGTAGACACATCAAAAGATTTGAACAGACACTTCACCAATGAAGATATATGTATAACACAAGCATTGCCCATACATAGATGCTCAGCATCATTATGTATTAGGAATATAAAAATTAAAACCACAAGGAGATACCACTTAACACCTAATTTACAATGACTGAAATTTAAAAGTCTGTCCATCTCAATCATTGGTGAGGATATGGAAGAACTGGAACTCTCATACACTGCCAGTAGGAATGAAAGTTGGTATGAGCACTGTAAAACACATTTTGTAAATTTCTTTAAAAGTTAAACATACATATATCATATAATCCAATCGTTTTACTGCTGGGTATTAAGCTAATAGAAATGAAAAAAATATGACCTTAAATACTTTTACACAAATGTTTGTAGCAGCTTATTTGTGATATCCAAAAGTTGGAAATAGCCCAGATGTCTATTAACAGGTGAATGCATAAGCAAACTGGAATAACCCATAATAGAATATGTCTAGACAAAAAAGAATGAATTATTCATATACATTAAAAAATAGATGAATCTCAAAACGAATGAATAAAAGAAGGCAGAATAAGAAAGTACATAGTGTATAATTTCATCTATATAATATCCTTAAAAAGTCAAACCAATATATAATAACAGAAAGTAGATCAGAGGTTGATTTTGGTCTCAAGATTAGGAGCAGAGAGTTCTTAAGATTAGAAGTAGAAAGAACAGAGAATATTGGAAATAAGAAAATTTGATGTGATGGATGATGCTCATTTTCTTGATTATGGTGACATTTTCATGTTTGTGTATTTTATTAGTCCATTCTCATTCTGCTATAAAGAATTACCCGAAACTGGGTCATTTATAAAGTGAAGAGGTTTAATTGACTTACAGTTCATCATGGCTGGGGATGCCTCAGGCAGAAGGCAGAGGATAAGCAATCATGATTGAACGCAAATGGGAAGCAAGGCACCTTCTTCACAAGGCGGCAGGAAGAAGAAGACCAAGCAGGGGGAATGTGAGATACATACATATAAAACCATCAGATCTCATGAGAACTCACTCACTATCAGGAGAAAAGCATGGGAGAAACCACCCCCATGATCCAATTACCTCCACCTGGTTCAGCCCTTGACACATGGGGATTATGGGGGTTATGGTCATTGCAATTCAAGATGAGATTTCGCGTGGGAGACGGCAAAACTGTATCATATATATTTGTCATAACTCATCAAATTGTATATTTTAAATATGTGCAGTTTATTAAATTTCAGTTATACTGTGGTGAAACTGTTTTAGGACAATTTTTGCTTTTTAAAGTTATAAATATTATTATTTCATAAGATTTCATGTGAATGCAATGTGGAAAAGAGCATTAAAATCATAAATACACAGTGGTGCTGTCATGAGATAAAAATAAATGTATTTTAAACATACTAGAACACTCATGTTTGTATTATTCAATACAAATTGACTAAAATTCAAGACAGTCTCCAGATTTTACAGATATTAATTTTTGAATAATAAAATGAATAAACAAATTGATTATAAAGCAGACATTTATGAAAGTGTTTACACTCTATGTGTTACTCTTTTGTTTTATATTGAATTATGAAGTTCTGAGATTTGGGGAAAAAATACATTATGAGTTCCCTTCAACTTGTGAGTCAGGTTTCAGCCTGGAGCATACATCTATGAAGATGTAGAAATGATGGTAAGCCATTAAATGCAACAGATCAAACACTGCCTCTAGTATGTAAGTCAAAATAGCAAAGCAGCAACAGCTTAAGAGACTTAGAAGAAATTCTGAACTGTTCCCCAAAAGCCATTACATTAGCAAAGTTTATCTCAGTCTTGAAATTCGCATAAGTCATGCGCTGAATTGAATTTACTGCCAAGGCATCAGCATCAACTGCTGTGGTGTCATCTTGTTCCCCTTCTAAATCACCTTATTCTACTCAAAGATAAAAGACTGCTTTCATTTCTGTAGGGGACAGATTAAACATTAGCAGTCAGAAGCAATTGCTTTTCCCTTCAACATCACCTCTAGCCTTCTTACTTACAACACCCTCTCCAGGGATTGCCTGCTGGCTGAAGAAGAGGCAAATAACATTTGTGCCTTAGCACAGCATCCTTTGATTCTGTATCTGTACTGTAAAGCTGAGGGTTTTTTTGCAAACAATGTGAGAGGTCTTAGCAGGTGAGGGGTAGAACCATGGCACAGAACTCGAAGTTCATAAATTTTAATCTGAATTTCCCAGAAATCTCTGCATATTTCCTTGAATAACATACAGGCTTTAAGTTTGTGCATCATTAGAGACAATTTTGGCAGTGTCTGTATTGAATGTCATTTCTATAACTGTTGTCAAAGACAATTTCAGTATTCCCCTCTGCTTTAATAAATGATAGACAGGTTCCTTCCTGACTATAGACCCATGACCTTTCCCTAGAGCAGTTACTTAGAAAACCTGAAATTGTAAATATGTCTGTGCTTCTTTGAAATACAAAATCTTCTCCAAGAAATGTAATCATCAAAAATGATAGCACCAGAGGGTAGGAGGAGGGAGAGGATCAGGAAAAATACCTAATGGGTACTAGGTTTAATACCTGGGTTATGAAATAATCTGTAAAACAAATCCCTATGACACAATTTTACCTATGTAACAAACCTACACTTATACCCAGAACTTAAAATGGAAGTTTTTAAAAAAATGATAGCACCTCTATCTCCCAGTCTCTGTGAGAAGGTAGGAACCTAACTTTGACAAGTGCCAATTAGCAAACACAGATGGCCTAGTCAAATTAATTAATTTTTCTCCTAACATCCTCCAGTACTTTTCCAGTAGCTCACCCTAGCACGTAAAAACTTTTATTTCAGTGAAGTTAAGTTCAACCTCTCTACCCTATTGCAACAGTCTTGAATACAGTTTTCCTTGCCTGTTTAACTCTGTCCATGCCATTTTTCTTTTATAGGGCCCTTGAAAAGCTGTCCCTTTCTAATAATCATTAGGTGCAAAAGAGTTGGAATATAAATTTTTAGTAAAATATCTTGAGCATTTCTTAAATTTTAAAATGTAAATTATAAATTGGCTAAAGGTTGAATCACTCTGAATTGAGGTGGTATGGCTGACTATTATGGATTCTGTTTAAGTTGAATGGCTCCAGAGTCCCAGTTTTACGACGTGAAGGTTTTTTTCCATTGTGATTCTAAATGCCTGCATTCCACATCTATGAAATAGTATTTCCTGGAGGTATGAACTAAAACCCACCTGCCTTACAATTTGTCTTTACTTATTAGGTATCTCTGTAATTTTGACTTTTGCTTGACCTATCCATCTGAAGAAGAAAGCCAAAGGCAAGTACCAATAGGAAGATAAGTAAAGCCTGAACTCTTTTAGGGCTCATAATTCAAGTCCCCCTAGTCCATAGTAGGTAAGAAGAACTCAGTATACTCATTCCAAATTAAAGGTCACAAAACCAAATTGCTTTCTCCAGTGTCTCCTGATAGTGTTTTCCCCATTTTCCACCACAGAATGGAGGTCCTTTGAATGTGGAGAGGGAACTGAAAATGGTAGTGGCTGCTGTCATATTGCAGTAGGAGTATATATGAGCTTTATAATGGTCTTTGTAAATCTTGTTCAGAAAGATCATTTTGAAGCTTGGCCAGAAAAGACAAAATTAGCTTACAAAAATTCCAGGCCAGGATTTGCTTTTGTATAGTTATTGTAAGGCACCGAATAGTCGTGGCTACTGTGAAAAGGTGGTTCTGGTCCGGTAATAACATCTACTGACTATAAAGCTTAAATTTATAACTAATTAGCTAGCAGATAATAAAGGCAGTAATTTTTTTTGCTTTCTATTATCAATGGCAATTTTTTCAGCCCCGTGTTTTCTTTGATGATCTGTTATTACCTTCTACACTGACACTGCCTCTTCAGATATGCTGTTGCTGACATTTTCAGACTGCTTTTGTGCTTAGCCTGTCCAATTAAACTTTAAAATCTGTGTTATTATTGCTAGTATTGTTATTCTTTTTGTTTATCTCTCAAATCATGGTATCTGCGGGCCCCTTGTAATGGCTGCAAAACAGATAGGAGCTAGAAAGATGTTTATACACACAGATTTCTACAAGGAAACTCAAAATGATTCTCTGGTATTCTTTCTTGTTTTCCTTTTTTTAAAATTTTAAATTGGCAACTATGGAGTAGGACCAAGAAAGCCCTCAACTTTGAGATTATCTCTCATAGCCTTACTGTATTTGTCCTATGTGAATTACAACAGGAATAAATATATACCTAAAAATTTAGAAAAGTGTTATTTACATCTCCAGAAGAAAATAATGTGGAAAGAAGACTGAATTGACCACTAATCAATGTTTGTATGATGATGAATAATAATAATGATTATTATTATTACAAAATGCATGAGGGCATCTGAAAGACAGTATCTGATCTGACATGTTTTATATCCTGTAAAACACACTATACAGTACTAGGCCAAACCAAACTAAGGAAATAGTATAAGTTGAAGTCTTTTGACGTTAACTATTCAAGGAAGAACTAGAATAAGGACAAATGTAAATGTTCACATATGTATAACAGGAACCAAGATTTCTTAACACTTTAACAGTTTCCATAGCATTTTAACACTACATCACCACATTTGATTTCCAAGAAAACTTATGAAGAAAACAGAATAGACTTAACCTTTCTTTTTTTACAGCAAGGACTTAGAATCTCACAAAAAGACTACTGACTAGTCCAAAGTCACACGACAAATTCTTCTTCTTCTAGTTTCATTTTTTTTTCTGTACTTTATGGTTTTGTTGTGATCTCAGTCTGATTATTGTTTTTAAAACTTGAAGGACTGCCGGGAGCGGTGGCTCACGCGTGTAATCCCAGCACTTTCAGAGGCTGAGGCGGGAGGATCACGAGGTCAGGAGATCGAGACCATCCTGGCTAACGTGGTAAAACCCCATCTCTACTAAAACTATTAAAAAAAAAATAGCCGAGCGTGGTGGCGGGTGCCTGTAGTCCCAGCTATCCCGGAGGCTGAGGCAGGAGAATGGCGTGAACCCGGGAGGCGGAGCTTGCAGTGAGCTGAGATCGCACCACTGCACTCCAGGCTGGGCAACACAGCAACACACCGTCTCAAAAAAAAAAAAAAAAAAAAAAAAAAAATCTCAAAAACAAACAAACAAACAAAAACTTGAAGGGAAAAAGAGACTGCTGAGTTTCTGAGGGGAAATAGATTTTGAAGGTACTTAATCATGTATTTATTTGTTTATTAAACATTTGTGGTCATTCTGGTACTCATTTTACTTGGATTCTCAAAAATTCAACTCAATTCCTCTTCCTTCCTTTTGGTAACATTATGTTCTCTGTTGCCACAAAATCTCTTTCCTGATTTTCCTCTTACATAACTAGTTGTACCATCTTGGTGTCCTTTGCTTCTTTGCCTGCCTCTACATGTTGATACACCTCAGGTCTCAGCCTTCTCCTCTTCCAAAGAAGTCACACCTGTAGACTTAGAATACCATCAGGCTGACAACTCCTGAATCTGTATTTTCTTGACCAGAATTCTTCCCAAATGTTCTAACCTTAATGAGTTATATACACAATTTCAGAATGAGATGGACTTAATATAAATTTCGCTTTTCCATTTCTGCTGAAGGAATTTGGGGAAACTAATTAACTTCTCTATACCCTAGTAAATTTATTTATAAAATAGGGAATATAGTAAAACCACCTAAGAAGTTCCATTACTTGAACTTTGTTGGAGTCCAGACATCTCCACTGGCATATCTCATAGGCCCCTCAGATTTAATCTAAACAAAATGAGTCTGACTTTTCCTCCATGAACCTTATCCTGACAAGTCTTCTTTATATCAGAAATCGTCAAGGCTTTCTGTTCTCATATATATCATTCAGTCAGCAAACAGAAAATCATATTTAATTTTGTTCTTTCTCTTATCCCTTCCCTGATTCAGTCTACAAGTAAGATTTATCAATTTTACCTTGAAAATAAACCTCAAATCTGTGTCATTTTCTTCATGTCATCATCACAGCCCCAGACCAGGCAGCAGCAATCTCTTTCTTGGACTATTGCAATAGCCACATGACTGCTTTTCCTATTGCTTTTACTACTATATTACTCTCTGTTCATCCATTATCCACTGAGTAGAATGATATCATTTCACCCTCTTGCATAAAATGTTGCAGCATTTTTTTTTTTCGCTAAGAGTAATACTAAAGACGCTTATCATGGTCTTCAAAAACTTTTGTGAGCTGGCTTTTGCTCATCTCTCCATCCCCATCTCAAGCCACTCCCTCATTCACTCATTGTACTGTACTCACAAAGTCTTTCAATAATTCCTAGAATTTGGCAAGCTTTTTCACATTGTAGGCCCTTTTATTTCCTATTCCGTCTTTGATGAAGGTGTTTTTCCTGGCTTTATGCATGGCAGACTCCTTCTCATTCTTTAAGTCCTTATCAAAATCTCAGAGAGAGATCATCTCTGATAATCCTATTCACACCTCCACTGTTATTTTGTTTTAAACACAACAATCTATTTTTTTCATTCAGAGCATATATAGCTGTAATTACTTTATCTATTTTCTTATTTTATTTATTCACTTATCAAAAAGTTTGAATTATAGGTTCTAAAGATATAGCAATGCATATCCCCATGAATCTTACTTTCTAATGGGAGAGATGGAAAATAAACAGGTAGCACTCCAAAGGAAAATATAGCAGAGTAAAGGAATATACAATTGGGAGGGTTTGACTGGGTGGTTACAATGGGATTTTCTGAAAAAATATTTAAGTCTGATTTGAATGACATGAAGAAAAATGTTAGAAGAGATGAAGAGAGAGCATCTCATTCTGTGGATTAAGAGTTTGAGTAGCCTATATGTTTGAGGCCTAGAAACTCCAAGCAGAAATTTTTTGTTTGCTTGTTTTTGTGTTTGTTTTTGTTTTTGAGACGGCGTCTCACTCTGTCGCCCAGGCTGGAGTGCAGTGGCGCGATCTCGGCTCACTGCAAACTCCGCCTCCCGGGTTCACGCCATTCTCCTGCCTCAGTCTCCCAAGTAGCTGGGACTACAGGCACCCACCACCATGCCCAGATACTTTTTTGTATTTTTAGTAGAGACGGGGTTTCACCGTGTTAGCCAGGATGGTCTCGATCTCCTGACCTCGTAATCCGCCCGCCTCGGACTTCCAAAGTGCTGGGATTACAGGCGTGAGCCACTGCACCCGGCTGGAAGTATTAATATGTAGTTGTATGCATGAGTCTAAAGCCCATGGGAAATGTTTGGAAAAGAAATGTGAATCTGAGAATCATCAGCATATAATAAAACTTTTAACCTAAGTGATGTCACCCAGGAAGTGCGTTTGAAGAAGAGAGATGAGGAATGAGAGCTGCAAAGGACACTACCAAGTTTAAAGAATCAAAGAAGAGGGGCCAGACAAGGGTGCTGGAAAGTGAGAAAGTAAGAAAACCAGGGGAGGGAGTCATCCCAGAAGGAATGAGAAAGTGTCAAGTGTTATTGAGCATTAGAGTAATCTCAAGACATAGAAGAGTCAGCTTGATTTAGTAACCTGATGGTAATTGGTGATCCTGACAAGACAAAGGAAAGGCTCTTTATAGTGGGATTAAGAGAGAAGGGAAAAACAGGAAGTAGAGACAGTGTGTCTAAAGAATTGTTTGGCAGAATTTTACTAGAAAAGCTAGATGATTATGGGAGAAGTAGCTGCAGAGTAAGGGCTTTTTTGTCTCTCTCTCTCTCTCTCTCTCTCTCTGTGTGTATGTGTGTTTTAAGATGGTGGATGTTACAGCATGCTTGTGTGATGATGTAATGAAGCTAGTAGAAAGGTAAGTCAGGATAATGTGAGAGAGATGGGGTGGGGAGATATGAAGAGGTAAGAGGGTGAATTGATTAGGTAAATAGAGTAGAATTCTTGAGCAGCTTGAAATTTGTACTCATAAATAAAATAGCGTTAGCCAGCAGGCTTGTATTTTATTCTGTAGCCATGCTTAGCTATGTAGAAGCACTAGAGGAAAGTAGTAGGTGGAGAATATGTTTGCCAAGCAAGTGTTACAGAGGGGAAAAGGAGGAGAGAATGTAGGCAAGGGATGACTACAATAATGAATTATGAAATCTAAGCAGGGTAAGAAGAAGGTAAAAACAAAAGGAGATTAATAAATGGGGAAGATGTGGCAGGATGAATGGATTCTTGGTGAGATATAACAATTATTGAAGTAAAACTATGAAATTCAGTGACCCAAAAGCAACAGTGTCTACTGTGTATGTCCTACATTTGAATGGAGGATCCACAATGTCAGGAACAGTGTTCGGCTTTCCTTTGCATTTTTAGTACATAACATAGCTCCCAGAATGCAGTAGCTGCTCAATAAAAATTGAAATAAAGTAATGTTTATCCCACCACTTACTATGTTCCTAATGTTTAATTTTAGGCATTGGGCATACAATTGTGAATAAAACTAACAAGTAGATAATTACAGGAAAACAAGTGTTAGGATAGAAGGACATGGCATTATGGAAAAACTAAGAAGGACCTCTTACTGAGATTGGAGGGGTTCAGAAGAAGTAATGTCTAATAGGAAGAATGAGTGGTAGTGAGTCAGATGCTAATGACAGAACAGTTTAAGGGGGAAGCAGAGGCATGATCACTAAAACTGACTGAAACTCATCCAACTGTGGTACCAGGTAGGATTTTCAGGGAGAGTGATATCTAAGAATTTTGTTTGTTGGTTAAAAAAAGGTATTCATAATAGCAATATTATTATTACTAATGCTAATACTATTTAGTACTTTTTGCATTGACTATTTACTTTCTTTGTGTTTTGACTTTTAACACTTTTTGGGAGTCCAGAGTATGCCTCCCCAAAATATGAAGAATTGTTGAGTTGAAGTAATTGGGATGAAGCAGATGCAGGAATGCTCTCTGCCCTTTCTCTATTTGCCTAAAAGTAGAATATAGATTTACAGAGACAAAAGCTATCCCGTTCTCTCCAAATACCGCCCCCCTCCCCAAACCTGGAAGCATATCAACCAGAGAGAACAAAGGTTAAACACTGAAGACAGCTTTAGACTCTCATCAACGTTGAGATGATACCAGAAGAATTTATATTAACAAGTTGATTAACTAAACTTTATCTGGCATTTGTTTGCCTTCCCCCAAAGTTGCTGCCCATAGATTTGAGGACTTTTCTCTATGTCTTGTTACATCTCTAAAAAGATCCTGTTTTTTTTCTTAAAAAATACTATACAATCTGAAATTCAAAGCTACCTCACGGGGCAGTACTCATACTCTAGGTGTCTCACTTGTATATATGAAATATACATGTTGATAAGCCTCTGTTTTTCTCGTTAATCTGCCTTTTGTAACAAGGGCCCATTCTAATTAAAACGCTATGGGAGTTAATTCTTTTTCTCCTGTACACTCTTCTTCAAGTTTTTGACACAGGATTCTCACTGAATGGAACCTGGAAACTAATTGCCAAAACCTCCAGGATATATACCAAGAGATTTTTATACCATTATTTATGGCTTTGCTTTCCTTTCAAGGTAAGTCTTATTTTCTTGTTTTCATTCTTACATTTATAAGACTCTCCTGCCTCCAGTTGTGAGCAGCTTTATACCAGTCATGGTTTTCCCTTAAGAAACCTGCCAGCCATTTCACATGAAAGATTTTTGCTTGAAAAGTGCATATATAAATTATTTTTATTATTACTCTAAAAAGGTGACAAATGTTAACTGATATGTACAGCTAAGGCGGTGTGGAGATGGAGATGAACAATGCACTTAATGACATTGCAAAATCATGATGTTAAAAACATTTTGCTATTTCAAAAATTTCTTTTTAAAGAGAAACTAGCAAACCTTTCAGACAGCACTAGCAAATAACGTACTATTTTAAATTATGTATTATTTCCTAAGAAATTTAAAAAGAAGCTTGAGATCCATAAATGCAAGCACTGACTTACTTATAAGTACACGTTTGGGAAAATGCTGCTGTAAAACTAACGAGTTATCTTGGCTTCATTTAACAAATTTAAGTGAACACTTTTACCAGTCCACATTATAATTCTATTGTGATCTTAAAAAATTAGCCCCTAGAACTATTTTAATGTGTTGTATGGGTGTATAGAAAAAAATTGTATGATACTTTTTATTCTTTATTGAGGCAGAAAACATCAATAGTTTTCAAGACAGACCGTCACAAACTTTCAAAAGATTCAACAAGCTGCTTAGGGGAGACAGGGAGGTGGGGAAGATTAGAAGGGTAGAGTTAAAAAAAATAGATGCTTAAAAGTGAATTTGTATTGGTCAGTCTATATAATAATAATTGGTATCCAACACACAGCTGCAATTACTACAAAATCATTGTCAAATTCATGTGTAGGCAGATGGTAGCAATGTTTAGGAGAGGAGATAACACTGAATTTTTAACAAGTGACAAAAGGATTGGCATGGTGCAAACAGAACACCGGTGCACTTGGCTACCAGCCAGCCAGCCCCATGAGCTGTCCTCCTGCCATCGCACAGAAGGCTCACATGCTAAACAAGACAGTGGATTCCGTCTCACAGTGGAAGACACAGACCCTTGGAGTAAGAAAAAAAAAATCAGAAAGTGAGTTAATGATTGCTCTTTATATTTAAGTCTTCTTTGACTTGAAGGTTTAGCATAATCGCCCAACACAATTTCCTGGCCATAGTAAGCAGCAGTAACTCTGGTCAGGAGCAGTAGACCATTCTGGTAAACAAAAAAGGCTGGGGGACCAGGTTCAAACTCTAGCTCTCAGAATTCCTCCCTGTGTAACTTTGAGTAATTGGCTTTACTCATCTGTGCCTCAGTTTGAGCATCTTTAAAATGTGAAGCTAATAGAACCTACCTGTTTTAGGCATAATGATCTAGAAGAAGAGCTAAGAAAAAGCTTCTTATGGAGGTAAATTGTTGAAGGGCTGTGCTGAGGAAAACAGGGAGAAGTGAGGAACAGGATGGACCCGGGGGAAAGCAGAGCATGCACATGACCTCCCCTCGTGTCTCATCATCAATTGCTTCAGACTGACCCAAAAATTCATGGAGTAAAACAACAATCCTTACATTGTCTCATGATTCTTGTGGTTCAGGAGTTCGGGCAGGGTACAGTGAAGTTTGTCTCTGCTCCACCGTGTGAGATAAAGTGGCTCAAACAGCTGGAGGTGGCTGAGAGAGCATGACTGGAGGCTTAAGTTCCATGTGGCATTTACTGGGGATGCAATGGCCTAGATGGTTTCTTCACTCACGTGTCTGACACTTGGGCCGGGAGGGCTGGAACACCTGAGGGCCAGCTCTTCTCTGTCTGTCTACACATCTCTCTCTGTGACTGGCTTGAGCTCTTCATAGCATGGCCCCCAAAGAATGGGCAGGCTTTGTTACATCCTGCCTTGCCTTCCTCAGAACAAATATTGCAAGAGACATTTGCAGGTGCTTCAAAGCCTCTTATAACCAACCATCATGCAGTATCCCTTTTGCCACATTCTATTGGTTACACAGGGTTATCCCAAATTCAATATAGAAGGGGGCCACACTAATAGGTAAATACCAAAAAAAGTGTGTTCACCAGGGAGCCTATTTCAGAATGAATCTATTGGGGGAAAAACAGAGTTGGCCTCTCCTTGTGGCAAGGAAACAACTTTTATACCTTGCTAATCCCTCTAGCAAGATGCCTTAGTGAGAAAGAAAATAATTCTCCAGTGATGAAGGCATCTGTGAACAGTTGGCACTCAAAATTCACAGCCGCTAGAGGGTAAAGGCACAGCCAGGTAAAGGTGACCAATCAAGCCACCGATATTTTCTACTATGCTACCTCAGAAAGTTACTGTGAAAATTAAATGAATTATTGCATTTGAAAGTGCTTAGGACAGTAGCAGACACACATTAATGAATGTTCAATGTGAAGTCACTTAGAACTCTGATTCACGTCTCTCAGGACTGAGTGGTTGCTTTCTCTGAGCCACTGTGTCTCATAAGGGGCCTGAGAAGACACACTTGCAAATTAATACTTGAAGTTGCCCAACCAGGAAAAGTTCCTTCTATTGTATACTTAATTAAACTACTTTAAAACAGCCACATTTACAGATGAATTATAAGACTCCTTTTAAATTCTGCTACCCATACAGAGAAATTTTTAAGGAGCGTTATGGTACAAAGATTAAGCAACTTCAAATTATGTTGCCCCTAAACAGCTACCTTAATTTGCATTCCGATTTAAAAGAAATTTGAAGAATATCAATAGCGTTTTTGTTAAGTCTCAATGAGTTTTCAGTTACTTTAGGAGTAGCTTGGTATACATTAATTTACCATTTCCCATAATGCCCTTACAAGACAGCTGTTATTTTCTTTATCATACAGTATATCAACTGAAAATTACAGAGACTAAATAACTCTTTAATGTATGAACGTACATACTTTCGAGAATATGAAGTGGGTTTGGATTTGAACCTGTGTCTCTCTAATTTTAAAACTCTTCTTACCAATAATATTATACAATATTCCATAGTAAATAATTCAGAAGTGATTATATTAAAGAGTATGAAAGCTTCTTTTTCAGTATCTATAATTTCTCTAAGATAATTTGTCTAATGCTCCTTCAGAGAAGCAAAGGCAGATTGTTTGGATCAAGAGAATTGCCCAAGGCTTCATTGACTGTTCAGAGGAGCACAATAACTCAAGGAGAAAAATCATTAGCTCCTTAATGAGTCTATTGGTATAAATAATGGCAGCGTATCTACTGTATTCTGACCAATGAATTATGGTGTTAGCACATCCAATCCAATTTCCCATGTTTTTAACTTTTTTAAAAGAGACTGAATAATTATTCTTATTACTGTATTATATAAATGCTGGTTCTTCTAAGCCACAGATATATTACCAACATAAAAAGCATTGACTTTTTAACTGCCATTTTTTCATTGACTAGAATTTAAAATTCAATGGGGAAAAAGAAAATTTGCTTTCTAAAATTAAGATATATATATATTTAGTTATATGTTTTCAAAATTATTAGTTTGATACTGGTATTTCAGACATCAGAAAATTCATGGTTAGCATACATTAGTTTTAATCATATAAGTAAATGGTAAGAAATCATGAATAGATATTTAAGGAAGGGAAATTGAGCATGTATTTTCTTGAGAGAAGAAGTAATAACCATGCTACAAGGGAGAATGGATTAATTCTACTTACCTTAAACGTAGCATCAACCAGCAATATCAAAATAAAGATTAAAGTAACATTATTTTTATAGGTGTATATAATGTATTTTAGTTATTTACTCGGGTCTTTTCATATTCTTAGTTTAATAAATTTCACGTCAAAGCCTTTGGAATATATGTGTAATATTCATTGAGCTCTTGCCTAGAACAGTGTTAAACAATCTTTATGCATCAATTTATTTAAAGTTTACAATAAAGGTTTGAGACATTCTCATTTCCTAAACTATGAGTTTGAGTGAAGAAAGGTCATGGCATTATTGCTTGGGCAAGAACTGCCTAACGTTTCTTCTAAAATAAGAATAAAATTATTTTTTCTACGAGTTTATTTTTAGATTGAAATAAAATGTTACATGAAAACTTCCTAATACAGTGTTGACATGCAGCCAGAAGTTTCTACTTCCAGCTTTTTCTCATCTTTGCCTCGGCTTCTTTCTGGCCATTGGCTCTTCCTCTGTTCACTTATATAGCAGGCCAGGAGTGCCAGGGAATTACCACATTCCCAAGAGCAATCATCAGCAAATGACTGACGGGAACTAGTGCAAAAATCCCCAGCTCCTTCACCCCACTGAGCCACATGTTCTGTGCTGATTCCAAGACTTCCCTAGTGGGATTAAGTTTCAGTTGTCTGAAATGTTAAACCACTTAATAATCACTTATTGGCTGCCTTCTCTTTTCTACCTCACTTCCTCACTCCCCTTCCAATGTTTCCTGGGATCCCACTGCAAATAAACAGCATGCATTCAAAGCCTTTAGTAGAACCTGTTTCTGGGAACACAAACTAAAAATGTACTACTCTCCTAGACACTAGGGAAACGGCGGTAAAACAAACTAAGCTTAATGAAAAGCAGGTGAGAGAGACATTAACCTAATAAGTTTAAATGGTAAGTTAAAAAATGTACCCGTGTTCTAAATAAGGTTAAGAGAAAATGTCAGTTACTATAGAACCATATAGGAAGGGGAGCCAAATTATATTTGAGGGTAACGAGAGTCTTTTCTAAGGAAGTGAAGTTTAGATTGTAACATAAAGGATATTCAAAGGCTAAAAGGCAATGGACAGCCTAAATGTAAAGAACTCGAGCATTACCAGAGCAGAAAGAGCAAACAAACAAAGGGTCTCAGGAGGAAGTTGAAACAGGGCTGGACTATGAAACACTGTGCAGATCATGTTAAAAGTTCAAATATTAAGCATTGCTTGTTTGGAGGATAATGACAAAATCCTACACCTGACCCTTTTTGCACAACTCTCTCAAAACTATACATATAATCAGCAGCAAATGCAAAGAAAATCACACATAACCCATGCCTTCCACATCATTAGAATATGAGAAATTTCACAGATTTCAAGGTACTGTTAAGCAGGGAAATGAACTCCAAATCCTGACAGAGCTAATGCTGGTGCATGAACCATGGCTGCAAGCTCGTGTGTGTGTGGAGAGTGGGCAAAGGAGGATTTAAGAGACTAAGAAAAGAGAAGAGTAGAGTAGAAACCTTAGATGTAGCACTAAAAAGAAACCCTCTGAAAAAAAGTCCAACACTAAGTACTAAAATACTGAACATAGATCTCAGACTGAGTTGTTCACAGCACAAACCATAGAATAAGACTTCAAAGAAAATATGAAAAAAAAAAAAGCCGAAGACTTGGAGCTGCAATTCTCTGGGGGAGAATGAGATAAATATAGCAGAAATGATGTTTCTTGAAGATGTGAAGGTGAAGGGAAAAAAAGAAGGAAAAGGAAAAAAGTCACATGTAAAAATGAAAGAGAACAAGACATGACAAGCTCTCTCTATACCACCATCACTGGTGTCAGCTATTAGAAAATGTGAATTGTATTATTCAGTCAAAGAGAATGTTCCTCAATTGAGATCTCTGTCCAAAGATACTTAGGAATAGAAAAATTTCAACAAATTACATTTAAGTAATGTGGAGTTGTTGGGACTCAGAAAATGTTGCCCCACTGTATAGCACTTTGGCTTGCTGAGTACTTTGAACTACAGGCCATTGGAAGGACCACAGAAATAAAGTCTATTTCTGACCTTCTCCTGCCTTTTTTTGTCTCCTGCTTCCCTTTCTCCCCAAGACAGGCTATAGAAACTAGAATTCTTCTTCCCAAAGAAAGGTCATAGAAACTAGAAATATGACTCTAAACTTCCCCAGCTTTACTGTGTAGGAGCTGGCCATAAAGAAATTCTCTGACCTACGTTGTCTGATAGTCGTTCATAAGACCCTCATTCCAGAAAGGACCCTGCCCTATGCGTGGGAAGAAGGAATTCCACACAAAGAGACCAAGAAGAGTCTGAACAGACATGCCTTGCTGGGTTTACCCACTAATTCTATTACAATTAGATCATTCCCTTTTCATCTAATCATATTTTCACACAGCTGTCCATTCTTCATTGAACCCAAGCATAAATATGGACAATTTTCCCTGAGTCTCTGAGTCTTCATTTCTGAAGGCTCCCGTGTCATGTAAAACTTTAATTAAATACATCTGCTGGGCTTTTCTCTTCTTAACTTGTCTCTTGTTATAGGAGCATCAGCCATTACATTTATGATAGGGAGGACTCCTACAGAGGCATTTCTGGGAAATACTGTAAAAATAGTAAAGCTTAAAGTTTACATGTAGTTTGCTACAATTTATGTAAGGAAGAAGAAAAATAGCAAAACACATATATATCTGTTTAGTTTCACAAAAAGAAACATAGAAAACATGGACTAGAAGCAATGAAATTGGTGACTTGTAAGGAGAAAAGTGGGTTAGAAATGGCAAGAATTCCACAGAAGAGGGGTGAGACTTCTCTGAGTGTCACATTTTTGTAGTTTTCTCTTTTGAAGCATGCTAAAGTTCCATGTACTAAAAATAAGGGTAAATAAACCTGAATTGGACAAAAATTCAGATTTGATTCCAAGGGCAGGGGTAAGCAATTGCAAGTGATTGAATAGGAGAGAAGTAAGTGGTCATTTGGAGTTTTCAGAGTTTATTTTGACTGCAGTGTGGATCTTATAGTGCAAGACATGGGGCACCAACTAGGAGTGTAAAACAGAGTAGAAACACATTCACTTTTGCTTTCTAGAACATACACCTAGAAAAGGCTTATTAGAAAGGTGATTACTGATGGTAGGTTTCTGAGGCCCTGAGTAGCTCCAATGTATGGTATGTGGAATCGCCCTCCTAGGTGTTGTTGAATGGCTTCTTGGCATGCAGACACAGTACAGAAGAACACCTGGAGCAAAAGGCTCCTAGCCTGGAGAAACATAGGAAGCAAAGTCTGAGACTATGGACCATCTTGGATGATTAGTGAAAAAAAAAAATCTAAAAATATTTGGGTGTGACTAGAATTCTGGAATCTGCTTGGGGACTTGGAGACTCTTCTTGATATTTATTATGATACACTGAAGGGAGGTACAATTATTAAAGGGGTTAAAGAAGTGAACAAAAACTAATGAGTCTATGACTCTTTTAAAAAAATCCTGGGGTCCCCTTTATTTAATTAAGAACAGGATAGATAGATAAATAGATTTCAGGTGGCACAAAAATAAATTTTCCATCTTAATTAACTGGAAGAATAACATAGCAAGGAGATATTAGCAATATTAGCAATATTGCAATAATAGCAATAAAGCATTATAACCAAGAAGAAATGTTCTAATTACATATTACCATAAAGTCAACCAGTACTCCTGAAATTTGACAGTAAGATACAGCAGACCATGGAATTTAGAGTATGACTTTTAGAAGGATACATTTGAAACAACCTGTCTAACAGATGACTGACTAACAGAATCATTCAAACAGAACTATTTCAGCTACACTATTACAGATAGATTTCAAGTTTACCGTTACTTTGATTTTCTCACCTGCTAGCATGGCTTGGTACTAAAATCAATGGAAGAGAAAGCTCTGAATTGCAGATTATAGCCCATGGGGACTTGGGGAGAAGCTAATGAAAAAATGTTGTTATTCACCTCCCTGATTCAATAGTGCAGTTAGAATGATCAAAGTCAAATTGAGCCTTTACTGTTTTAAAACAACATAAAATTTTAAAACACTAAGATTCTGTCCAATGTAATTCTCCATATAGCCCTTGTCTAGAAAAGTGTGTTGATGAATAGCAAAAGTGTTGCTTTTGCATCTGAGAAGCTCCTCTTCTTGTAAATCAGATTATTATATACGTTGCTAGAGGGAGCTCTATTCCTCAGGTCTTGTAAAAGTCATGATAACATATCTAAATCTTTACCCAGTAGGGGGTGAGAATACACACACACACACACACACACACATATCAAAAACTAATCTTTGTAAAATATAACTGAACAATTCATTTTCAATAATTCAAAGCTAAAAGAAATAAGATGTTATCACACATTTATACATGTCAGAT
Organism: Homo sapiens; assembly: GCF_000001405.40. Lineage (NCBI taxonomy): Eukaryota > Metazoa > Chordata > Mammalia > Primates > Hominidae > Homo > Homo sapiens. Next base: position 58,159,562 of record NC_000004.12, on the reverse strand, counting down.
AATAGAATTTATTGAACATCCACTATTTTAAAAAGAGAAAGTAACTTCTTTGAAGATGTGGGGAGGAAAAAAGTGAGAAAACTTTCATTGCTCTTTACAATATTATTATTTGTTTATTCAGAAAGCATTCCTCATAAAAATTGGAAGCAACTGTAAGAAAATAAACTAAAATAACAAATTGAAATACACATAATGTAATACTGTAGAAACTAAAATTTGAGTTAAAGAAGAATTAGAGGTGGGCTGGTTCATTTGGAAGAGGCTTCTTTTTAGAAGTAAGTTTTGAAATTTGGTACAAAAATGAATGAGGCAGTCCAAGAAAAGAAAAAGTATATGCCTAGCTGTCTTAAGAGGCATAGCCACTAACATTAAGTAAACAAATAAAGCAAATTATATTTTCTGAACCAGATAACTCACTAGAAGCAGCAGGACTATCCAGAAAGCCAGGGGCTGGTAGGGACAAGAAAAAATTGAGGATGTGACAGTCAAATAGCATGACCCTCAAAGGATTTTTGTTTGTTTAATTAATTTAATAATAGACTGGAGGAATATGACCTGTATTGGGGTTTTTGGAGAGATGAAATAAATCCAACTCCTCTTCTCTGAATGAAACAGCTAGATATAAGTAAATAGATTAAATGGTATAAGAAGATCAAAATATCCCATTAGTTTTTAATATCAGCCAGGAATCACTACCAGTGAAGCACATTGAACAGTATTTTAAATTTTACTAAATCATTTTATCTTCACAACAACACAAGAGGGTAAAGTATCACAATTTTCTCCAACTAAAACATGAAGCAATTCAGGCTCACATAGCTAGTTAATGACATATTCAAGATTAAAATTGTCTGAGTCTGGTTGTCTTTGGAAAATGTGACCGAAGTGTATAACACAGGCTTCCAAAAATTAGCCTGAAACTAGATTCACTCATTCAGCTACAGATAGCACTGAACTGCCTCAGGCTTCTTCTACAATTAAGGACTTTCTTGAATAAAGTAAATAAAATGGAGGTGGAAATCAGAATGCATACTTCCTGCCTGCACACTGGCTTCCTGGAAGTAGAAGAGGAAAGGGTCCGTTTCTACGGCTAATTTAGAAATAAGTTATATCTCCTCCACCTGGGGAGAATTAAGAGAGATGATAGAGACAGATCAGGAGTGCTAGGCTTGTGGAAGTCTCTGCCCATAGCAGGAAACCATTCTCCTCCTTATAGACACACAAAATGTCTAGAAGTCTAATGAAAGAAAAATGAAGACTCTATTCTACTTCCTGGTCCTGAGGTGCAAGCTGAGGGAAGATAGGCCAGCCACCATGTATTAGTCTATTCTCTCACTGCTAATAAAGACATACCCAAAACTGGGTGATTTATAAAGGGAAGAGGTTTAATTTACTCACAGTTCCACATGGCTTGGGAGGCCTCACAATCATGGCAGAAGGCAAAGGAGAAGCAAAGTCACGTCTTACATGGTGCAGGCAAGAGAGGTTGTTCAGGGGAACTCCGCTTGATAAAACCATAAGATCTCTTGACACTTATTCACTATCATGAGAATAACATGGGAAAAACCCACCCCCATGATTCAATTACTTCTCACTGGGTCCCTCCCACAACATATGGGTATTATTACAATTCAAGGTGAAATTTGGGTGGGGACACAGAGCCAAACCATATCAAACCACATCCTCAGAGAACTATCTGAGAAGTAGAATTCTCATGAAACACCCAGGCTACATTAGGCTCCACAAGCAAAAGGAGCATTTGGCAAAGATATGAATAATTTAGGAGAGTGTTATTAAAAAGAAACATACACTCATGCATATATACAATGTGGGTGTGTGCATGTATGTATATACACACACATATACGTGTTTGTGTGTATATATATGTGTATATATATGTATATGTGTGTATACATATATAGACCTACACATATGTAGGTGTATATATGTATACACACATATACATATATATATACACACATACATATATATGTATATATACACACATATATATACACATACATAGATATATATACACCTCTCTCTATATATATATAATATATATCTCTCTCCCTGTCTCTCTCTATATATATACATATATAAGAGAGAGAGATGTGTATATATATATATATAGAGAGAGAGAGAGAGAGAGAGACAGACAGACAAACAGAGAGAGAGAATTTCAGAAGGCCCAGGTTTAGTAAAGGGGTCCAGTATGAAGAAAAGAATTTTAAGTTTGAGTTGTATGTTTGACATGAACACTAAGAAGGGGACAACAGACTCTGGATCCTACTTGAGGGTGGAGGGTGGAAGGAGGGTGAGGATGAAAAAACTACCTATCAGGCTTATTACCTGAGGGATGAAATAATCTGTACAGCAAACCCCCTTGACAGGCAATTTGCCTATGTTACAAACTTGTACATGTACCCCCGAACCTAAAAAAAAAAAAAAACAGTTGGAATGAAGAAAAGCAGACTATAGGGGTGAAAATATGGGAGAGTAAAGATGACTAGAAGAAGCTTTATGTTGGCTTGTAAAGTATGGTTGGTTTCTTCTTCATAGTCACGCGGAGGATGATGTGCACTCTGGTCCCCTGCAATCTGGATACCAGGTTCCTTTCTCTCTTGACCTTCTGAGGTTGGTAGTGGTGGTGGACAGAGACAAGCAAGCTGAGGCTGGACTCCTTATGCAGATGGAGTAGAGCACAAGGAGAAGGAAGGAAGGGAAACACATAGCTTAGCACTAGGGTGCTTCATGATTGTTTTCTGTGGTGTGACTACTGAGTTTTAAATATACTTCTGAACTGAAAGAAGGCTAGGAAAGGATTGCATATACTCAAAACAACATATTAGTTGAGTGGTAAAGACAGATACCAGACTCAAGGGATTATGGGGGCAGCCTGAAGTGAAGAAATGAAATGATTAGCTAAAAGAATTGGAAAGACTGAGGTCATCATGACTAAAAATAATAAAAAAATTTATTAAAGGAGAGAGGACAGAGGAGATAGAGATGAGATTGTATTCAGAGGGTTTGATTTCTTGAAGGGAAAAAAATTTAAAAGACAATTACATTTAAATTGTTGTCATGGTTTGTAGTTGGAGCTTCCTTAAGTAAAAGTCAAAAAAAATCAATGTTATACATAAATTGAAAATTGGGATGCTCATTGCAGAGGCTTGTGCCTATAATCCCAGCTACCTGGGAAGCTCAGGCTGGAGGATTACTTGACCCCAGTAATTTGACACTAGGCTAGGCAACATATTGAGACTCCACCTCTGCAAAAACTACGAGTGAAAAAATTAGACAGCCATGGTGGCTTGTACCTATAGTCCCAGCTACTTCAGAGGCTGAGTCAGGAGCATCCTTTGAGCCCAGGAGTTCAAGGCTGCAGTGAGCTGTAATTGCACCATGGAACTCATTTAACAATGAGACCTCATTGCTAAAGAAGAAAAAGAAAAAAAAAAAAGGAATACCTAGTAGGGCTTAATTATTTAACTTGATTTAAGAAAAAATAAATTTGATTTACAAGTTATCAGTAGTTTCCATCTCTGGTCATGGAAATACTACTTTATCTTTGAAAAAGTTTGAGAAAATCATCTGAATGGCAAATGTACCACAATTACAAACTTATTGCTGTTGGTGCAGATATTGACAGTATCATTATCTCTTCCCTATATGTTAGTTTTTTAGACTGAAGTTTACCTTCTCAATCATCCTGAATCAGTCAAGACATCTGGTTTTGAACTGGAGTAGAGAAAGGATTTTTTCTTCTCTCTAAGGTCAATACACATTTGATCTAGACATCAGGATAGAAGTATGAGTAAAGGAACTTTAAAAAAAGATTTTATTATACTTTAAGTTCTGGGATACATGTGCAGAACATGCAGGTTTGTTACACAGGTATACATGTGCCATGGTGGTTTGCTGCACCTGTCAACCCATCATCTACATTAGGTATTTCTCCTAATGCTATCCCTCCCCTAGCCCCCTACCCCATGACAGGCCCGGGTGTGTGATGTTCCCCTCTCTGTATCCATGTGTTCTCATTGTTCAACTCCAGCTTATAAATGAGAACACGTAGTGTTTGGTTTTTCTGTTCCTGTGTAAGTTTGCTAAAAATGATGGTTTCCAGTTTCATCCCATGTCCCTGCAAAGGACATGAACTCATCCTTTTTTATGGCTGCATAGTATTCCACGGTGTGTATGTGCCACATTTTCTTTATGCAGTCTATCATTGATGGACGTTTGGGTTGGTTCCAAGTCTTTGCTATTATGAACAGTGCCACAATAAACCTACGGGTGCATGTGTCTTTATAGTACAAGGATTTATAATCCTTTGGGTATATACCCAGTAATGAGATTGCTGGGTCAAATGGTATTACTAGTTCTAGATCCTTGAGGAATTGCTACACTGTCTTCCACAATGGTTGAACTAATTTACACTTTCACCAACAGTCTAAAGGTGTTCTTATTTCTCCACATCTTCTCCAGCATCTGTTGCTTCCTGACTTTTTAATGATCACCATTCTAACTGACGTGAGATGGTATCTCATTATGGTTTTGATTAGCATTTCTCTAATGACCAGTGATGATGAGCTTTTTTTCATATGTTTGTTGGCTGCATAAATGTCTTCTTTTGAGAAGTGTCTGTTCATATCCTTCCCCCATTTTTGATGAGGTTGTTTGTTTATTTTTCTTGTAAATCTGTTTAAGTTCTTTGTAGATTCTGGATATTAGCTTTTTTCTTATAAATCTGTTTAAGACCTTTGTAGATTCTGGATATTAGCCCTTTGTCAGATGGATAGATTGCAGAAATTTTCTTCCATTCTTTAGGTTGCCTGTTCACTCTGATGATAGTTTCTTTTGCTGTGTGCAAAGGTTCTTTAGTTTAATCAGATCCCATTTCTCTACTTTGGCTTTTGATACCATTGCTTTTCATATTTTAGTCATGAAGTCTTTGCCCATGCCTATATCCTGAATAGTATGGCCTAGGTTTTCTTCTAGGGTTTTTATGGTTTTAGGTCTTACATTTAAGTCTTTAATCCTTCTTGAGTTAATTGTTGTATAAGATGTAAGGAAGTGATCTAGTTTCAGCTTTCTGCATATGGCTAGCCCGTTTTCCCAACACCATTTATTAAATAGAGAATCCTTACCCCATTGCTTGTTCTTTTCAGGTTTATCAAAGATCAGATGGTTGTAGATGTGTGGCGTTATTTCTGAGGCCTCTGTTCTGTTCCATTTGTCTATATATCTGTTTTGGTACCAGTACCATGCTGTTTTGGTTACTGTAGCCTTCTGGTATAGTTTGAAGTCAGGTAGTGTGATGCCTCCAGCTTTATTCTTTTTGCTTAGGATTGTCTTGGCTATGCAGGCTCTTTTTTGGTTCCATATGAAATTTAAAGTAGGTTTTTCCAATTCTTTGAAGAAAGTCAATGGTAGCTTGATGTGGATAGCACTGAATCTATAAATTATTTTGGGCAGTATGGCCATTTTCACAATATTGATTCTTCCTATCCATGAGCATGGAATGTTTTTCCATTTGTTTGTATCCTCTCTTATTTCCTTGAGCAGTGGTTTGTAGTTCTCCTTGAAGAGTTCCTTCACATCCCTTGTAAGTTGGATTTCTCAGTATCTTATTCTCTTAGTAGCAATCGTGAATGGAAGTTCACTCATGATTTGGCTCTCCATCTGTTATTGGTGTATAGGAATGCTTGTGGTTTTTGCACATTGATTTTGTATTTTGAGACTTTGCTGAAGTTGCTTATCAGCTTAAGGAGGTTTTGGGTGGAGATGATGGGGTTTTCTAAATATACAATCATGTCATCCACCAACAGAGACAATTTGACTTTCTCTTTTCCTAACTGAATACTCTTTATTTCTTTCTCTTGCCTGATTGCCCTGGCCAGAACTTCCAATACTATGTTGAATAAGAGTGGTTAGAGAAGGCATCCTTGTCTTGTGCCAGTTTTCAAAGGGAATGTTTCCAGTTTTTTACCCACTCAGTATGACATTGGCTGTGGGTTTGTCATAAATAGCTCTTATTATTTTGAGATACATTCCATCAATACCTAGTTTATTGAGAGTTTTTAGCATGAAGTGCTGTTGAATTTTGTCGAAGGTCTTTTCTGCATCTGTTGAGATAATCATGTGGTTTTTGTCATTGGTTCTGTTTATGTCATGGATTACATTTATTGATTTGCATATGTGAACCTGCCTTGCATCCCAGGGAGGAAGTTGACTTGATCGTGCTGGATAAACTTTTTAATGTGCTGCTGGATTCGTTTTGCCAGTATTTTATTGAGGAGTTTTACATTGATATTCATCAGGGATATTGGCCTGTAATTTTCTTTTTTTGTTGTGTCTCTGCCAGGTTTTGGTATCAGGTTGATGCTGGACTCATAAAATGAGTTAGGGAGGATTCCCTCTTTTTCTGTTGTTTGGAATAGTTTCAGAAGGAATGGTACCAACTCCTCTTTGTACCTCTGTTAGAATTCGGCTGTGAATCCATCTTGTCCTGGACTTTTTTTGATTGGTATGCTACCAATTGCTGCCTCAATTTCAGTACTTGTTATTGGTCTATTCAGCGATTCGATTTCTTCCTGGTTTAGTCTTGGGAGAGTGTATGTGCCCAGGAATTTATCAATTTCTTCTAGATTTTCTACTTTATTTGCGTAGAGTTGTTTATAGCATTATGTGATGGTAGTTTGTCTTTCTGTGGGATCGGTGGTGATATCACCTTTATCATTTTTTTATTGCACCTATTTGATTCTTCTGTCTTATATTCTTTATTATTCTGGCTAGTGGTCTATTTTGTTGATCTTTTCAAAAAACCAGCTCCTGGATTCATTGATTTTTGAAGGGTTTTTCGTGTCTCTATCTCTTTCAGTTCTGCTCTGATCTTAGTTATTTCTTGTCTTCTGCTAGCTTTTGAATTTGTTTGCTCTTACTTCTTTAGGTGTTTTATTTTTGATATTAGGGTGCCGATTTGAGATCTTTCCTGCTTTCTCTTGCAGGCATTTAGTGCTGTAAATTTCCCTCTACACACTGCTTTGAATGTGTCCCAGAGATTCTGGTACGTTGTGTCTTTGTTCTCATTGGTTTCAAAGAACATCTTTATTTCTACCTTCATTTCATTATTTACCCAGTAGTCATTCAGGAGCAGGTTGTTCAGTTTCCATGTAGTTGTGCAGTTTTGAATGTTTCTTAATATTGGGTTCTAATTTGATTGCATTGTTGTCTGAGAGACTGCTATGATTTTTGTTCTTTTCCATTTGCTGAGAAGTGTTTTACTTCCAATTATGTGGCCAATTTTAGAATAAGTGCAATTAGGTGCTGAGAAGAATGTATATTCTGTTGATTTGGGGTGAAGAGTTCTGTAGATGTCTATTAGGGCCACTTGGTCCAGAGCTGAGTTCAAGTCCTGGATATCCTTGTTAATCTTCTGTCTCACTGATCTGTGTAATGTTGACACTAGGGTGTTAAAGTCTCCCACTATTATTGTCTGGCAGTCTAAGTCTCTTTGTATGTCCCTAAGAACTTGCTTTATAAATCTGGGTGATCCTGTATTGGGTGCATGTATATTTAGGATAGTTAGCTCTTCTTGTTGAATTGATCCCTTTACCATTATGTAATGCCCTTCTTTGTCTCTTTTGAGCTTTGTTGGTTTAAAGTCTGTTTTATCAGAGACTAGGATTGCAACCCCTGCTCTTTTTTTCTTTCCAATTTCTTGGTAAATATTCCTCCATCCCTTTATTTTGACCCTATGTGTGTCTTTGCAAGTGAGATGGGTCTCCTGAATACAGCACATTAATCAGTCTTGACTCTTTATCCAATTTGCCAGTCTGTGTCATTTATTTGGAGCATTTAGCCCATTTACATTTAAGGTTAATATTGTTATGTGTGAATTTGATCCTGACATTATGATGCTAGCTGGTTATTTTATCTGTTAGTTGATGCGGTTTCCTCACTAGTGTCGATGGTCTTTCCAATTTGGTATCTTTTTGCAATGGTGTGGTACTGGTTGTTCCTTTCCATGTTTAGTGCTTCCTTCAGGAGCTGTTGTAGGGCAGGCCTGGTGGTGACAAAATCTCTCAGCATTTGCTTGTCTGTAAAGGATTGTATTTCTCCTTCGCTTATGAAGCTTAGTTTGGCTGGATATGAAATTCTGGGTTGGAAATTCTTTCCTTTAAGAATGTCGAATATTGGCCCCCACTCTCTTCTGTCTTATTGGGTTTCTGCTGAGTGATCCGCTGTTAGTCTGATGGGTTTCCCTTTGTGGGTAACCCAACCTTTCTCTCTGCCCTTGACATTTTTTCCTTCATATCAACCTTGATGAATCTGACGATTGTATGTCTTGGGGTTGCTCTTCTCGATGAGTACCTCTGTGGTGTTCTCTATATTTCCTGTATTTGAATGTTGGCCTGCCTTGCTAGGTTGAGGAAGTTCTCTTCGATATCCTGAAGAGTGTTTTCCAACTTGGTTCCATTCTCCCAATCACTTTCAGGTACACCATTCAAGCTTAAGTTTGGTCTTTTCATATAGTCCCATATTCTTGGAGGCTTTGTTTGTTTCTTCTCACTCTTTTTTCTCGAATCTTGTGTTCTCATTTTATTTCATTGAGTTGATCTTCAGTGTCTGATATTCTTTCTTCTGTTTCATTCATTCAGCTATTGATAATTGTGTATGCTTCATGAAGTTCTCATGCTGTGTTGTTCAGCTCCATCAGGTCATTTATATTCTTCTCTAAACTGGTTATTCCAGTTAGCTATTCATCTAACTTTTTTTCAAGGTTCTTAGCTTCCTTGCACTGGGTTAGAACATGCTCCTTTAGCTCAGAGGAGTTTGTTATTATCCACCTTCTGAAGCCTGCTTCTGTCAATTCATCAAACTCATTCTCCACCCAGTTTTGTTCCCTTGCTGGCGAGGAGTTGTGGTCCTTTGGAGGAAAATGGATGCTCTGTTTTTTGGAATTTTCAGGCTTTTTTGCACTGGTTTCTCCCCATCTTCGTGGATTTATCTATCTTTGGTCTTTGAAGTTGGTGACCTTCGGATGGGGCCTCTGAGTGGACATCCTTTTTGTTGATGTTGATACTATTCTGTTTGTTAGTTTTCCTTCTAACAGTCAGGACCCTGTGCTACAGGTCTGCTGGAGTTTGCTGCAGACCCTGCTTGCCTAGGTATCACCGGCGGAGGCTGCAGACCAACAAAGATTGCTGCCTGTTCCTTCCTCTGGAAGCTTCTTCCCAGAGGGGCACCTGCCAGATGCCAGCCAGAGCTGTCCTCTGTGAGGTGTCTTTCGGCCCCTACTGGGAGGTGTCTCCTAGTCAGGATACATGGGGGTCAGGGATCCACTTGAAGAGGCAGTCTGTCCCTTATCAGAGTCCAAACACTGTGCTGGTAGATTTGCTGCTCTCTTCAGAGCTGCCAGGTAGGGAGATTTAAGTCTGCTGAAGCTGCGCCCACGACCGCCCCTTCCCCAAGGTGCTCTGTTCCAGGGAGGTGGGGGTTTTATCTATAAGTTCCTGACTGGGGCTGCTGCCTTTTTTTTCAGAGATGCCCTGCCCGGAGAGGAGGCAGTCTGGCCGCAGTGGCCTTGCTGAGCTGCGTTGGGTTCTGCCCAGTTCGAACTTTCTGGCAGCTTTGTTTACACTGTGAGGATGAAACTGCCTACACAAGCCTCAGCAATGGCAGACGCCCCTTTCCCCCACGAAGCTCGAGTGTCCCAGGTCAAGCTCAGACTGCTATGCTGGCATGGGAATTTCAAGCCAGTGGATCTTAGCTTGCTGGGCTCTGTGGGGGTGAGACCCACTGAGCCAGACCACCTGGCTCCCTGGCTTCGACCCCCTTTGCACGGAGTGAGTGGTTCTGTCCTGCTAGCATTCCAGGCGCCACTGGGGTATGAAAAAGAAACTCCTGTGGCTAGCTCAGTGTCTGCTCAAACGGCCGCCCAGTTTTGTGCTGGAAACTGCGGGCCCTGTTGGGGTAGGCACCAGAAGGAATCTCCTGGTCTTCAGGTTGCAAAGAGGATGGAAGAACGCAGTATCCGGACCAGGGTGCACGGTGGAGTCACTAATGGCTTCCCTTGGCTGGGAGAGGGAGTTCCCTGACCCCTTGAACTTCCCAGGTGAGGCAATGCCCCAAACTACTTCAGCTCGCCCTTCTTGGGCTGCATCTACTTTCCAACCAGTCCCAGTGAGATGAATCGGATACCTCAGTTGAAAATGCAGAAATCACTCGCCTACTGCATCGATCTCGCTGGGAGCTGCAGAATGGAGCTGTTCCTGTTTGGCCATCTTGCCGGCAACCTGTCCATATTTAATTTTGAGGAACTGCCACACCATTTTCCAAAGTGGCTGAGTCATTTTATATTCCAACCCACAATGCACGTGAGTTTCAATTTTACCATACCATCATCAACACTTGTAATTTTTTATCTTCTTTATTTTGTGTTTCATTTCAAATAGAGTTATTTCTATACATATTCTAAATACAAGTCCCTTATCAAATACATAATTGGCAATTTTTTTCCCTATTCTGTGGGTTGCCTTTTTACTTTCTTGGTTTTTTTTTTTTTTTTTTTGAGATGGAGTCTTGCTCTGTTGCCCAGGCTGGAGTGCAGTGGTGTGATCTCAGCTCACTGCAAGCTCTGCCTCCGGGGTTCATGCCATTCTTCTGCCTTAGCCTCCCAAGTAGCTGGGACTACAGGTGCCCGCCACCACACCTGGCTAATTTTTTGTATTTTTAGTAAAGATGGGGTTTCACCGTGTTAGCCAGGATGGTTTCGATCTCCTGACCTCATGATCTGCCCGCCTTGGCCTCCCAAAGTGCTGGGATTACAGGCATGAGCCACTGTGCCCGGCCTCTTGATGGCATTTTTTAATGCACAAGATTTTTTAAATTTTGGTAAAGTTTAATTTATTCACTTTCTTCTGTTGCCTGTACTTTTGGTGTCATATTCAAAAATCCTTTGTCAAATCCAAGAACATAAACATGTATCCGTATGTTGTCTTCCAAGATTTTTATAGTTTTAGCTCTTAACATATAAGTATTTATCCAGTTTGAATTAATTTTTGTATATGGTGTAAGGTATGTATACAATTTCATCCATTTGCATATGTCTATCCATTTGTTTAAAAGAATATTCTTTCCCCCTTTGTATGGTCTCTGCATCTTTGTCAAAAATCAGTTGACATATGGGTTTATTTCTGGACTCTTAATTATAGTCCATTGATTTATACATCTATCCCTATGCCAGTAGCATACTGTCCTTAATTACTATAACTTTGCAACAAGTTTTAAAATCATGAAGTCCTCTGTTCATTTTTGATACTTTTTTTGACTCTTCTAAGTCCCTTGTCTCCTAGGTCACATATAAATTTTTGAATTAATTAATCAATTTTTGCAAAGTAGTCAGCTGAGAGTTTAATAGAGATTATATGAAATCTATAGATCAATTTGGGGACTATTGCTATCTTAACAACATTGTCTTTCCATCCATGGACACAATGTCTTTCTATTTATTTAGGTCTTTTAAATTTTCTTTCTTTAAAATATTACATAGTTTTAAAGTATAAATTTTATACTTGTTTTGTTAAATTTATTCTAAAATATTTTATTATTTGTGATGCTATTGCAAGTGGGATTTTAATTTTATTTTTTCATTAGTAATTACAAGTGTATAAAAATACGATAGATTTTTGTATATTGATCTTGTATCTTGCAACCTTGCTGAAGTCATTGATAGATTCTAGTAGATTTGTAGTGGATTCCTTTGGATTTCTATGTACAAGACCATTTCATCTGACATTTCATGTACATGATTTTACTTTCCTCATTTCCAATCTGGGTACCTTTTATTTCTTTTTCTTGATGAATTAACTTGTCTAGAACCGCTAGTATAATATTAGATAGACAGAGCAAGAGCAGTCATCCTTGACTTGCTCCTGATCTTTGCAAAACAAACATCCAGTCTTTGACCATTAAGCTTGATGTTATCTGAGGGTTTTTTATAGGTGCCCTTTATCATGTTAAAGAAATTATTTTCTATTTCTAGTTTGTTTACTATTTTTACAATGAAGTGGTGTTGCAACTTGTCAAATGCTTTTTCTGCTTCTATTCAAGTGATCATGCAATTTTTGTTATATATTCTATTGATAGGAAGTATTACATTAATGGATTTTTAAGATGTTAAACAACCCTACCATTCCTGAGATAAGTCCCACTCAATCATGGTATATAAGTCTTTTTATATGTTACTGGATTTTGTTTTCTGGCATTTTTTTTTTCTTGAGCATTTTTACAACCATATAAATAAGGTTGTTGGGCAGTGATTATCCTTTTGTGTTGTGTTTGGCTGGATTTAGTATCAGGGTAATTAATACTTGCCTCATAGAATGAGTTGGGAAGTGCTCCTTCTTCCTGTACTTTTACAAGAGATTTTAAAAGAATGATATGAATTTTTCTTTACAAGTTTGGTAGAATTGACCATTCAAGCCAGCTAGGTCTGGGCTTCTCATTGAGAGGTTGGTAAATACAAATTCGATGTCTTTACTTGTTATAGGTCATATTTTAAAATTTTATTCTTGAGACAATTCTGATAGTTTGTGTCCATCTATAAATATTTCTATTTAATCTAGGTTATCTGATTTGTTGCATATAATTGTTCATATAATTACCCAATAGTTTACCTTACGTCTTTATTTCCCTAAAGTCAATAGTAATCCCCTTCTTTCATTTCTATTATTAGTTTACATCCTCTCTCCTTTTATTTTCTTCACTTTAGCTAAAGGTTTCTTAATGTCATTGATTCTTTCAAAGAACAAACTTCAGGTTTTAAGGATTTTCTTTATTGTTTCTATGTTGTCTGCTTTATTTATTTTTTTCTCTAATTTTTATTATTTCCTGCCTCACATTTTATTGGGGTTTAGTTTTCTTTTTCTAGTCTTAAGTTGAAATGTTAGGTTATTGATTTGAATTTTTTCTTGTTTTTAACATACACATTTATATGTATGAAATTTTCTCTAAGCTCTTCTGTAGCTACACTCCGTAAGTTTTGATATACTGTATTATTTTCATTTATCTCAAAATATTTTCTAATTTTTTGTGATTTTTTCTGTGACCTATTGGTTATTTAGAAGTGTCAATTAATTTCCATATATTTGTGAATTTTCACATTTTCTTTCTTTTATTGATTTCTAGTTTAATTCCACTATAGTTGAAGGACATATTTTGTATGAATTTAATTATTTTGAATGTATTGAGGCACTGTTTATGGCCTAGCATATGGTTTATCCTGATGAATCCTCCATGTGCACTTGATAGGAAAAATGTTCCAACTCTACAAAAGACCAACCTTATATTGAAGTAAAATAAAAGAATAGAAAATTATATGCCATGCAAATGCTAATAAAAGGGACAAAAGATACTTTGAAACAAAACTTGTTACTAAAAAAAAGAAGACATTCTATAATTATAGAGGAAATTAGTAGAAACAATATAACAATTCTAAACATATGTGAATCTAACAACAGAGCCCAAAAACATATGAAGTAAAAACTGACAGAGTTGTAGAGATAAATAGACAATTCAATAATAATAACTGGAAGCCTGGATATTAACTGGAAGCCTGGATATTCTACTTTCAACAGTGGATAGAACAACTAGGCAGAAGATCAATGGGGAAATAGGAGGATGGAATGACACCATAAGTGAACTTGACCTGACAGATGTGCAGAACATGTCATATAACAACAGCAAAACATACATTTCTATCAAAAGATGCTGTGGAATGTGTGTCAGAGAGAAGGGTGAACACACTCACCGCGTTCTCAAAGAGCTTTTGTGGCAAGACTGAACCGAGGAATGACAGAAGGGAGAACATGTGAGGATCATGGGAAGTGGAAAACATGCCAGAAAGTCAGACTGAATAAAGGAGGATCTCAGAGATTAATTATTCCATCATGGGACAAGCTCATTTGTGTTTAAGGATTAGTTATTGAAGAAATACGTAAGCAATATAAAATTTTATAAAAGTTTGACTCACTCCCAATATTACAGCTACGTTTTGATTTTCTTATAATTTTGTGACTTCTTGTAGTATATTTCATGTTAATTCCACAGCATGTTATGCTGATAATAGTACCAGCAACTTGTGTCATGGTGACATGGAAACTGCTAATTATTTTATAATTCACTGAGTGCAAAAAATAAAGGTCAGGCCTCAAAGCTCCAAGTTTTAATTTTTTTAGAAAATCTCATCCACTTTGAATTAAGCTCTGTAAATCTTAGCAGTATCACCATGCTGAGGGACAAATGCACACAGTCAGTGGTTAATTTAACATCTCAATCATATTATTCATGACTTAAGGAGGCCTATAACATATGTGAATTGTGATTTCAAATTCTGGACACCATTAATATAGTAGATACTGTTGGGCCCTCACCCAAATCCCTTTACCAGGGCAGATGCAGGCATCCCCCATCTGCTATAAGCTGGTTGATTAAGGGTCACAGCTACCTCTTCTCTAGACAGCTGCCACTGACTAAATAGGAGCTATTTGTCTTGTGGAATATGCACACCATTCCTCATCCTCATCCTTCTTTCCTCATAGTCGGTAGCCAATGACAGACAGATTAAAATGGCTGTTCCCTTTGTATCAAGGAACAAATCTCCAGTGTAATTGGCACTCTAGAGCTCCCAGTGTAATCAAGATAAGGTTAAACTTACATTTTTGCTTATCTTCTTCCCCTAATCTATTATGTTTCCTCCAGTTGCCTTCTTCTGAAGACATCTTCAGTCACTAGCACTTGAATCCCATCTCAGATTTTTATTCTAGAATATAAAAATTCATATCTCTGATTCAAGGGGGTGGAATAAATCTTACATTTTTAAATGTCTACAATATCCTACTTGGTACTAGGAATAGTGTTATTATTCTCATTTTATACCAAAAAAAAATCAGAATCAAAATCTCACACTATGTACACTGACTCATTTGAGTGATAAGAAAAACTTCAAAACACTAAATTTGCAAAATTCAATTATATGAAATGTATCACTAAATCTTACTGTATTATGATATTAAATTCACTCAGAAAAGCAAACCAGGTGCCAATAAACAGTGTTGTAGTTTAGAGGTTAACAGGCAAATTGTGGAGTCAGACTACAGAGCTTTCAAGCCTGGCTCTGTCACTTACAATCTTTGTGACTATAGGCAAGTAAATTAATTTCTCTGTACCTTAGTTCCCACATTTGTGAAATAGGAATAACTATAGCATCTCTCAGGTTTATTTTCAAAATTCGTAAGTCTATTTGATTCTATAAGCTGACAACCTTGTGCAGAAATGTCAGAAATCTGTTATAGTTGGAGGGATAAAAATAGATTTACAGAGAAAATTTCAAAATATTCTGACTTTGTTTAGCAAATAAATGTGATTAAATAAAAAAAAAAAGTCTAGTAAGATGGGGAATTCACCAGGTAAGAAATAATCAATTACCAGATATATAATTCTTTTTTATTAAAAAATATTTTCTGTGTACCTTTAATATGCAGGCTTTATAATATTCACTCAAAAACTTAGTTAAAACAAACTATTTTTCTTTTTTTATCTTGAATGTCCAGAGACAAATATGAGACCAAAATAAATTTTAAAAATAAAATTGATTTGATTCACAGGAAATAAATGCTCTAACAGCCTTAGTTATGTGTGAAATCAGAACCCATCTTAGATGAGAAAAAAAATGACTGCACCAAAAAGATATGACCATCAACATTTCACTTCAATTATTGTTGATCAAACTATTTCATTAAATATACAATAATCTTTTTTTTTCAGAAAAATGCCCTAAACCACACCTCTCTTTTAACTGCTTTTAATAACATCTTGAAAGCAAAAAGTCTCGTCTTTCCCATTCTTCTCTCAAAGCTAACTATCTGCATCCAAAATAGACAAAAACATAAAACTCAGATCAGGAAGTTCCTAGATCAACTTCTTCCTAGGATCTATCCTCTTAAAAATTGTATCCAATGACAATTTTTAAAAACTGATAGATACCATGTTTCTAGAAATAACGGCTTTGTTTATCTCACTCATTACTTAATTGGGTACTTAGTTAATTACTTCAATCAACCACGCTGTTACAGTTGCAATGGGTATTTACTGAGAATCTGGTAGGTGCATGGCAGTTCCTAGGTATTGGTACAGTGGCAGGTAAAGTCCTTGTCTCTTGCAGCTTATATTACTAGGTAAATGTATATTAAACTAATAAATGATCAAACAAGAGAATTACAGTTTGTGATTGTTTCTATAAAGGATATGAACTGTGTACTGTCGTAGAAAGTAACTGAAATATGTGTGCATATTTGGAAGCTGTTTTAAAGAGTTGAAGTTTCGAAAATAAAAATAAGCTGTCAGGAAGAGTTGGGAAAAGAACCAAGCATAAGGCAGAGCAGGTGCAAAGGCTCTGAGTAGGAAAATACTTGGGGTGTTCAAGAAGGTGACAGAAAATGATCATTGCTCATGAAGCTCAGTGGGTAGCAAAACATGAAGTTGGAAAGGAAGGCAGAATTTGGGTTATGTAGGTTCATGTAGTCTGGTGAGGAATTTTAACTTATTTACAAGAGCAATTAAGCCACTGAGGTTTTAAGTAAGATGTTATTAAATTAAAAATTAATTTAAAAAACTGATTCTCTTGTGTCTACAACATATTGGAAAATAAGTAAGAATAAAACTAGGAAAAACAAATCAGATACTGGCAAAGAAATCTAGGCAAGAAATGATGGTGGCTTGGAAATTCTGTGGTAGTAGTGGAGACAAGTGGACAAATGCAGAATATTTTGGGAGTTAATTTAAAAGGTCTATTGATATTTGGAATATGAGTAGGCAGATGAGATAAGCAGAGGAATTAACTAGATTTTTAATTTAATAATTAATGATAAAATGGGAAAGAACAGGGAAGGTAGAGAGATGGAGAGGAAAGAATCGAGAACTCCATATTTAGTCTTACTGAATTTAAGATGGTTTCACCTAACATCCCAGTGGAGACATCATATAGTCATTTGAAAATAAAAATTTGAATATCAAGGGATAATTCTAGACAAGATATACAACTGGGCAACATCAGCATATAGATAGACTTTTGAGCCTTGACGCTGGGCAAGCTTACCTAAATAAGGAGTGTAAATATGGAAAAAAAAAAAAGCCAAGTAAAGAGAATGTTTCAAAAAAGACAGGTCAAATTTGAAAGCTGCTTAGGTTTTGAGAAGGATAAGGATGCTGAGGTGGTAATTACATTTTTTAAAAATTGGTGGTTTTGGTGCTCTCTGACAGGAGTAGATTCAGAGATTCAGGGGAATATACAGATGACAACCATGAACAGATAGATAGACTTATCTTGACTGTCCAGAAACAAATTTGAGACCTAAAGAATTTTGAAGAAATATAGACATATCAGTGTAAATAACATATTTGAAAAGTTTATTGTGAAGGGATGCACAGAAATAGGTATATGACTGAAGGGGGCTGTAAAGAAAGGATTTTTTTTAAGATGGGAAATACTACTATACGTTTTATGCTGATAAAAAGAAAAGACTGTTGATTTCTGGAGAAAAAATATTGAAAATCAGGAAGAGGAAATATTTTCAGAAAGAAAAGAGACAATAAAAGCATGAGGGATATAAAGATTTGGATTTGATAGCAACAGGGTAATTTCTTCCATTGGAACAGGACAGAACGCACAGAAAATGGTTAGAGATACAGGTTTTAGCTTACAGATTTGACTAATGGAGGAAGAAAAAGGTGTACTCTGATCGCTGGAAATTATGAGATCTAGAGCAAGAGAATCTTTGATAAGGTATGCAATTTTTAAAGGATAAAAGTGGTGTTGGTTATATAATGAGATGATTAGGATGATAAGAAGAAAGGGTAGTGACCCACCTACCTGTGAAATACGTGTAACTGGCCTTACATTACTTCATCTTCAATATTTGTCAAAAAGAGCAACTCGAAAGTTAATGTGAAAGAAGAAGTAGAAATAATTCAAAGGCACTTAGATGTATAGTATGAAGACCTTGGACTCCATTTGAAAGGTCTGAAATTGTAATTGGTTATGTTACACTGTCTCTTAATCTATTCTTTGTTTTAAATGAATGCCTCTTTCTTCAAAATCTCTATGAAATCCACTAAAAACTTTAAAAATTCAGAGATGCTTTCTAGCTGGATCCTTTATTTGAACAATTTTCTTCTACTTGAAGACTGTAAAAAATTTCAAAACATTTTACCCGTGTGCCAGTTTCATGGTTTTAGTGCAAGTAAATAACTTTCAGTTTTTATGTTTGTGGAAACAAAGCACACATGCAGAAAAATGCTAAAGTATAAATGTACAATGTAATGAGTTACTACACTATGAACACTTATATATCTGATAGCCAGGAACGAGAGAAAAACTATTACTAGTCCTTTAAAAGGTCCCCAAATGCCCCTTACTGGTGACAACACCCTTTCTCCCTCCCAAGGTTAACCTACATTTATCTTTATACTTTTAACCCTTAATGATATATCTCTAAATAATATGGTTTATTTTTGCCTGTTTTGAACTTTATGTGAATAAAATCACAGAGTATGTTTCCTTTTGTGTATAAATTATTTTGCTGAAAACTGTTTTTAATACCTATCCATGTTATTGTTGTGTATCTATTTTTAACTCATTTTCGTATCTGTGTTCTGATTTATAAATATGTCTTATTTTTAAACCATTCTCCCGCGATATAAAACATTTCCAGTATGGGACTACTACAGAAAAAGATTCTATAAACATTCTTCTACATGCATTCTAGTGAAACTAAATACTCATTTCTGGAATGCATAAAATGAGAAAAACTACTAGTCAAAGGGTAAGACTATCTTCAACATTGGTAGGTAACATCAAACTGGTTCAGAGTAAGTAACTTATATTTCACCAGTATGTTTAACAGAATTTCTGTTGTTCAGCACTTGATATTCTTGCTAACACTTGATAATATCTAACTTTTTAAATTTTAACCATATTAATTGGGTGTATAAAAGTATCTCATTGTTGTTTTAACTTGTATTTCCCTAATTACAACTGAAAGTGGATAGGTTGTTAACGGTTTCTAGTAGTTAGAAGACAGAGATGCTGCTAAATATTCTATAAAGCACAGGACAGCTCCACAACAAAGAATTATCTGGCCACAAATGTCAATAGTGCTGAGGTTGAAAAACTCCGACCTAGAAGACATTCAAAGATTTCTAAAATATTACATGCTACAGATATGGGTAACAGTGAGTTTGTGCTATTTTCATTTATAAATATAATTCATCAATCAAAGAGGATGAAGCAGTAAGAATTTTAGAAATCATATAACTTGACCTTCTTATTTGATGATTAAGGAAGCATGATATTTAAAATGTTGATTTGCCCACTTAGATATCTGCTTGATGCTTTATGAAAATGCTTTCCATTCCTAGAGTTATGTTAGCATCTTGTGTAACCACAATTCAATTTACTGGATAGCTTCCTGTTTCAGAAAAAAAGATTGCTTCACTTCTACATAATAACATTCTCATTAGAGTTCAAGACAAAATATATACTTAGCTGTTCTTCAATAAATGTTGCTCGATAATTATAAAAATGAACTATTGCCATTGAGTTAAAAAATAATCTTATGTTCTTCTTCACCAAATTTGCAGTGAAATATAAAAAAGTCAGGCTAAAATAAATTTTGATCATAGAAGTCGATTATACACATATGGACAATCAAGCTTCATTTTGTGATTACAAAAAAAAGTTCACTCTAGTTTAGACTGAATCACCTTTGCTCATTTTCAGTGTTCTCAAAACCGCTTCAGATTTTGCTTGTAAGGGCTGACTAGATGACTAGTGTATGAACCAGTTTAATATTTATTAGAAATAAGCAATAGCAAAAAGTTTAACCTTGAAATATTTCTACATACTTACTGATAACCTCAAATGGAAACCTTTTCTGGGAGAATTCCCACATCATTCAATATGTTTTAGGGTTTTTAGAAGTTTTCTGCTTCCAGGAAGTCCATCTGCATTAATGGCTTTTATCTGATAATTGAGACTCCCATTAAAGCTCAGAGTGGAAAGATAGGCTTCCATTAGACCCTGGATAAAACACATTCTTCCATTGCTGACCTTATTTTTGGAAACTTCTCTGGAAAGCCTGACTGAATTATAGGCTCCTGATCCAGCTTAAAGATACCCCTGAGTCCTGATAATTTTGGGAAACATTTTGTACAGGTCTGTGTCCTTTCAATGTTATTTTCTAAAGGAGGGAAAGCAACGTTTCTTCCAAAATATTTTCTTAATGACCAAATAAAAAGTACATATATTTGAAATGAGCTGGCCTCATTTTTCACCATAACACTGGCCCTAAATGCAGAAATCTCTTTGAAAGTGGTTATCTAGTTCAAGTTTATACTTACTACAACCC
Source organism: Homo sapiens (assembly GCF_000001405.40). Taxonomy (NCBI): domain Eukaryota; kingdom Metazoa; phylum Chordata; class Mammalia; order Primates; family Hominidae; genus Homo; species Homo sapiens. The sequence continues at coordinate 58,139,091 of NC_000004.12, read as the reverse complement.
ACCCAAAGGGTTTGTTTATTTTAATCAATGTGATCAGTAGCCCTCTCTTGCTGTCTGCCCTGGAGAGCAGCTTGCAGTTATTACTTCCGCTACTGAGATCTGACACTGTATATCGTCTAAATGGGACAGATGGAGCTTGTCTAAGGTTGTATTTCATCAGCTGTATCTTTGGCTTGCCTCCCACAGACATCAGAATAAGGCAGACTGATGCCCAATCTGTTATTTATAAAAAATGATTTAATATTAAATTACAAAATGCTATTGACACAATTATAGGAGAGAAATTAATAGTGTCAGATTTAGTATTATGGAAGTTTCTCTGACATCATAAAACCATGATCAACCACTTTATTCATGCACCAGCATCTCACAATCAAAAAATATGAGCGAGATCCTTGATCCTATTAAGTAAAACATTTGAGGATAACCATGATACAGGGTTTTGGTTTTTGGCTTTTGGTTTTGTTTTACCTGTCCTTTTCTTGGAAGAGCAAATCAGGCTTAAAAATGATGACTTCACTGCAGGTGAGACAACTTGCAGTAAGTGGATCCACTGGTTCTTGAGTATTAAATCTCACAGACTGACCAAAAGCTAGAGATGAATAGTGGCATGGCCAAAATGTTCCATAAGGATGTTTTATTATGTCCAATTCTCTATTCTTAATTTTTCATGGACGAATCTATTTTCAACTTCAGTGTGCAAACTGAAAGGCAAGAATTTTCAGACAAAGGCAAGTTGCTAAGAATGCTGTGCAAAGGAATTGATACTGGTATAAAAGGAATCTAAAATGCTAACTTTAGATCTCTGAAGGCTGTCCATTATTTTGCATGAAGACACCTATATGTAAGACAGCTCTGCATATCACATATCCCCACTCAGTTCATTATGTTTGCCCTTACATATACTTCTTCATTGCCAAAAATCTCAGATTCTGTGTAGTGTAGTGTTGATGTTTTTCAGGCATCTGTATTTTGTTTCCCTAAAGAGAAATAAATTCTTTTGAGGTAAATACTCTGTTTAATACTATGTGTTCTCCCCATTGCACCAAGCAGAGAAATGAGCCCAGTAGTAGCCATTCCGTAAATACCTGTAAAACCAATGAAAACTCAGTGATTAAATTGCTTAAGAGCAGAAGCAAATGTTTAAAACGCATGAATATATTAATAGATTTTAGTCTTATTAGATACAATGAAAAACAAAGATAGAGAAAAGCTCATATTTTTGTTACATTGTATTTTAATTTTGCTTCTGTTATATTTTATAGTGAGAAGCAAAAACCAAAAGAGTTCAGGAAAGAAGGGTAGGTGACACCAAAATAAAAATAGAAAACAGCAAGAGAGTATGACAAATACAAAGATAATGGTGTATGTCAGGCATCAGAGTGGCAGGAAGGATGCAGTGATCAATTTTCTCAGATGGATCAGAGTGGAAATACTTGATCTGGGTCTTGAGACGTGAATAGAAATTCAACCACTATTTGGAAAAAAAAAAAAAACCCAAGTGTGATAGTTATTTCTGGCTCTACGTGTTGCAGTAGTTATTAAGATAGAGAATGTATTAATGATTACTAAAAATTAATAATAATTTTCAAAGATCAAACATAAACTGAGCTCAGAAAGAAGCGTACAATTTAAATAAGCGTAGAGGTAGAAACTACACATGGCTATAAGGAATAAGAACCTTGTTTACGAATGAGGTTAACTGCGGCCAGTTTTCATAAAGTGAAGAAAGGCAATCCAAAAAAGTATATGCAGAACTATGTAAAAACGTAACTTCAATAAATTCACATCTATCATCAAATGATCTTTGCTAAATATTATCTTTGAGACATTCACTTTGTTACATATTTTGCACTATCTACCAATCACCATTTTACACAGATGGAATTAATGACTGTTAGATCTTACAGAAAATATTTTACTAAAAATATACTTGCAGTATCTAGTGAATTCACCAAGATAATAATCTACTGAAAAATCTGAAGTCAAACAGATGAAATAACTTATCAATAAACCAGTATCTGCTGAAAGAGTTTATCTCTGATATTATGTCATATCATGCAAGAACAACTTTCAGAAACATTTTTTCAGTAAGGAAGCACCTAAGAAGCTTAAATTGGAATCCATTCCTAGACAAACGTGGTTGAGCTTGCGTGAATGGCAATGGATCAGCAATAGTAAAAACTATATATAATTCACAAAAGATTTATTGGCATAATCTCCTACGGTACATCTGGTGCCTTTAGATAGCTAATAGAACTGATATACCAGGAATGACGTGTCAAAGCCTTAAGAGAAAATGACTCCTGCCAGATGCCAGCTATAATCACTTTCTGCTGATTCTAATATATCTCTCTCTGGATGGCCTCAATCCATTTGGGCAGACACAATACAGAGAACAATGTCAGTAGACATTAGAAATTAATGGGAGGTGTACATAAAAATACTGCCACGGAGTAGGTCAATTGCAAACCTCAATATATGGAAGTTTAAAAGCAACTTTGTTCCATTTAATTTAAATGTCATCCAAACTGTTTAAAGTATTTCATAATACGAATGACTTTTATAATAACAGAGTTTTTAAACCCATAGGTAGACTTTCAGTTTTTGGTCTTTGGAGCTAAGGAGCTACTTCATCCAAGCCTTTCCTCACTCTTTTATTATTGCAAGAAAATAATTATTAACATTCTGTACCTACTACGTGCCTACACTGCACTAATACATTTGAGGGATGAAAGATGAATCAGATAAAGATGCTAAATCCACAGAGCTTGAGATAAATTAATACAAATGAACCCACAGAAATGAGAAGAACAAAATATTCACCAGTCACAGGAAATTCTTTCTAGAAAAAGTTCAAATTGTATGCAACTAAAGTAGGCCCTGACCAAGCCTGTATTTCCTGATTCCGATTCAATTTTCTTCTAGCTTCTATTTCTATTTTCTTAACATGATTTGGAAAACTCTTGAAATACCTCTGTTAGAAATGATCGTTGTGGAAATGATTATTGTTTCTGAAAATTTAAAGAACAATAAATCCCAGACCTTGGAGATATATTTGTATTCGAGTGTATTTTCTTAATCATAATGTTTTTGCTTTCCTCTAGACACTGCTTCTCATGTTTATTCTCTGACAACTACCCTGATAAAATTCACTGGAGAATAAATTTCCAAGTATACTATTCTAAGGGATTTTATGAAGCAAAATATAATTAAACCTCAAAGGAGAAAAAACTCTTTTACATTTATGACAAAGGCTCTTTTATCTTTTTTGTGTCTTATTCTTTCATCAGCCCCCAATCACATCAGTGTGCGCTGAAAGATTAGCCCATGGGGCAAGAAGCAGTCTTGCAGACGCGTGTTGTTCAATGTCTAGCTCATGCTTGGCACTCCACAGGTACCAACTGGTCTACCTTAATCAACTTCAAAAAAAAAAATAAAGATGTTATATGTACTCCACTGGGTTAAACTACATTCTCTTCAGATTCAGTTGCCACAATGCTAGGACCTGTTGAATTGATGGGATGTTTTTTTCTCGACAGCAGAAATCTCAAGTTGGACATTGTTTTGCCTTAAAATAAAGATTTATTAGGTAGTAGCAAAACATTTTATTATAAGAAGGGCAACCAAAGAACTAGGTAGTTCTCAAAATGACTAATTTATAGAATGATAATGACTCAATTTTTCTTTCTCATGTGAGTTTGGAAGCAGAGTGCTTTTACGAGTATTAACAAGGGCCTCATATTTCAGGCTTTCAGTCATATATCTCAGTTCTTTGCCTTTACAATCTTTCTCATGATGCTGTTCTGCAGCCTAGGACAAGGATCAGGAAAATACATATACACACACACAAACACACACACACATACACACACACACAACCTAATTCCCACTATAATTACTCTGTTTTTATTTTATAATTATTTTAGTTCTGGTGCCTCTCTCTTTCTTGACACTCAATGTCCACAAATCTTAGCTGGGCACCCTATTTTCTAACACTTTGTCTCAGAAGGCATGGGTACAAAATCTCAAAGTGGGACACAAACTCCAAGCCCAGTAGGCCTGTCCGTGTGAATTGTGGGAATGAACTGAAATCAGACGTAGAGCTGACAGTCTTGGGAAAGGAGCATATGACAAGTATTAAAAAGTACATTCATCTACATTTGAGATATAGCTCCTCATAAGCATGTCCAAAATCTCACAATGTTTCATGTATCTTAGATTGCATATATCAAGATGATGTGTAACAATGTAATGCTTTGGCAATTCCTTTCTAGAAAGGGAGCAGATTCTTTTTTTCTATAAAAAGTCATCTTAAGATTATAATAGAATCTTTTGAGCTCAGAAAATCACTGTGCCATGAGGATCTTTATTTATTGTGTTTACATCACTTAATTTTATCACTTTGTGCATCTTTCATGATTTATACTATTCTGGTTTACATAATGGATTTAAATAAAGCACAAATAACACCCTGCGTAACAGTTTTAGTTTTGAATGCATTGTGTGGCAGTAGAGAAAGAATGCTTTGGAGCGAAACAGGCCTGATTAGTTCAGTTTCTTCACTTACTAACTGTATAATCTTTAAAAAATCACCACTTTTATAAAACTTGCTTTCTTATCTCTGAAGAGCAGCACTAGTCCTTTCCTGAAATGGTAATGGATGATGACTAAATGAGAGAACAGTCATTAAACCCTCAGCTCTGTGCCTAAACAGAGTCACAAAATAGTAGAATGTGTATGTATATGCATGTATTTGTAGGTATGCACCTGCGTATAGGTCAGTGGACAGTGCCCGGGTGAAAAAATAGTTGTTTGTTTTGTTTTGTTTCAGACAGAGTCTTACTTTGTTGTCCAGGCTGGAGTGCAATGGTGCGATCTTGGCTCACTGCAACCTCCCACTCTGGGTTCAAGCGATTCTCCTGCCTCAGCCTCCCGAGTAGCTGAAGCCACAGGAACCCGCCATCACATCCAGCTAATTTTTGTATTTTTAGTAGAGACGGGGTTTTGCCATGTTGGCCAGGCTGGTCTTGAACTCTTGGCCTAAAGTGATCTACCTGCTTTGGCCTCCCAAAGTGCTGGGATTACAGATGTGAGTCACTGTGCCTGGCCTAAAATGCTGTATTTTGTAAACCTCAAAGAAGCAATCAATACAAGGGGTCTTCTAACTTACTAATTGGTTAGGTTCTATTGTTGCATTAGATTTCTAAAGCTGCTCTAATACATGATGACAAACAGTGGCTTAGACAATAGAAATTTATTGTCTTACAGTTTTGGAGGTCAGAAGCACAAAATAGGTCTCAATGGGCTGGAATCAAGGTTTTGGCTGGGCTGCATTCCTTCCACTAGGTCCTAGCAGAAAATCTGTTTTATTCTTCTAGAAGCCACCCACATTCCCTACCTCGTAGGTCCCTTTCTCCATCTTCAAAATAAGAACACTGCATCCTTTTGACCACTTTTCCATTATCACATCTTTCTCTGATGACAACCTATGACTCAGCTGGGAGAGAATTTTTGCTTTTAGAGATTCATAATTAGATGGGCCACCAAGATGACAGAGGGTAATTCTACCTATCTTGATTTCTTTAACCAAAATCATACCTGCAAGGTTCCTTTTGCCTTATAAGGTAACATATTAACAGGTTCCAGGGATTAAGATGTAGATATATTTTTGGGTGAGTTCGGTAGTGCATTATCCTGCCCACACAATTGCATAGCTGTTATTTGATTGGATTTCAAAATGCATACCTCCACGGGAATGGTGTCATATATACTATGTATACCCATAGATTAATTCACAAAATCTCTTTAAATAATAATGTCCCTCAACTACAAAAATGCACTACATGACAAAATAGGCAAAATCTAGTAACAAAGGATGTTAGCAGAATTTACTTTGCACGACTGGTACAAAATTTGAAAACTTTAAATCCTTGAACTGAAATATCAGAATTGGAGTAGAAGATGGAGAAAGTTTGGAAAAAAAGGCATAAGAAGCTGTCTGTGGTGACCTCATCATGATGCCATTACAGATCTTCCAAGTGCCTCAATAGGTGACACCACCAATTCCTCTATCACCTTGTGCTTTTTGCCAAAACCTCCCTTACCATCACCTTCCACTTAAGCCCAGAATATGGACCCAGAGCTCATCCCCATAGTTCCTATACTTAAAATCCACTCTGAACTGTCACTATGTGGATCAAAGGGAAAATTCACAATATAAAAAGCTTCCTCACCTGCCTCTTCCTTTGCTCTCTGCTCTTCATGCCTTTTCACCTCCATTACTCCTGACTTCAGAGAGCACAGACCTTTCTGAAGGGAAAGTTAAACATCATGAACCTTGGGTGGATGAGTTTTTTTAAGCAGTGGTTGAGGCTCATCCGGGAAAGTTGTAGACTAGTGGTGGCAGTAAGATACCTAGCACACTGATGATTTCTAGGTGATGATTAAAGCATAAAAACAACCATTAACCTGGTATAATTTTCAAAATAGACTATATATCATTTTTTTACAGATAATACAAGCTAGCAAAAATAACCCACATTTACAAAGATTTCATCAAAAGAGTAAATTAGGAACATCTTAATAATAGGTGCTGCCTTTTCCCTGGCTCTTTTCTACACCAGGTAATGCAGGGCCTTCAACCCTTCATTAACAAGAGTTGCCGAGACTCCCTAAGCCATGCATCACAGTTGCTGAACGCAAAGCCCTCTCTATCACAAAAGCATCAGTCATGGTAATTCTTTCTTGTTGCCACATCCTTTGCTGCCATAAAGCAGGGTCAGGATTCTTTGTTGCTATCTTGAGCATCCACTCCTGAGCCATCTCTTGGCCGACTCTGATGTCTTCTTTTAAAGCATTCCTAGCCTCCTGCTGCTGTCGCTGTTGCTGTAGCAGTCCCTTGATGTCCTTAAATCGCCCCGTATTTCCTGATGCAAAGAGGCCATGCTTCATCTTCACAAAATGGTGGTGGGGGAATAAGGGGTGGAAATCCATTTCTGCTACTCCTTGATTCACACATCATTACATAAAGCAGGGCTTCTTATGCTACAAACAACTCAATGTTTCCTGGAGACGAGGTCTTTCAGCTTCTGTCTACCACAGCTCTCTTTGCAAGGCTGGAGTCTGGAGACAAATTTCTCCATGCAGCTCCCAAATGCCCCTTCCTCGGATATGTGTAAGCCTTTCTTTCAAATATCCTCATGCGAATTTAATTCCTGGAAATACCAATATGTGTCTGATATGTTGAGAATAGTTTGGACTACAACTAAAACTTCCACTATATGAAGAATATATCAGAAAAAGATGATAAAGGACATACTGGAATATTTTCTAGCTTTATTGGAAGTGGTCATAGTGCACCATATAAATAACATTAAGTGTTGTTATATTTTGGATGCTAGTGATGCCTTTATGGTGATAAGAATTGTCACTGTTTATATCTGCAGTTGAATTCCCATTCTGTTATGACTTGCGGTCACTATAATAATTTGCTTAATTTGAACCATAAGCGTTCTTTAAACATTGTTTTACATTTCAATGCCTTTATAGGCTGTAATGTGACCCTCCTGCTGATTGGCTGCATTCGCACACACTTACGTAAACCAATATTTACTAATAACAATAATATGAAACACATACTCTTGAAGACCTTAGGAATCAACAATGAAAAGACATATAATTCCTATCCTCAAATAGCTTATATTTTTTTAAGAAACTATATTCATAAAACATACTTAAATTAAACTACTTGAAAGTTGCCTATGCTTGGCCAGGGTGGTGGCTCATGCCTGTAATCCCAGCACTTTGGGAGGCTGAGGCGGGTGGATCACCTGAGGTCAGGAGTTCAAGACCAGCCTGGCCAACATGGTGAAACCCTGTCCCTCCTAAAAGTACAAAAAGTTAGATGCACTTGGTGGCAGGTGCCTGTAATCCCAGCTACTTGGGAGGCTGAGGCAGGAGAATCACTTGAACCCAGGAGACAGAGGTTGCAGTGAGTCGAGATCAAGCCACTGCACTCCAGCCTGGGCAACAAGAGCGAAACTCCATCTAAAAAAATAAAAAGCTGTCTGTGCTTAATTATATTTGTCAATTGACAATTATATGTGTCAATTGAAATTAAAGCATATTTCACAAATTATATCAGATGATTAATAAAATGGGCTTTTCCAAACAAACTGTATAAAGAAATACTCTCTTCACAGAGAAGTAAAAGAAACAGATAAATGTTAACTACAAACTCTTACTTGAAATTCTTGAAGGCCGGTGCAGACTCATGCACAAGTTCAGGTGTGTTTACAATTCCAGGCTTGGATTCAAGTTCAGGACTATGTACAAATACAAGCATCTGTATAAGTACCTGGGTTTGTAAAATGATTCTGCTGTGTATTAAAGAATTGACTTTATCCAAAGGGAGACATGGCATTTGCCTTAAGCTACTGGGAGGTGGTCTCTAGGCCCCTGAAATGACCTATCCGAAAAAGTGTCTCTGTTTGCCCAGGTGTTTTGGTCAATGGGTAGTCTTACAATGCGCCTCATAATGGGGCCTTTGGAACATGACATATCAGTTATGATCTTCAGAGGAATTGAAGAACAAACCTCCAGAAGGGGCTAAAAACTAAAAGCCAGCCACATGTGAACACCATGTGGTTAAACTGTAATAAAAAAGTCTGGACATCAAAGGGTTGAGTGAGTTTCCCCAGTTCACAGTACTTTTTGAGTTTGCTCACACAATGTAGCTGGAAGGAGGTAATGCTGTCCAGAAACCCACAGGGAGAGGAAAACCAGAAGCTTTATGTTCAGATCAATTCCAGACCTTGCCCTTTGTGTCTCTTTCTGGTTTGTTTTGATTTGTACCCCTTCTCTACAATAAGTTTAGTGTAGGTTTACTCACAACTGTAAGTTTAGTGCTGTCATGAGCTCTGTGCATATTTCTAACAAATTATCAAACCAGGACGTTTCTGGGAACCCACAAATTTGTAGGCTGTTGGTCAGAAGTAAGTGGTAACCTGGGAACTGATGAACTTGTGGCCACTGTCTGTAGTAAGGCCAGTCTTGTGGAAAACGGTGCCCTTCGCATCTGAAGTTTGGACCAAGATTGGGTAATTAATGTCAAAATCATTGCACCTGCAATAATTTTTTTCTTTATGAGGTATATCTTTTTCTTTACCTTGTTTATGCAGGATATATCTTACATAAACAAGATAAAGTGCAAACAGGCATGAGATAGAACGAAATATTGTTGTTAATGTTCATATGTGTCTCCAAGACTTCAGATGAGGAAAATTAGTCTCCAATTATGAATGTGACTTCTCATTCATTGTAAGGTAATTCTGGCAATTAATATTAAGATGTGAAGAAAGAAACTCCAGTTCCTTACTAAATTATTTAATAGGCCTCTGGTCAACTCACATGAAGTGTGAGGATGAGAGCAATCAGCAGGGTGAGGCACTTGTTCAGTGTTGTTTCACCAGTACTCATTACAGCATATACTACGCACGGCAGGCTACTGTCTTAAAAGAAAATTGCCTAAATTCCTTAATTTCCTCACCAGTATCTAAATAATGAAGCCTGAAAAATATACGATTATAGAGTTTTCTCTAAAGAAAACCCCCAAGATAAAGATGCGCCTTTGGCATGTCCACTTCAAACTTTGCATTTTCTAAGGAGAAGGTTAAACGGCTACTCATATGTATCCCTATTTTCCCATTGCAGGACTTTGGCTAAGTGATAGTAAGTTGTATTGGATAAGTGCAGTAACTCGAAGAACAAAGATGATAAGCTCTTTTGTCATCCCCACCTTACCTGTATCTATTATCACCCCCCATAACCTCCAACAGATTGTGTGGCAGACAACCTCTTCACCCAGGTGGGGCGCAGACCTATCAATTTAGTTATTTCTGTCTGGTTATTACATTCAGATGAACACTGTGAGCTTTTACCTTTCTGGGTCACCACTTGACCTCTAGGACTAGATTGTGTCCAGAAAAAGTAGAAAGTTCAGATGGAAGACTTACTAAAGGAGCAGATGGCTGAGTATTACAAGCTACAAAACCGATCACCCACACCAGGACTAAAGGAAACTCACTGCCAAACAAATTCAAGGAGTCTCTAACCCCAGTCAGAGATAAAATGAAACCTGATGAGCCAGACAATGCTGCAGGATTGTAACCAAGCAAACAAAACTGACTGACCAGGTGTAGGTTCTGGCTTCAGTGGCCAGCAGTCTACCTAGCCATGAAGTGGATGAGAAAGAGCTCCTGGAGAGCAGAAGAACCAGGTGTCAAAGTACCCACTGACCTATCGTTTCATGACAAGATTATCACCACCCTAAACAATCTTCTAAAAGATATACCTATGAAACTTTTCAAGTGTCTGACATTACTTGACAATATTTGTAAACAATTAAAGTGGACTCAGGTTTAAACAGGATTAGAAATTTAAGTTTTGCTTTTCCAGTTAATGAGCAAAAGGGGTTTTAAAAAAGGAAGAACAGATTGCTTATACCCCAAATAAAGAAATTATATTTTCTCTGCACTATTGTATTGCAGCTGGGATTCAGTTTTGCAACCCACTAAACAATTTGCGTGATTGACTTTGCATTTGCAAGAGTCTGTAATATCTCCATATCCCATGCTCACACACAAATTACTCAGAAAGGAATATATATAGATATTTCTCTCTCTCTTGAGAGGAAAGAGAGGGAGGGATATCTATATATAGAGAGAGAAATAGGAGGAATAGATATAGAGGAATATATATAAATAGATATAGATAGGAATTTATGTGTATTTATATGTCTCTATATATGTATATTGAAATATGTTTATGGAGTATATGTATCTCAATCACAGAAAAATCTAGAACAATTTAATTCTCATGAAATTTCTACCAGTTCATAGTTTGTTGCATGGTATATAAAATATTTTGTACTATATACTATACTTTGATGTATAGTACATAAGGTATGGACTGGTAGAAATTTTAGAAGAATTAAATTGTTTTAGATCTCCCCACCCACATACCCAGATTTAAAGCACTTTTACTGACAGTTGTTCACTCATGGGCATGTCACATATGCTCAGACCAGCAGAGCTTAACTGCAGTAAGCATAGCTTAGACTCTGGTAAATCAGGTGAAAATAAGGACTTTAGAATTACCGACAATGGGTAGCACCATCCTGTCATACTAGAAGCAGTATGTCATCCTGTCAAACTAGAAACAGCACATTATGGTACATGAGGAAACAAAGGTAGCAGATATAAGTACAACTTACATTATAGCTCAGATGCTATCTTACCTTATTTGGTGCATGCACCAGCTCAAACAGTAATTTAATTTATCAAATGAGTGCTAATGTTCAAATACCCAGTTTTTCCTAAGAATATTAATTCAGCCTTGGGATCCTAGTATTTGACCAAAATAAATATTATTGTTTATATTCATAAAGTTATTTTCTGGTCAAATATGATAAAGGCAAGCTAATTTTATTTTCTCGAGATATCACTGAAAGAACTCCACAAACTAGACAGCATTCCTCATAATCTTGATTATATGTTTGCATTCTAGCACAAATCTGAGTGAAGGCTCTGATATACTTCTTTGACATATATAGTGAAACTTACTATTTTTCATAGGCTCTGAACTCTGAGGATATAGGCTCCATTAACAATCAACTCATATGTGTCAAAATCTTCCTTAATTTATATGCAAATAGTGAGCAGCTATTTATAGAAATAAACAATTCATATTGCAGAATTTGTAAAGAAAAACATATGCACTCTGACCATCTCTGTAAATTGTGAGTTCAAGGACTCAAACGCTTGTCTAAAGGGAATTCCCAAAACCAGGTTTTGAGGCAGTTATAAAAACATTCAGGGGAAAATATTTAAGAAAAACCAAATGCCTTTCCACCCATAGTAGAGTATATCCCTGATAACTTGCTCAGTAGACATCCCCAATATTTAACAAAATTGTTGAGTTGCAGATGCAATTTTTTTTGTTTTACTAATATTTTGTGAACAGTCTTGAAGTTAATCTGACATAAAAATAGAAAAATACGTGATACTTTTACTAAGTTGAAACAAAAACTTTTACTTTTATCACGTCTCTATCATATACATTTATAGAAGGGAGAGTACTTAAAAATGTAGCTCTCAGGCATCCATTTCAAATTCTCTCCACTTTTGACCTAAGAATGCTCAGGAGAAATGAGTGAAACTATAGTCTTTTGTCTTCCCCAGTTATTTCTCACTCCCTACTTCCCTAAGCAAAGTTTGTCAAATGCACATGTACATGAGAGGTAAAAATCTCACCCTACCATCCTAAGAAGTTGAAAATCTGCAGGTCATCTTTGGCAGGCTTCCAAATTAACCGACCTGGTGGAGGTCCTGTGATTCACGGCAGCATCTTGTCCCTGAGTAAAGAATATTATCATGATTTCTTTAAAATTATTGATGTACTGATTACTATGTAACCTACCGACACTGAAAAGGATGCTGATTTGTTTCTGAATCATGAAGTTTTGCTGATCTGTTTCTAAATCAGGAAGTTTTCCTGATTGTCCTGCACATAGACATTTTAGCCTAGATGCTGCAATCTGTACCCAATGATTGCAACCTCTATATTGCACTCTCCAATGAAAAAGGACAACTCCAATATGAGAAGCCACCCTCCCTTCTCCTAAACATTCTGATAAAAGCCTTTCAATTTGTAACAGGCCCTGAAACACTGCCAACTTTGTTGGTGTGTCTCACATTTGGCATCCAATTAAACCTTCATCAGATTATTTCTGTCTCAACAGCCTTAATTGTAGTTAATAAAGGAAACATCTCTGGTGAAGAGCTCAATACTTCACAAGCCCATCTCCCATTCCTGGGAAAACAATACAGTGGATCCCTGAGTAAAAATTCTTGAGAATCCATGACTGAGTAAAAGTAGCCTTTCTTCCAGTCTTTGCCTACAATTGCCCATCAGTACTTTGTTCACAGAGTAAAATGTAATTTCCTTAAGGACAGACTTCAAAGGCGTTTGATGATTAATAGGGCTGATACAGCCAGTGTAACACCTGTGAAAACTGCCTTTTCCTAAAATTCAGTTTGAGCCTGCACAATTTGCAAATCAAAGATTTTCAGTAGATAATATATATCGAATAATTATATTGTACTAAGAGTTTATGTACATTGTCTTACTGAATTCTCACAATATAAGAGAGAGAGTTTGATTATCCCTGTGTACAGATGAGAAAAGCAAAGCTTAGATTTTTTAAGTAATTTGCCCCTGGTTCCATTGCTATTAAGTAGCAGAACGAGGAGGAGATCTGTGTGATTTTATTTGCCAACCTAAAGATTAAAGGCAAAGAAGAATAATTGGCAAAGTCTACTAAAATAACCACTGTTTTTTCGAACTTAGTTACCAAAACCAGCAGGGGAAGAGAAGGCAAAAATTTATTATAAAATATAAACATTTTTAAAACGTATAATCTTGATTTTTTTTCTTGATTTAGTTACAGTTCTGCCAACTGCCTTCTGCCACCAAACTAGAGAAAGCTGATTCATTTTAAATGAGCTATTTCCTTTTACCTTTCTTCATTTCAAACTAGTAGCATATTGTATTTCTTTATCTTTTAATTTTAGTTTAGGTTCAGGGGTACATTTGCAGGTTTGCTATATACGTAAATTGTGTGTCTCCAGGGCTTAGTGTACAGATTATTTGTTCACCCAGGTAGTCAGCATAGTACTGAGAGGTGAAGCCAGCTGGGCTTCTGGGTCGGGTGGGGACTTGGAGAACTTTTCTGTCTAGCTGAAGGGTTATAAACACACCAATCAGCACTCTGTGTCTAGCTAAAGGTTTGTGAACGCACCAATCAGCACTCTGTAAAAGCGCACCAATCAGCACTCTATAAAATGGACCAATCAGCGCTCTGTAAGATGGACCAATCAGCAGGATGTGGGCAGGGCCAAATAAGAGACTAAAAGCTGGCCACGCAGCAACCCACTGGGGTCCTTTCCTGTGGTGTAGAAACGTTTTTTCGCTCTTCACAGTAAGTCTTGCTGCTGCTCACTCTTTGGGGCTGCAGTACCTTTATGAGCTGTAACACTCACCGTGAAGGTCTGCAGCTTCATTCCTGAGGCCAGCGAGACCGTGAACCCACTGGGAGGAATGAATAACTTCGGATGCACCACCTTTAAGAGCTGTAACACTCACTGCAAAGGTCTGTGGCCTCACTTCTGAAGTCAGCAAGACCACGAACCCACCAGAAGGAATGAACAACTTCGGATGCACCACCTTTAAGAGCTGTAACACTCACTGCAAAGGTCTGTGGCCTCACTTCTGAAGTTAGCAAGACCACGAACCCACCAGAAGGAAGAAATTCCAGACACATCTGAACATCTGAAGGAACAAACTCCGGACAGACCATCTTTAAGAACTGTAACACTCACTGAGAGGGTCCACGGCTTCATTTTGAAGTCAGCAAGACCAAGAATCCACCGGAAGGAACCAATTCTGGACACAGTACCTGATAGGTAGTTTTCCATCTTTTCTCTCCTCCCACCCTCCACCCTCAAGTAGACGTTGGTGTCTGTTGTTCCCTTCTTTGTATCCATATGTACTCATTGTTTATTTCCCACTTACGAGTGAGAACATGGGGTATTTGATTTTCTGTTCCTGTACATCCTGGCTTAGGATAATGGCCTTCAGCTCCATTTATGTTACTGCAAAGAACACAGTCTCATTTTTCTTGCATAGCTGCATAGTATTCCACAGTGTATATGTACCACGTTTTCTTTATCCAGGCTACCATTGATGGGCATTTAGGTTGATACCATCTCTTTGCTATTGTGAATAGTGCTGCAAGGAATATATGTATGCATGTGTCTTTATGGTAGAACCATTTATATTCCTTTGGGTATATACTGAATAACGGGATTGCTAGGTGAAATGGTAATTCTATCTTGGGTTATTTGAGAAATCACCAAACTGCTTTCCACAATGGTTGAACTAATATACATTCCCACTAGCAGTGTATAAGCATTCCCTTTTAGCTGCGGCCTCACCGTAACATTATTATTATTATTATTTTGCTTTTTAATAATGGCCATTCTAACTGATGTGAGATGGTAGCTCATTGTGTTTTTCATTTTCATTTCTCTAATGATTAAAGATAAGCCTTTTTTAGATGCTTTTTGGCCATGTGTATATCTTCTTTTGAAAAGTTTTCATGTCATTTACCCACTTTTTAATGGTATTGTTTGCCTTTTTCTTGTACATTAAGTTCTTTATAGATTCTGGATATTAGACCTTTATCAAATGCATAGTTTGTGAAACTTTTCTCCCATTCTGTAGGTTGTCTGTTTACTCTGTTTATAGTTTCTTTTGCTCTGCAGAAGCTCTGTAGTTTAATTAAGTTCCATTTGTCAAATTTCGTTGCAATTATTTTTGGCGTCTTTGTCATGAAATCTTTGTCAGGTCCTATGTCCTGAATAATATTTTCTAGATTATCTTCCAGGGTTTTTATAGTTTGAGGTTTTACATTTAAGTCTTTAATCCATCTTAAGTTGCTTTTTGTGTATTGTGTAAGAAAGGGGTCCAGTTTCAGTCTTCTGAATATGGCTGACCAGTTATCCCAACATTATTTATCGAATAGCGAGTCCTTTCCTCATTGCTTGTTTTTATTTATTTTGTCAAAGGTCAGGTGGTTGTAGATACGTAGCATTATTTCTGGGCTCTCTATTATGTTCCATTGGTCTATGTTTCTATTTTTGTACCAGTACCATACTGTTTTGGTTACTGCAGTCCTGTAGTATATGTATGGTATTTTTATTAGGCATGTGGAAAACCCACACATAACAAAACAAACAAAAGAAACAAGAATGTGTTCTAAATAACACACTTATTTTTGTTGTAGTCAGTAAAAATACTCAGCTATTATCAGAAATTCACGTTTTAATTTTTATTGTAAAGGTGCAAATAAATATAATATTTGAAAACATATTTGAATAATAAGTGAATAACACCGAGAGTTGAATTAATTATATGTGTGTTCATAATCCAACAAAGGGTTGTTTCGCAACTGAAGGGAATCTTCATTTAAAAAGATTCTTCCAATAGTAAGTTCTGGTTAAAACAGATATATACCTTTACCCCCAGATGCAGTTCTTTGCTTTGCATTAGCCTAAACTGTTTGAGGATGCATAGGCATTTATACTGAAACGATCCAGACTAAATACCTGTTTTAAGTTCTTTGCCTGGAAATGGTTTCATTATCAGTATATTGCTTCTTCAGTGTTTAAATGCTGCACTATTTCAGCAAAGGAGGGCAAAATTAGCCGTGGATATTGAGTAGTTCAAACTGTTTTATATAATAAGTGTCTACTTTCAACCTTTCCTGAGAGGTTATTTCACTTCTTGCTACCTCATGAAGAGATAAAACTGTGTATAAAGTCAGAAATGTGTCTGCCCTCCAAATTTCACAGCAAAATAACTCACAAAGGATAAATCATCCACAATAATGAAAACAATATTCTCTGAGGGACTCTTCTTACATAATACAGAGAAAAGATAGTAAACATTTTAATTTTTCATCTGAATCTATTGCTTTAGGCCATTAGCAAAGACCATTACATCCCTACACAAAAAATCAAACTAATGTTCCATTGTCACCTTTCAAGTGAGCAGGAACCATTTATCATGTTCAGAAACAGAAAGTGATGTTTCTTTAATCAAATAGGCATGAATAAATTCATAATCTATAATATGAATTACAAAGTGTGCTCTTTCAAGAGAAAACTGGCTTTTAGAGTTAAGCAACTGGTTTAATTCCTTTTTTTAATTTTTGCTTTTCCTTCTCTACTGAGTATATTAGTAGCATTTATATGAATGTGAACCATACATAGATACTTTATAATAATAATAGAAAAAGAAAGAATGCATTTTTTAAACCGAGCCAGAATTGTCCTAAATGCTTTATATACATAAATGTATTCAAAATAGATTTAATTTTAATGAAATGCCACTTCAACTGTCATCTGGTATATATACCTCTGAAAAATTCCTTCTAATAATTGACCTATAATCTAAGGAAAATAGAAAGGCTGTATATGTGAAGGAAAAGTGACCCTGGATGTCATATTTACTTTTGCTTGTCCATACATTCAACAAATGAGAGGCCACTACATTCAACTCCCTGCAGATGTAAGATTTAGAATCGGCCTTTGAGATGCTTATGAGCTAATACAGAAATTTGTGTTCCAATAAGCTTCCTGTGTTTTCAAAACTTTCAAATCCTAGAACAACTTATGTAACCTTCCAAATTGTCAAAATTTTCATAAAAATGAGGATAATTATAGGTTCCTATTGTAAAGTTTATAAAAATACCATGCAGCAACTCTTCACTTAAAGAATGCTCAATAACCGGCAGCTAAAACTCAACAAATCATGTAAATCTTCTCTTTCCTAGAATCTTAGATAACTTGTAGGATAAACTTGTCATAATTCTGGTGTTCTGGAATTGGACAGGAGAATACCTAGAGACCAATACAAGTGAGTAACTGACAGGCATAGCATCTGGAAAGTAATGATGAAAGCCTTTATTTTATTATTTTTTTTTAATTCTAAAGATAGAACAAGGTCACATGTAATGAGCTTTACATGAGAAAATCGCTCTCCCTTTTGACCCTTTCCTAGCATTGTGAATGATAGGAAATTGTCTTAGATATATCTCATGTTTTCATTTTAAGAGGATTAAATGAACCTTTCTGCAAAACAGCTGTGTGTTCCATACAAGACAGTTAAAAAAAAAAAAAAAAAAAAAAAAAAAAAAGATGGATCTTGAAGTTTTACCTGTTAGGCTTACATGGCATTTGAAGCTGCTGTTTCATTTCCTCTACCGCCCTATTTCCATCAATTTCCAAATTCTGGGAGGACAGATGCAAAGCCAAATTCTCTACTCTTTATCAAACTTTTCTGTAAGAATTGTCCTCATTATCTCCAGTGATTTTGTATTGCATGTTTATTGCCTGAAGTCTGAAGATAAATGAAGGTTTTTATTCAGCAGAATATTGGGGGTAATCTAATCTGTTTCTTCTCTTGAGTTTGCATAATATGTTGTTTTCTGGCATATCTTTTGTCCGTAAACTTTGAAAGTTGTAAGTAACTTTAAGTCGTTAAAGCAAAAAGGCACATTGTAACAGTGGTCCAAGATTCAAAATTAAGAAAATATTAAGGAACAATAGGTAGGAATTTATGAGAAAACAGTAACCTCAAATCTGAATTTAAAAAAACCTTGAAACAACAGGAAAAGAAGACAGACTCTGGAAAGTTGATAATCATCATTCACTAAGTGGCAGGGGAACCAGAACAAAATCAAAGATGATGTATAGACTTCAGATAATTGCATGGGTGAATTTTAAATTTAAGATGAGATTTGAGGGACTGAATTTTGCAAAAGTTTGGGCATTTAGTCAACAGATTATTTATGAAGGTTTATTAGAAAAAATTGGACCATTTCTTACTGAGGCAGGAAAACATGAAAGACTGAAATATATATAATCCTAACAATATTTGAGCAAAATTTGTCTGCCACATAAGGCAGACATTTTAAATAGACCTTGGTCAAGAGGCATCAGAACTAAAAGCATAATTTTTGACCAGTGAAGTGTAATAGAAACATATTTTCTTAAATGATACTATACAATGATATATTGTCTCCCATATCCAAGACTTCTATAAATATCTTTCATGAATGTTTACCTTTGAGAGAGAAGTATGTGTAGGTAGCAGAGGAAAATTTTTTGGTTTTGTTTTTGCTTCTTCAGAGTTTCTCTTATAATGTATTGCACAGTTGTGTCAAATTTTAAATTAGTTTCACAATATAAGATATTAGTCCTCCAAAGAGTTGATTCTCCACAATTCACCCAGTAGGTCCAATTTAACAGAATTAAAGCAGAAAACTCCCACACCCAAATTCGTTAAAAATTCTTGTTTGCAATATCAAAAATCCAACTCAAATTGATTTAGACAAGTTAGCAGAGTAATTGTAGAGTGCATGTAGCCAAGATAAAGGCATATGGTAGCCAGGCATGGTGGCTCACGCTTGTAATCCCAGCACTTTGGGAGGTTGAGACAGGAGGATCACTTGAGGCAGGAGGATCACTTGAGGCCAGGAGTTCAAGACCAGTCTGGGAAACATTGTGAAACCCCGTCTCTACAAAAAAACACAAAAATTAGCCAGGCGTGCTGGCATGCTTCTGTAGTCCCAGCTACATGAGGGGCTGAAGCAGAAGGATGGCTTGAGCCCAGGTGGTCAAAGCTGCAGTGAGCCGAGACTACACCACTGCACTCCAACCTGGGTGACAGAGTGAGACCCTGTCTCAAAAAAAAAAAAAAAAAAAAAAAAAAAAGGCAAATGGTCTCAGCGACACCAGGAACAAGGGGGCAGGACTGCTTACCAAACTCTCTTTCTCTCCCCTGCCAACATTCCATTCTATCTCTTGTCTCCCTCTTTACTTCTGTCCTCACTCCGCTCTCCAGATATGCATGCTGCTGTCTTGGTTTTCTTTGTCTAAGCTAGTTTCCAAAGCAGAAAACAACTGCTGCACCACGCCCATCTCACCATTAGATGTGGGATAGGACACTTCTCTATTCTCTAGTTTGAAAGCCTCATGTCATGTTCTGAACATCTGAGCTGATTTGTGTACTCATTTTCATTGAAATGAAAAGTTGCTGAATCCCAGGGTCCTATGAGAACATGGAGGCCCCCTAAAGCCACATGATTGGAATGAAATAGCTCTTCCAGAAGAGATGGAAATGAATGTCAAGGAGATCCTCAATCCTTTATTTGTATGGCTCTATCCCCTATTTTATTTCAAAGGAGAATAGGGCCCCCCCCCCCGGAAACTATTAACAACTGGCCATGCTAGATATACATTTAGCCTTGCTGCTTATAGTGGTTCCACAGCTTGCTTTCTGATTGTCCGGCTCCTCCCTGCTTAGTTTTACCAGCATAGCACTTTCTGAAGCCATAGCTGTGGGGAAAGCTCCCAGCAGAATTTGGTAGTGAGCATTAGTTTTTTAACCTGCTCAACTTACCTAGAATACCTGGGTAAAGGTGTTTAAGCGATGCATAATGTTCATGGACAGTTTACAATTCACCGTGCTTTTCTTCGGGTCAGGAGTCAAAGGGAGAAATTAGCAACATACGCTATTTATTTATTTATGTTTTTCACAGATCTCTGTTACAAAAAAGCAAATTTGAGTTGTTTAGAATGGCACTTTAGCAACCCAAAGTGGAAAAAACATTACTTTTCTTTCAATTTTTTAAACACAGTGAACAATATTTCCATTTATATCTAATGCAGAATCTCTCTATGTATTATCTGGGTCCACTGGCTATACAGGTGTTGCTAGCTTTGTTAAATCCATTGAATTGAACCTTTAGGGGTTGGCCTCAGTATATCTGTACTTGTAAAAAAAAATACCTCAAGTGATTCAAGTATAAAAACCACTGAAAGTATAAATGTTCTGTATATTTCAGCTCATCACTGCTTTTCACATACCCAGTACAATGTCAAATTTTATCAGTATTTTTTTTTCACCGCCGCTTTATCCATTCAGCACACACTTTTTTTCTTGAGACAGTCTCCCTATATTGCCCAAGCTGGTCTTGAATTCCTGGGTTCAAGTAATCTCCTGCTTCAGCCTCTCCAGTACCTAGGAGATCCAGTACCAGGTGCATACCAACATGCCCAGCAGCACACGCTTGTTGAGTGACTAATATCTATTGTACAGTGTGCATCTCCCTTGTCCTTCCCTTCTACTGCATCAGTTGTAACTAAATAATAATCCAACATGACGGGATCATTTCATTTCTTCATTCATTTGCTCACTTCATTTATCTGCTCATTCTGCCATTTAAAAAATATGAAGCACTTGTTTCATGCCACATGCCTTATAGTTACTGTGAATAAAAATAAACCAAACATATAGCCCCTGTCTGGGCTCACAATACAAGGGCAATGACTGACATTGTGTGGAAATGCCTTACACAGAGAGGGATATTTGGCAAAACGGGATCTTCAGACCATCCTTTGCCCTCCTTGGATGCACCAAAGAAGACATCACCTACTCCGATGCTTTAAATAATGACATGTATGTCTGGAAAAGGCTCAATTTAGTCTGCAGTATTCAAGGCACCAATAGTGCTAGAATCTTTAGCACGTATGCTTGTGAAGAAGGCTTTGCCTTTGGTAAGCTAGTTGGGTGTCTGTGACTATAGGATACTGATTTCAAACCAATATCCAAATTTGATCTCAGGGAGACAGAACAAGGATATAAAGATAATACATGTATTAAGCTTACCAGTAACTTTGGGTGTAAAATGTAATATAAAGTTGTAATATCTATTACAATGAATATGTAATATCTGTTGTATTATATATGTATATACAATATGTATATCTAACTGTGTGAAATGTGAAGTGCTGTATTCATAATTGTTACTCTGTACCCCACCTTATTCTACAAAGGATTTAAGACAGTTTACATAGATATATTGAATAAAAGGTCAAAAATATGTTAAAAATAAATGGATACCCCTTTTCCTATATATATATATATATATATATATATATATGAAAATATGTATAAAAATATAAACATTTGTATATGTATAAATACAAAATAGATATATATGTGTATATATATATGTGTGTGTGTGTATACTCTGCTGCAGAGGGTTGAGTGTTGTAATACAAAAGTTGCTGTTGAGGTAAAAGAAAGCGATTAATGGGAAAACATTGCACCATCTTCATACAATCATCTACCTACTCCAAACATCGTAATTATCTTGATTAATTTTACTAAACTTATATTTTGAAATCATTATTTCAGGAGATCCATAAAATGTTCCTGAACACTCATTTTGTACAAGGGAGTATTCTAAATACTGCTGGAAAAACACAAAATGATAAAGATTTGTTTTTAAGCTTAAATTGCTAGTGACATAGTATACCAGCAAATGGAAAGATATTTAGACATCCTGCAATGCATTCCTATTATCCAGTGGATTGAATCTAAAATATTCACATGTCACCTTAAAGCTTTTTACTGGGGCAAAACCTTTACAGATAACGCTAATTCCTTTATTCTGATTTCTGGAGCCCTCCCTCAAACCTGCCCAAGCATTCTTGTTAAAGACAATGTTCATAAAGTCACCTGTTTTCTCTCTTTGAGCTTTCTCTTACAGTTGTTAGTCCCTGAACATACACTAATTTTCTAAACAGATATAAGTGCCAAATTTTCATTTTCCCCAGAAATTTAAAAAACAAGGGAAATCACACTGTTAGGTATCTACATATGTTCCCTTGTTTTATTTACCTATTCTGAGCTGTTGTTTAAGATGACATGTTTTTATGCTTTTTCTGCTTTCAGGGATGCTCTTCACCTGGCACCTTATTTGACTATCTTTTCCTCCTTTTCAGGTCTCAACCTCAATGCCTCAGCCTTAACCATCCTAATCATCCAAACCCAAATCTGTTTTACTGTTATATTTTCCCTAGCAAGTTGTACTTTCCCTTTAAAGCACACAGAACAAGTTATGTTATTGGTTGTTATGCATGTTTGTTTAATATCCTTCCTCTTTAAAATATAATTCCATAAGGACTAGATTGGCACTTTTTTTAGTTACCACTGTGCCTGCAGCACTAAAGACCCTAGCTGGCTTACTGTAGTATACAAAAACTAATGTGGAGTGGATAAATTCTAAAAATATATTTAGAAATTTTGTTATAGAAAACTGTCAGTATGTGAGAGACTCAATGCCAAGCTTCGTTATATAAGATCTTAACTATGATTGCACTTATTATCTCTCTCACTCCTTTTGCAGTTAAGAATTTATAGAATAGCAAATATTAACTCAAATTTTATGCTGCTATTTCTTAAGTTTATGTGTTGTACTTTCAATTAAATTATGTAATACTTAAGGTTAAGGGATTTTGCCTTACTCATATTCTTCATTGCCCAGTGTATTTAGGATGACATTGAGCACATTATACATTCTTACTACTGCTTAGTGAATCAAATTGAGCTGAATTGAATTGAAATGAATCAAAGAAGAAACTTTCATAACATTTTGCCTTCTGGGTTTGGCAGATAGAACAGTAAAGTGCTAGTTAGAATTACTGTACTTAGCTCTCAACCAGCAAGTAATTTTGAGTCATTTGAAAGCTTTCCAATTCTCCATCTAGAGAATATGGATGATGCCTGTTATCTTCAAGAGGATGCCATGAAGATTATATACCATCTCTACATCAAAAAAAGCTTAATAAATATGAAGTATTCTCATTCAATACCTGGACATGTTAAGCACAGAGCTGCAAGTGATATAATTAAGGCCTAATTAAGATATATGAAAATTTGTTAGGGTGGATAAAAATGCGTAGAAGAAAGTCGTAAGATAAAATTTTTGTGATTTGACTGCACCTGTCTTATTAGCTTAGTAATTCTGAGAAGCCTCTGAGTTCTTACCTATTTTGGGATCTTGGAGATGGGTATAAAGCTTGCATTAATACCATACTCCCACATTTTACTGTAATCTTCATCATACACAAGGTGGCCCATATAAGTGTACACATGACTCAAGGAAGGCCAATCAGAAGCATGGCAGGAAAACCAATAAAGGCATTAGATGGAAGAAGCATTCCTTCAATATTGCAAATCCCATGAACATTGACAGCTTAGATCAACTACTGGGTCTCATCATTGCATATAGACAGAGGCTAAGATTAAAGTCACCACAGTGGAAAACAGAGCTGAAAGATGGAGAGAGAAATAAGCAGATATTTAATGGCATGGTTGGAGGAGTGCAAACATCTGTTATTGCAGCAATTGTCCACCATTGGACTTCCACATGGTTATACATAAATACATCATCTATGTCTTAAATAAATTTGAGTTGGGTTTCTATAACTTGCACCTGAATAACCCATTCTTATAAGCTCTATCTACTGTAGAACATGAATTTTCTGTCCCATCTTCATGCTCCTCCATTCCATAGCAACAAACCCAATAGTATTCACCATAATTTGGAAGCTTTATGGGTATAATTTTTCCAAGAACTCTGAAATAATTTGGTATAAGTTTCAGTGAATAATATGAAACGTGAAATTTAGGATTTCATGTTGATTGCATTTAGTCTAAGCTTTTGCATAAAAGTACTTCATATTTGCTTATATTATTATCATAACATTTCCTTTGCATTGTACCTGACTAAATATTATCTTGTCCTCAAATGAAGAAACAAAAATAGACATATATTGATAAGACATTAAGGAGAGAGTGACTTGTTTAGGACTTTGCTCAGTCCTTAAATTTCCAAACACATGACTATTTGGTCTGAATTATACCTCCAGTAGCAAAAACACATCAGCTTTAAGGAATTCATTCCATTTGGGAGCATTTTTGTTTAAGAGAAAGGCTTCTCTATATTGATCTAAAATCACCTTGTATTGACTTTACATTGGCCAATGATCTTTCTCCTTTTATTCTATAACCTTGAATACAAAAGGGGCCATTTCTCTTTTGTTCATCATTGCATTCATATTACGCAGAAAGTGTGTGGATTATTATATATGCCCAGTAAATATTTCTGAATAAATAAAATTATAAATTAATGCATGAATAAATAAATTGATAGGTAATCTCTGGGACCATGTAGAATAATTCCAATACTGAAAAATGACTGTTATACTAAGCCTTCAGTCTTTCAAGCTGAACAGTTCCTTTCTTCAAGCTGTTAGTCAAATTCCTCACTCATTGTTCTTCTATGAATACTTTCTAATCTGTTAATGCTTCTTTAAAGCATATTCTTCTATAACTCTGTGATTGCATCTTAAGGCTCAGCTGATTTTTGCTTTTATTTTACTATTTGTTTAATATTTGTTTGGTTACTGACCATATTATTGACTCAACACGAGTATGGAGTAGGATAGAAATCCTAGAATGTTCTCAAACTGTACTTGTGTAGGTCTTTATATATCAATATTCTCATTGCTAGATTGGATCCATTTATCCAGTCATCCAAAATAATTTCTGATAACTTTGTCATTGAACAGATTTATCGTTTAGTTTGATGACTTCGGTAAACTTTCGCCTATTGTGACATTTACACAATTATATTGAATGGTGGAAACATTGTAAATATTTTCTAATAAATGAAATCCGGGAATCTAATGAAACCCATGCTATATCTGACGCAATTGAAAGTTAGAATGAGCATGAAGTTAAAGCTATTGGGAATCTTAGGTTTGGTACTAACCAGTAGAGAAAACTTTCTTTGTTATATCACTTTCTGCTCTCAGTATTGCAACATGCTAGTGAGAAGTACAAATATACTGGCCAGAACAAATATCAGGAGAAGATTTGAACTTCTAATCTTTGTGTTTTATTATACTCAGCGCTACTTTGTTTTTATCTGATGTGTTGCCAATTTAGTGTTTGTCTTACTGGAGTAAATTTTCTTTGACACACATTGAATATAAGCTGTTAGACACAATGAACCTGAAAAGAAAAGAGAGGATTCTTCTGCTTTGGCTTCCTCTTTCATCTCACAGATAGAGTTTAGGAATGAGCAACAGGATACATACAAGAGAAGTGTATGCAAAATGGAAAGAAGTGGGTCTTTGCTGTGGTTTGAATGTATCCACCGAAGCACATGTGTTGGAAACTTAATCCCCAATGCAACAGTGTTGACAGATGGCACTTACAAGTGGTGATTAGGTCATGAGGGATTAATGCTGTCATAACACGGGTGGGTTATTTATCACCAGAGTGAGTTCCTGACAAAGGGATGAATTCAGTCCCCATTCTGAGACAGTCAGGTGGGAAGGGCTGCCTGCCAGAGTCTCCAACAGACCTGTGCACTGGAAGAAGTGCACACTGGGGTGGAGCCAGAGAAGTTTGTGCCTTTGCAGTGAGTAGGAGTCTGGTTCCTTCTCTTCCGGAATGGAACCTGGAATTCAAGTTGTGAGATGGGAAGCACACTAAAGGAACTCTGGCCTTGCAGAAAGTCCGGGTTCCCCCATTTTTCCTTTTCACCCAATAAAACCCTTTTTAACTCACTCTTCAAATCATCTGCGAGCCTAAATTTTCATGGCCATGGAACAAGGACCCCATCTTTAGTTGAACTAAGGAAAAGTCCTGCAACAATATTCTCACTCTCTCACTCTCTTGGGCTGTCTTGCCTTTCTGCCTTCTGCCATGAGATTGTGCATCAGGAAGGCCCTTGCCAGATGCCAACAACTTGATATTGAACATCCCAGTCTCCAGAACTGTAGAAACAAGTTTATTTTCCTTATAAATTACCCACTCTGTGGTATTCTGTTACAGCAACAGAAAACAGTCTAAGACGGCCTTGAAAACATCCAAGGGAACTCCAGGCCATGAAATGACTAATTAGTGTCTTCATTAGTGCTTCACAACACAAGAAATATGAACATAGAGGGAAGAAACTTCTTCATTTCTCTAGAGAAATGATAACAAAGTACTCCTTGATCTGATTCTTCTCTTTATGGACTAATAGGAGACATAAATAAGCTCCCACCTTCTGCTAAGCTGCTAAGGCTGCACCAATTGCTGATTATTTAAATGAACAGGGAGGAGAGATGCCTACTGGAAGTGCACTTAAAAAGAAAGAGGCCAAAATACCTCTACCATGGTAATAATAGGTTCTATTCCCCTTTACTCACGTATATGTGTACATTCAATATAGAAACAAAGAAGCCCTGAGCTATAAATTCTTGTACCTTTACTTTCCACAGGCTTGACTGAATAAGCACTTAGAAGAACCAGTTACCTAGGTACAGCATTCAATTAAGTCAAAGAAAGGGAGATTCTGCCTATCTCCTGCAAAATATCTGTTTTCTTAGAATCCACATCTTCCTGAGAGTGTAAAGTTAGTATTAGGTCATGTTTACTAAAATATTCTTATTGCCAGGCTTTCCTGAAAGGTGACAGAATTTAGATTTTCATCTCAAGATTTCTCAGTAGAATAGTGAAAGCTAACATTGTAATGTTGGCAATGTGCCAGGCCGTATTCTGAGCACTTTGTATATATTGATTCATGCACAGATGAGGAAACTGAGAGTAAATAATTTCCTCAAGTTCTTGCAGCTGATACATATTCGAATTGGGATCAGAATCCCTGCACCCTGACTACTGTATCTGTGTCTTAATCATCCTGCTAAAATGCTTATTTAGTGATCAACACACTTAGTTGTATGCCAACCATAGACCACCATCTAAACCATACACAGGTAATGTCACTGTAAAGAAATATATGGCTTCTTTTTACTCATCCACCACGTAAACTCTTTAACAAATAGTAACAATGCCATAAGACTTATGTCAAGTTTCAAATATCTAATAAAACCTTTTCATATTCTATGATTTACACATTAGAAAGAGCTAGTGAAATGTATTGCATCCATGCCTTTTCTACAATTTTTAGTATGGTAAGATACATATAATATAAAATTTTTCCATTTCAATCATTTTTCACTACACAACTTAGTGGCATTAAGCACATTTGAATTCTTGTGCAACATTCACTACCATCTATCTCTGTCTACCTCTTTTATCTTGCAAAACTGAAACTCTGTATCAAACAACCCTCTCTTTTTTCCTCTCACAACCCCTGGTAATCACTCATTCTACTTTCTGTCTCTATCAGTTTGTCTCTAGGTGCCTTATGTATCTGGAATCACATAGTATTTGTCTTTTTGAGACTGGTTTATTTCATTTAGCATAATGTCCTTAGAGGTTCAACCTTGTTGTAGCATATGTCAGAATTTCCTTCCTTTTTAAGGATGAAGAATATTCCCTTATATGTATATACCTCATTTTGCTTATCCATTCATCCATCAATACGCAGTTGTTCCTATCTTTTAGCTATTGTGAATGATGCTGCTAAGAACATGGGTGTCATCTGCCACTCATTAAGCACAAAAGATACTCCTCAAAAATTATTACACAAAATATTAAAAAATAATTTTAATTAAATTTTTAAATCAGTGATTAAATTATGAAACTATTATGCCAGCTTATCATAAAAAATATTTGCTTTAATTTATATACGTATGTACTGAAGGAGTTCAGAACACATTATCCAAAGATATGTCATCCTGGCACATAAATTGTTTTGAGTTAAAGACAAGACATTTAAAAAAAAAAAAAAACAACAGATACAAAAAGGGTTCTCTGGATTTCCTAAAAGCTAGGGAAGAAATCTTCCGTGTGGAATATGTGCTCACTGAGTCTGAAGGAAGGAGTGCATTCTGATCACCAGAGACAGAGAGCTAAAGCTGGGAGAAATCTGCTTAAACAAATCTTATTAACTAACCCTTATTTTTTTTTGTCACTTCTTGATGATTAACTACTGTAGTCTAAGCCCCCTTGCCTTGTTCCATTTTCACAATTTACTGCTCTTTGTCCACGCAGTATATAAATGTTTTGTCCAGATTAGTATATAAATGTTCAGCTCTAACTGTGTTTGGGGATTTTTTATTACTTTATGAGGGCTCCTGTGCCACATAAAACATGTATTAAATAAATTTGTATGCTTTCCTCTTGTTAATCTGTCATATGACAGTTTAATCCTTAGCCCTAGCCAAAAAAAAAAAAACCACTAAGAAGATAGAAAATTTTGCCTCCCCCATAGTACCATTGGGAATATTAATGATAAGTTTAAAGTCTATTTATTTCACAACCACTAAAGAATGCTAATTTTGTGCAGAGTACTTTGAATAAACTGATGACTTCAGTGATTTAATGGTGATTAAAAGATGACCCTTTCCCAGATAGGGCCCAAGAGCTAAACTAAAGTTTAGTTTTGAAGTTAAATCAATAAGATAAATAATGTGTAAACCCACATAATAAGATACATATGAAGTATTTGTCTAATAATTCATTCAAAATAGTAATCTGGCACAGCATCAATATTTTTGAAAGAATTATTTTGTCACGTATCCTCAGAATAAGATGAGAACTGCAGTAACAAAAATATAAACTAAAATTATATTTGTGTGGATATATCTGATTGCCATTGCTGTATGACAAACCACCTCAGAACTCAATGGTGATCTAAGCTATGCTTAGCTGAGCAGCTTGGTCTCAGGCTGCAGCAACTGGGTGGCTCTGGTTCTCACTGCAGGTGCACAGGCTGCTAGCTAGCCATTGCATGTTCTTTTGACAGCAACGTCGCAAGTGCAAGAGAACAAGTGGAAACATGGAAGGCCTCTAAGGGCTAGGCTCAGAAATTGTACCTTGTCACATCCACCTTATTCCTTTGGCCAGCCTCAGAGTCAAAGGTAAAAAGGATAAATATATACTTGACTCCAACCCAGAAGAAATGCAAATTCACATGGCAAAAGGTATGAATAAAGAAGAAGAAAAACTGGCACAAATAAGGTGAACAACCACAATGGGAAGTACCTGTAAATTCTGACTACAGTATTCTCAGTTGGCTTATAGGGAAGGCTTTATCTTAGCAGGGAACCAGAGTTAATGAAGGTTATATGAGATGAAAATCACTGTCATGTTATTAGATGCACCTTAAAGCAAATACCTATCACAGATTGTGATTAGACATCACTCACGGTTTTCAGTGTAGCAGCATAATGTCTGAACTTGCAGTATCTGAAATGGAAAGGACTATAATTAAGGATGTGAGGGGTAGAGGAAGGTAGGTATTCTTGGAGTTGTGTATGGTATGAGTAAAAGTAAAAAAGAATAATTGAGGGAATGGTCAGATGTAGAACAATTTGTTTAAGGAAGTAGTGGGAGATAGGGAGTTTAAGAATGTTTTTAAAAAGAATATTTAGTTTTAATTCAAAGTGTTCTGTGGAATCTTAAAGACTTTTGAGCAAGTGATTAAAATAGTCAAAGTAGTGAAGTGGGAGAAAAATAATCTTACTGGGCATGTAGGATGGAAAGGAATGGGAGAGTCTCCAAGGCAAGGATTCTAGGTAGAAGGCTGTTCAAATAATTGAGGAAGTCGTGCCCCTGGACTGGGTGAGAATAGTGGTGACAAAGGTAAAAAGATGATTAAGAGAAAGCAGTTAGAGTGGGATGGGATTGGGAATTTGCAAGGAAGGCAGAGAACTGGAAGACTTAAAGTTTTCAAATCTGTGTGACCAAAGAGACAATCATAAGGTTACTTATCAAAAATCAAGAGTAGGGCTTATTTTAGACATTTTTCTCAAAAAAAAAGATTGTGAGTGTCCTAAGGTGAAATAATCTATGACCAGTTAAAGAATTTAAAATACAAAGACCAATATAATTAGAGTTTAAGAAGTTAGGAGTTGAGAGGGTAAAATAGAGAAAGTGTTAACTGCTAAGACTGGAGAGGTAAGGAGAAGTCACATAGTAAGAGCTTTTTAAGTCAGGTTAAATAATTGAAATTTTGTCTGAACAAGAGTTGGAAGTTTTAAACACAAGTAAAACATGATCTGCTTAACATTTTTGAAAGATCAGCCTGAAAGCTCAGTTGACACAGGTAAGAAAATTACTAATTAAACCTATTATATACATTGTACAGAGTCTTTCAGCAAAAACATGTCGACACTCAGAATACGTCAACATGCTTTCTTTATAACAAGATAACTAAAATGAGTTGAACCTATTTTTCTGAGTTACAGAAAAAGAAGGTAGAATCTCTATTTTTAAAATTAATTCATGCATTTTTCTGCATTGTAATACCATTAACTATTTGGGGACATGTTAGATATATCTATGATTTGGGAAATAGAAAATTTTAGTCTAAAAAATGCAAGTCCTTTTGGTTATCAAACTCAGACATTGAAATGAAAGTGCAGTTATGTCATTCTTCCCCTTTAAATTATGTATTCATCTCTTGAAACTGTTCACTATTGCCACAAGTGGATATATATTAAACTAATGATACTGCATTGGACACTGTATCTCATACCCTAAACCAGAAAGATATATGTCTAATCAATAACCAATGTTATTTCTTTAAATAAATAAAAATTTCTGACAAAAAAAAAACAATGCAATGCAATTTGTGACAAAAATAAAGCAATAGCCAGGCATTCAGATATATCAAAAGTCATTTCCTAGCAGTGACAATATAGTTATCTAAGAAGGGAGATGTAAGAAAGTCTTAGAAGCTCTCATAATCTTACCTAATCAAAATGTATTGTATCTGGCCAGAACACGTTGGTTTTGGCATGCCAACAATACCAGTAACTTTGTTTTCAGGTTGGAAAAATGGGTATATTATTTTGGTTATAATTAAATATTCCTTTACTTATTGCTGCATAATTTCCCAGTTTTTCTTCTTACCTTGGAATTTTGACATAAAATCACAAATGTATAAAATATTCAGGTGATGTAAAAAAAGAACATTTTGATTCAGTATTGACTGGAAGAAAAGGAGAGTGAAATACATAGTGTACAATCTCTCAATTTTCAAAATTATCTAAACATATTTTGGATACAAAATTGACATTTAAATATATCATAACTTTGCATAATGTTTCTCACTAAAGATTTATCTCCTCCTGAGAATGACTACATATTGTGTAGATTCACATATTATTGTATTACTGATAGATTATTACTTTAAATATGCAATAGTGACTTTTTACTTAGCCTTTTAAACTAAACTTCTATAAAAATTTAAAGGCTTACATCACATTAACCAAAGTTGAATTTACTGTCATTAAATTAATTACTTAAAAGGAAGGAGCAAATATTCATTTTATACCAGTATGTCATTTTTTAAAGTATCAAAGTAAATATAGTAGTAAAATATACTTAAACTCTCTAAAGGGCAACCATTAGATGTAAAAATAAAAAGAGAGTAAGGAAAACGAAATAACAGTCATGGTATCCTTTTTTTTTAGTATCTTTTCTATGATATGGGTTGCGAATATTTTGATTCTTTACTTTTGTTTGTATTTTGATTTTATTTAAGAACATATTTTCTATGGAGACATTTTATGGTTCAATTGAGTTCAACAATGATCTCTAGTGTTGCATGAGAATTTTGTGAAATGCTTAAAAATAAGTGCAAATAAAGTCTCCCATGTTTTCTTCTCATGATTTCTTTTAAAAAATGATTCTTATTTTATATTAAGATATTTGGCTCATTGAAAACCTGTTAGGCTAATAATTAACATGAAAACCAAATTTTGTTTTGTTTTCCTGTGTGCTATTTTTATTTTGTTCAGTAACTCTAATTAAATGACCCACTATAATCAATGCCACTTGTATTACATACTAATTCTTATATTTATGTAAATAGATTTTAAACTCTATTGTGTTTCTTTGATGTGATTTTTAATTTTTGAATCAGCAGTTGTGTTAGTCTGTTCTCATGCTGCTGATAAAGACACACCTGAGACTGAATAATTTATAAAGAAAAAAAGATTTAATGGACTCACAGTTCCACGTGTCTGGGGAGGCTTCACAATCATGGCAAAAGGCAAAAGTCACGTCTTACATGGCAGCAGGCAAGAGAGAATGAGAGCCAAGTGAAAGGGGTTTTTCTCATAAAACCATCAGATCTCCTGAGACTCATTCAATACCACAAGAACAATGCAAGGGAAACCACCCCTATGATTTAATTATCTCCCACCAGGTCCCTCCCACAACACGTGGGAATTATGGGAGCTAGAATTCAAGATGAGATTTGGGTGGGGACACAGACCAACAATATCAGCATTATAGCATTTTAGGTATTACAACTTTATAATTTATTTTAACATGTATTAAGAATAGTTTCCTACCTAAATCA
Source organism: Homo sapiens (assembly GCF_000001405.40). Lineage (NCBI taxonomy): Eukaryota > Metazoa > Chordata > Mammalia > Primates > Hominidae > Homo > Homo sapiens. The sequence continues at coordinate 58,106,279 of NC_000004.12, read as the reverse complement.
TTTAATTGACAAATGATGATAGTGAGTCAAGTTCAAAAGAGAAATGAGATACATGGGCATATCAAACAAGTTTTACCAAAGATAAAGATATCAGCTCAGCAATTTTGAGACTAGAGAAATTAGAAACATTCTCAAGAAATAGATGAAGCATTAACTTCTCGGTCTCCAGAACAGACACACAGTGGTAGATCATAAATATGAGACAGGGAGAGCCAAGTCAGAACTTCACGGCAAGCTCAACTGTCCTCTTTCTAGGTGCAGACTTAAAAGAATGACATGATAGCACTGTAGTCCTGCCTGGACACTTCCTAGAGACCACTCCCACTGGGCTGGGGTACATCTTAACCTAACCTTACACTTACACAGTGCACTGCATGACTCCAACTAGAATGTGCATGGCATGAGGTGAATCCTGGAGATATAGAGCAATTGTTTTATATTCCCAGGTTTAAGAGCTGAGCCTGACATAGAATAGGAATATAATAAACAATTGCTGAATGAAGAATGCGTAGATGGAAAGAATTCTAGGATAAAGCACACAATATACTTCAAGTGGAAACAGCTCTTTATGTATCACCCTCAATGTCTTGAGATAACTCAGCTTGGCCGAACTTAATAATTGTAGGAATGGAACAGGGGTCAGTTTTGTCACTGGGAGTTATACTACTCTCTCAGACAAGCTATAATGCCTATTATATATTATCTGCATTACTCTCCATTTTCAGAAATTCATTGGTTATATACACAGTTGTTCTCTTTTAATAAGACTTTAAAAGTGAGATAATCTGACAAAAATAAGACAGTATCTGGAGGGTATGCAGTTAAAATAATATATTATTTTGAGAGAAGTGACATATTTATATTTAGCTGCCCAATTTCATAGTAAATTATGTCTTTCTATTATTTAAAGCCCTCTTCTACAACCCTACATAGCTTTATAATTTGTTTTCTCACATGGATCTTCCACAGTTTGTGTTAAGTTTATTTCTAAGTATTTTACACATTATATGCCTAATGCAAATGAGTTGTGTTCTTTAATTTAATTTTCTCATTGAAATTTTTGGTATATTGGAAGAGAAATACTTTTACATATAAATAATGGATGCAGCTACATTACTGAATGTTCCTATTAGCAATAATAGTATTCCATTTCATTGTCTTGAGTTGTATGATTATGTCATCTGCAATGATAAATTTTTATTTTCTCCTTCATTTACTTTCATATTTTATTATTTTTTTCATAACTTGTAGCACTAGTAAATCTAGAACAATTTTAAATTAATTAATTAAACTAAAATTTAATTAAACATGTTTGCTCATCTTGATTATGAAATGCTGGTATTTTATTACAAGACCTAATGCTAAATATATGTGTAATCACATTAAAAAGCTATCCATATATTCCTGTTTACTAAGGATTTTTAAATCTAAAATAGCTTTAAAATCTGTATGTATCTAAAATAGCTAAAAAATATTTACCAAATGTAAGTTTAGCATTTCTGGCAATCATATGATTTTTTAATTTTATTTAATATCATGACTAACAGATTTTCTGTTATTAAAACATGATTACATGCCTGTTTAAACAAGAATTACTAATGTTGTGTATCATAATATTATATAGTATTATTGTACGGTATATTTTGGTATACCGTAGTAACATGAGTACATGAGTGAATAGTTCTGTTTTGTTTTGTTTTTGAGACAGGGTATTACTCTGTCACCCAAGCTGGAGTGCAGTGGCATGATCACGGCTCACTGCAGCCTTGACATCCAGAGGCTCAGGTGGTGATCCTCCTGCCTCAGCCCCCCAAATAGCTGGGACAACAGGCGCACACTGTCACCATGCCCGGCTAATTTTTGTATTTTTAGTAGCGACAGGGTCTCAAATTCCTGGGCTCAAGTGATCCACCTGCCGCAGCCTCCCAAAGTGCTAGGATTACACCCTTAAGCCACCGTGCCCAGCCCATATTTTATTAAAGAAATTTTCATAAGTGAAATTGCTCTGTAGTTATTTATATGGGAGGATGTATGTATCTGTGTAGATATAAACACATGCCGATACTGTTCCAGTCTTGAAAATGTGTCTCTGAAATCTTTGACATTAGGATTGTAATTAACGCATGGCCACAGTTGCCACATTCCCACATCCATCATTTACTCCTGTGCCAAGCATCTTGTGGGCTGCTCCCAGCTAATAATGAGTGTGACCCAGATAGTATGATTTTCACTTAGACTCCCCATGGGCCTTGCTGAATTTCCTTAGAACTGTGCTGAAATTTAAGACTCATCCCCCAAACAGTTTTTTCCTTCCTTCTCTTCTTCCTAAGGATCAGACACACATGACAGTCTGATGGCTCTACCAGCCTCCCTTGTCTCACTTCCCATACTCTTTCATGGTCATTTCCCTTAATAAATCACTTCCTTGTTTGATGTTATCTTGTCTACTCTTCAGAAGACTTAAACTATCATGTTCATGTGTACCCAAAGATGTCAGAGAAAACAAGCAGTTAGATGGGGATTTTGGACCGACCCACAGGGCCAATAAACTATAACATGTAATTAGGGGCTGAGTGGGAGCCACTAATTAAGAATTAAGTGGCATGTACCATCAGGACTCAAGGAAGTATTTCTAGGAGTGAATATATTTTTTATTAAAGTTCCAAAGAATTTATTATCAAAACTAAAAACAAAACTCCAGTTGTACATAAAGTAACAAACCTTTACAACAGCTGTTGAGGGAAAGTGGTGATGCAAATTTACAAACATTGCTGAAGGCCAAGAGGAAGGGCAAAGGAGAGTTCCAGTTGGAATATCAATTACTTTCATGCAGCTTACTCTTCAATTAAACACTCATGACCCATTGAATGAAATCATCACATGGGAAATTCACAATGCCTTGCTGAGCAGTATGCCATCTTCGAAAGCTATCTGTCAGAGCCCTAAGTTTGACACAGCAGGTGATGTATTCATCGATGGTGATCTTTCCATTGGTGGTGTATCATTTTCCAATTGAATTCGCGGTCTTGGGACTCAACCTAAATCCCATTGTCGTCAGCGCCTTCTGCAATTCTTGTGGAACCACCATTCCACTCCTATAGGTGTCAAAACTGATGAAGCGTTCTCTCCAGCCAACAGCCAGAAGGTCTCTGTTGTAGCTTTTATAGAGGCCTTTATCTCCTCAGTTAGAAGGGCAAACTCAGTTGACACACAGGCCAATGATCTATTTGTTAGCATTCCAGAGCTCCACACATTTAAATGCTCAAAGAAGGCAGGCCTGTTATACAAAGGTTGGGACTCTGGTGAAGAAACCCCAGGACCCTGCACATGAGAAGAGGTCATCTGCATGGATTTCCCTTTAGATGTTGACTCTGCAGTGTTACGTCTCAAACTCTTGAGGTTTGCAGAGCTAGCACCTCTACCCTAGTAAGATGTAGCATTTCCACACTTCTGGAAGACACTACAGAGGCCTCTCTCCTAGAATGCTGCAGGTGGCCCCTCAGAAGCTGCCTCTACCTTCTTTGTTAGCTGTCAGACCAATAACAATAATTAAATACCAGGAGAAGGCTGGGCGCAGTGGCTCAGGCCTGTAATCCCAGCACTTTGGGAGGCCGAGGAGGGCGGGTCACGAGGTCAGGAGATTGAGACCATCCTGACTAACACGGTGAAACCCCACCTCTACTAATAGAAAAAATTAACCGTGTGTGGTGGCAGGCGCCTGTAGTCCTAGCTACTCAGGAGGCTGAGGCAGGAGAACGGCGTGAACCCGGGAGGCGGAGCTTGCAATGCGCCGAGATCGTGCCACTGCACTCCAGCCTGAGCAACAGAGCAAGACTCCACCTAAACAAAACAAAACAAAACAAAACAAAACAAAACAAAAAAACAGCAGAAAGTGGCTGGAGGTATTCTGGGACTGATAAGAAGGGAAATAGCCTATATACCAACAATAATTGTAAGAATTAAGTGGCTTGTAGCCGCAGGACCCAAGGAAGTATTTCTAGGAGTAAATTTTTAGAGTGCTTGATCAAGCTGTTTGGAATATCAGATTGGATAAGGGTTCATGATTGGGGTATTTTCTTAGGACATGGAATTTAACAGCCCAGCAAGGATATCAGGGGATGGGCCTAACTCACTGATGGAATGACTCTTAGAAACACAGAAAAAGTGATAGGCAACATTCAGAAAACCTTGAATATTCGAGTTGCCCTGGAAAATGGTAGAGAAAAAGCCTGACCGTTGAACAGACTGAATGGATCCTAAAAAATGGTTGTAGAGTATCTCAGATTCCACCACACAGTAGCCCCTATTATAGCTGCTTTGCCAATGTAGTATCATCACTAGAACAGATTAATTTGACTTTAGATAAATGGTATGTGGCCACTGATTTAGTGAATGCATTCTTTTCCATTCCAATTAGAAGACAGGGTCTGAAAAACTTTGTATTTAATATGTCAGCAAACAATATTCATTTACAGATTTGTCTTAGGGCTTCTTAAGTCTCCTGCCCTGTAGTCATAATACACTATGAAGAGACCTAGACAATCTGAGCATTCAAGGAAACATCACGCTGACTCGTTGCATCAGTGATATCACACTCAACGATAAAATGAGGAAGAGGCATCTAGGATGTTGCAAGTTTAAAAGACAAACACACACTAGAGGGTACAAGGTAAATTTTATGAATGCTCAAGACCTACCACTTCTGTGAATGTTTTAGAGGTTCAATCATCAGGTTCATGCCAAAGTAAAAGTTTCTGCGTCATTCATTCCCTACCACGATTAGGGAAGCACAACAGTCTTTGACTTCCGAAGTTAACAGATTTTATATTTATACATATTAAGCATGACCATGTATTGGGCTACTTTGAGTCAGTCCCAGAGGATAGGACTGTGCAACAAATTCAGACTGTGTTACAAACAGCTTTATTGCTTGAGTTATACAATCTAGCAGTCCCTTTGGTGGTGATAGTAGTGGGAAAAGATGCCTTATGGTCCTATGGCATTCCTGAACATATGTACCCTCCCACAACTGGACCAGGAAGAAATTGAGTCCTTGAATAGACCAATAATGAGTTCAAAAATTGAGGCAGTAATAAATACCCTACCAACCAAAGAAAGCCCACGACCAGACGGATTCACAGCTGAATACTACCAGAGGTACAAAGAACAGCTAGCACCATTTCTCCTGAAACTTTTCCAAAAAATTGAAAAGGAGAGACTACTCCCTCACTCATTCTATAATGCCAGCATCATCCTGATACCAAAACCTGGCAGAGATGCAACAAAAAAGAAAATTTCAGGCCAATATCCTTGATGAACGTCAATGCAAAAATCCTCAACAAAAATACTGTCAAACAAAATCCAGCAGCATATCAAAAAGCTTATCCATCACGATCAAGTAGGCTTCATCCCCTGGATGCAAGGTTGGTTCAACATATACAAATCAATAAATGTGATTCATTACATAAACAGGACTAAAGACAAAAACCACATGACTATTTCAATAAATGCAGAAAAGGCCTTCGATAAAATTCAACAATCTTTCATGTTAAACAGTCACAATAAACAAGGTATTGAGGCAACGTACCTCAAAATAATAAGAGCCATCTATGACAAACCCACAACCAATATCATACTGAATGGGCAAAAGCTGAAAGCATTTCCCTTGAAAACTAGCAAAAGACAAGGTTGACCTGTCTCACCACTCCTATTCAACATAATATTAGAACTTTCTGGCCAGGGAAATTAGGCAAGAGAAAGAAATAAGGGGTATTCAAATAGGAAGACAGGAAGTCAACTACCTTTGTTTGCAGATGACATGATCCTACATCAAGAAAATCCATCACATCAGTCCAAAAGCTTCTTAAGCTGATAAGCAACTTCAGCAAAGTCTCAGGATACAAAATCAATGTGCAAAAATAACTAGCATTCGTATACACCAACAACAGGCAAGCTGAGATCCAAATCACAAATAAACTCCTATTCACAATTGCCACAAAAGGAATAAAATACATAGAAATACAGCAAACAAGGGAAGTGAAGGACCTCTTTGAGAAGAACTACAATCCACTGTTCGAAGAAATCAGAGAGGACACAGACAAAGGGAAAAATATTCCATACTCACAGATAAGAAGAACCAATATTGTGAAAAATGACCATACTGCCCAAAGCAATTTATAGATTAAATGTTATTTCATTAAATTACCATTGACATTCTTTGAAGAATTAGAAAAACAATTTTAAAATTCACATGAAACCTCAAAAGAGACCAAATATCCAAGGCAATTCTAAACAAAAAGAACAAAACTGGAAGCATCATGTTACCCGACTTCAAACTATACTACAGGGCTACAGTAACCAAAACAGCATGGTACTCATACAAGAACAGATACATAGACCAACAGAACAGAACAGAGAACCCAGAAATACAACCACACACCTACAACCATCTGATCTTCAACAAACCTGACAAAAACAAAAAATGGGGAAAACATTGCCTATCTGATATAAAGTATTTCATCTAAATTCTGATGATTTGGTTTGTATTAGAATGTCTGTTTTTAATAAGTTTTGCATTTATCTTTTTCTTTCTTCTTTCTTTTTTTTTGAGACAGAGTCTTGCTCTCTGACCCAGGCTGGAGTGCGGTGTGCAGTGGTGCGATCTCAGCTCACTGCAACCTCCACCTCCTGGGTTCAAGAGATTCTCCAGCCTTAGCCTCCCAAGTAGCTGGGATTACAGGCATGTGCTTAGCATTAAGCCTAGTTAATTTTTGTATTTTTAGTAGAGACGGGGTTTCGCCATGTTGCCAAGGCTGGTCTCGAACTCCTGAGCTCAAAGTGGTCTGCTCACCTCAGCCTCTCGAAGTGCTGGGATTACAGGCGTGAGCCACCACACCTGGCCTATTCTTATCTTTTATTAAATATACCACACTTTCTTTCTCTGAACATTTTTTTAGATATGGTGGTAATCATATTCTAGTATGTGACAGTTGTTGTATAGAAGTCTGAAGCTAATTTGAAGTCTTTCCCTTTGGAGGTGACTTGATATTTTGCCAGAGTGGAGAGCTCATTTATTTTTTTGAGATACAATCATAATGTACCATGTTACGTATATATTTTGTGTGGCTTCCTTTTTACTACTTCTTATCATTGAATCCATTTAATTATACAAGAAAAAAGAGATTTTTGAGGCAGGAGTTACATCTGAGTTTGGAAAGTATCCTGAATTCACAGAGAAGACCCTTAACTACTGACTCGTGTGTGTTGGTCTAAGCCTACCTCTTGCTTATCAATAGCTTCCTGGCCCCACATTTTCCTGGGTTTCTACAGCTCTTCCTTCAATTATCTGAACAGTCCCAAGATTCTTCACATGAAACTGGAGCTTATTTATTTTCTTTCTTCCTTAATTAGAATGAGCTGGATTTCTGTTACTTGAACTGAAAGGAAACTAACACACGTTTTAAAGTAGACAACATAGATATTTGCGGGTAACAAAAGTAAAGATTCAAACATCTTAGCTGCTCCTTCAGAACAGTAAAACAAAAGCTTCAGACCTTTGAATACTGGCATGATTTCTTGTCCTGTATGTTGTAGCATAACTTAAGCACTGAATGTATCCCCAAGTTCATATATACCTACCTGATCCTCAGAAAATTAATTAAGTATGTAAGTTTCTGTCCCTCACTCAGCCTTGGTTATCTAATATGTGACATGAGTAAGAGAGTATGGTAATAATCATCTCAAGGTACAGACATAAGAATTAAAAGCAATGCACATACAATATCTGATTCAATGCATGGCATATTGTACATAGAAAATAAGCAATATTGATTAATGGTAAAATGGTATTAACCATATTATTAATGAATAAATAAATTGAATTTAAATGGCAGCCGCTTCCTGAGCTGTGAAAATTTCATAAACTGATTAAATTTCTTAAATGATTAAACTAAAAATCACATTATCAAGTCATCTAATAAGAACTGCACATGTCGAAAAAAAAATTTTGTAACAAAACAAGATACGAGATGAGAGTTTAAAATATTCAAAATTTGGATCTTGATGGCTCTCACAGATGATTACTTCTATTAACTTCTAAAAAAATGTTTTCATATATCATAGTGCCAGTGGACTCTAGCAAACAGAAGCTCTATGATATTATACAAAAGTCACAACTATGATATGTGGATAAAACCCAAGAGATGCAATGAGGCAGAAATAGGAGCTGTTGGCAGGTGTCTCACTCTGCCCCAAAATATCTCGATTCGGAATCATTACAGTGATAGTTAACACACCAAATCTATGCAGAATTTTGAACTTCATTGTACTGTAATCACAAAAAACTAAGTTAATTGAATTCACCTATTAATTTTAGATTGAAAGAATATCAGAATGTCTATGTCAGGAAATGCTATTGTTTCTAGAGTTAGTTAAAAACAATATGATAGAATTTCTTATTTTGACCAGACTTCCCAAACTAGTCAAAAAGGGACATTGGAGATAATTACTTCCAATCTCCCAGTCTCATTTTTCCAACAAGTTATTCTGAATCTGGCCTAATGCTGATTTAAAAATATGTCAGAAAATAAGGAAGAAATTATATTCCCCAGAAATGTCTTCTAATTCTTTATAACTCACTATTAACATAAATGAACATAAATGAGTTAATATAAAAGTAAGTGTCTCAGAAAGGCATGGTTTCTGCCAGTGTCATTTTTTCTATACTACTATGTTTTGTTTTATACCAATAAAGGGCAAACCACATAAAGATATTTTTCTAATCCCATTTTCATGATTTTTGTTTCCTTTTCATTTTTTTATTGAAGGAGATATTTTGCATTACAAATAAAAGCGTCAATTATGTCTAAATGTAATTAAAGATAAAGTTTAAAGATTGTATTGGTGACCCCAGAGTAGAAGTAGCTATTGGAAGCCTGTGCCAGCACATACTATTTTGTGTGCTGGAATGAAAACCCAAAAGCTTAAGCCAAACTCAGAAGGCCTAAGGGCTGGCATGATAAAATGACAGTGAGCTTGTTTGAAAAATACTATCAATTATCAATAAAACCTGAGTGGCTCCCTGTGGTACAAAGCATTAGTTAAAACAAAAAAAAATACACTTGAAACAAGACATTATCTTTATCGGTCTCTGATAGTTTTAAACATTACATTGAACATGACCAAAATATCCAACCCTCTTCATTGACTTCCTTCCCATTTTGCTGTGAAAATGATTTTTCCAGTTAGGCTTCCTCTGCCAGTGCAACAGAAGCTCATTTAAAATTATTCTTATGTGTAGAAGACACAATGCTTTATCGTTTATGAGTTACCTCTTGATCATCATCTATTCCTGAAAAAATGGATCGATCAGTGGCTAAAGTGTAATATTATTATTCATGAAAACTATTTTAGTTACATTCATTAAAATACATCCCATTATTAAATTTTTACATCAAGATGGCACGTATTAATACCATTTTTATTTTATAACAAAATGTATTGTTCAAAGTCACACCAATGTTGGTAATGGAGAAGGAAATTATATAAAACCAGATCTTCTAACTTCATGACATTTTCAATAACTTAAAATTCTTCTGGATACAATAGTCATCTAATTCCCTTTTACAACAGTATATGTGAACACTGGTCATTGCTCTTCATGAAAACAAAAAGCAAGGTGGCATATTATTTAAAAAAAAAAAACCTTAGCTTTGAAGTCAGACAAAATTGAGTCCAAAATATACCCATGCCACTTACTTGTATGGCTTTGAACAGAATACACAACTTAAACCCTATCACTCTCAGCTTCCTTACCTGTAAATAGAGATGCAAAGTACCTTATAGAGAGGCTAATTTACTAGATAATAATCATCAAGCAGCTAGCATATAAATTATTTAAAAATATTAATTATACACCTTTCCTTTGTATAAGTTTATTTTGATATTGAAAAGTTTTAAATTAAAATAATGGTTAAATTCAAATATATATTTTTTTCAATTTCATTCTCATTAATTTTTCAAGTAAAACAAATAAGAGCCAAGAAAAAAAAGCCTTCAAAAATAGAACATAGAAAAGAAATGTGTGAACACCAGGAAATTCCTTTACGTATAGCTAAAGAATAAACCCCCTCGTTCAGGGATAGGTTTCATTTGACCTTTGAGGATGCAGATCTGATAGACTATTTCATTTAATTGGAAAGAGCCACTCAATGGATTTTCTCAAGAAGGAATATGTTTTATTTGACCATTGAAGATGCAGATCTGATGGGCTATTTTGTTTAATTGGGAAAGAGTCACTCAATGGATTTTCTCAACAACTTCTAGTTTATATCATTAAAATTTAATTATAAAATAGGGGGAAGATCAGTGTGTGGAAATCCCATGTTACATAAACATCTTGAACTGTTTTTTTTCATATGAAGCAAATTTGGTCAGTATCATCTCACACACAAAATTTGTTTTTACAATTCAGGGCAAGTTCTGTAGAACAGCCAGATAACAGGAACGATTGTACTAGGGAAGACCAAGTGAGGGAATACAGGACAGTGTACCAAGGAGAAATTAGAGCAAGGACTTTACACACCTTAAGTGCTTAGAGTGGAATGTTAACCTGGGATGAAGCTAAACAATGTGGTACCCAAAAATGTGCTAAGGAAATGTCAACACATGGTTTCCAGCAAAAGGAGACATTTAGATTTCTAGGAAAGGATAGGAATATGGTTTGGATGTGTGTTCCTACCAAATCTCATGTTGAGTTTTCATCCCCAGTGTTGGAGGTGGGGCCTGGTGGGAGGTGATTGGATCACGGGGGCAGAAGTCTCATGAATGGGTTAACATCATCCCCTCAGTGCTGTTTTAAAATTGTGTAGCACCTTCCCCGTCTTCCTCCTACTTGTCTTACTATGTAAGACAAGTCTGCTTCCCCTTCGCCTTCCTCCATGTTTGTAAGACTCCTGAGGCCTTTCCAGAAGCTGAACAGATGGCCAGGCTGCTTTCCGTAGAGCCTGGGGAACTGTGAGTCAACTAAACCCCTTTCCTTTATAAATTACCCAATCGCAGGTATTTCTTTGTAGCAATATGAGAACAGACTAATACAGACAGTAAGATTTCAGGTCTAAGTTACTGGACCTCATCTTCCCTGCCTATTGTAGCCACCCTTCCTTAATTCCAAAACCCAAGGCTACCAGTGTCTAAATCTTTAGAAAATATTTTCTGGAAACCAGTTTACTTTCCACCTTTCTTTGCTTATTCAGAAAGTGCTACAGGTTACTCAGTTATCATCTCTTTGGTTGACTACTGACTTCCAAAAATATATCACTGTTGTCTTACGTTCTTTTCTTTCTGTCTAATTATTCATTAGATGCTTATTTTGCACTTCTTATTTACAAAACACTGTTCATATACAGGTCTCAATGTTAAAGTGTTAACCCATGTAAAAAAGCTAAGGCAGTGAAGTCCACCTTGGTACAAATTTCAAAAATGTTATAAATTACATACTATTTACCAAAAAGGGTAGTAAATGAATATACAAGAGGGGAGATTATTTCTGGTGAGGGTATTGGGAAAAAAAATTTGCAAAACAAATGTGGTATTTGAACAGCTAAAGGAAAAACACACAGTATAGGATTTCTACATGATAATTAGTGTCTGCTCTGATATACTTCCCCCCACCTAGTCTGCATTTAGCACCTGATAACCTTTGCTGTAGCATAATGGATGTGAACACGTTTACTTTTTGGAACCCAAACTATATCCAACTATAAAACTATATCAAAACTGTATCAAACTATAGCTTTGTTACTAGTTTATATGATCTTTCACATCTTCCTGGAGCTCTAGGTGCCAGGGTTTCTATTCTTGTAAAGTGAAGCTAAAATAATATTCATGTAACAGTGTTGTCATGAGTATTAAATTTGTTAATACATGTAAAAGTACTTAGAATCGGGCCTGGCATATGGTAAACTCTCATTACATGTTAGAGATCTTTAGAATTCAAAATTATATAACCTATTGCAGTTTTCTCTGTTCTTTGAAGCTTCCATCTCTAACTCAACAGTATCCCTTTGTTCTGGCAAAATCTGGCCCAGATATTTTCTGTTATCTATATCTCCTTTTGCTTGCCCTATAATTTTAGGCTCCAGAAACATTTGCAGCAACAAGCAATATTCTATCTTGTTAACTGTCCCGATATTCTATCTTGTTAACTGTCTTTTTTTGGCCCTGGTGCTTTCAAGTCCTGGAATGGTTATCTCTGCTCTTTCCTGGGTGATAAATTCAACCTCCAAATTTTACTCCAGCCATGATATAGTCTGTGAAGTCTTCACTTACTCATCTTTTCTCCAGATTTGATTTCTCCCTCTCCTGTGCTTTGTTGAATTGCATGGAAGGTAATATAATTTTATGGATTGATTTGTAGTGACATGAACAAAAGAGCTTTCTAATCTTAAAATATAAAAAATAGAATAATTGAATTTCTGAGAAAGAAAGGATGTGGGAGAATTTTGTCTAATCCTCTGCTTTTACATCCAAAAATACCATGTAGCTTGCTCAATGGAAAAAGAATGGTAATAACAAGTAAGACACATTGAGTACTATGCTCCATGCACTTTCCTAAGCACTTTATGTGCTTAACTCAGGGGTCCCCATCCCCCAAGCCACAGACTGGTGCTGGTCAGTGGCTTACTAGGAACTAGGCCTCACAGCAGGAGGTGAGCAGTGATTGAGCTAGGGAAGCTTCACTTGTACAACCGCTCCCCACCGCTTGCATTACCATCTGAACTCCACTTGCGTTACCTTCCGACCTCCACCTCCAGTCAGATCAGTGGCAGCATTGGATTCTTATAGGAACTCAAAATGTTTTGTTAACTGCACATGCAAGAGCTCTAGGTTGTGCTCTCCTTATGAGAATCTAATACCTGATGAGCTGTCACTGTCTTCCATCATCCCCAGATGGGACTGTCTAGTTGCATGAAAACAAGCTCAGGGATCCCATCGATTCTACATTATGGTGAGTTGTATAATTATTTCACTATATATTACAGTATAATAATAATAATAAAATGCACAATAAGTGTAATGCACTGAATCATTTGGAAACCAACCCCCCCATGCCAGTCTGTGGAGAAATTTTATTCCACTAAACCAGTCCCTGGTGCCAAAAACGTTGGAGACCGCTGCCTTAACATATTTAATTTTCTTAATAACTCTTTGAAGTAGATATCACTACCATATCTTTCTTACAGTTCTTATGCCTTCCCAAATGCCACTCACCCCAACAGAAAAAGGAGATATAAAGGATATATTAGTTTGCTATGGCTGCTTTAACAAAGTACCAAAAACTGAATGTCTTAAACAGCAGAAATTTACTGTCTTGCAGTTCTGGAAGCTGGACATTTGAGATAAAGGTGCAGCAGGGTTGGCTCCTTACAAGGACTATGAAGGGGAAATTCATGCCTCTCTCCTAGATTTGTTGGCTTCTTCTGCATCATTCCAATCTCTGCCTTCCTCTTCACAGGGTGTTCTTCCAGTTTGGATGTGGTAAGGAAAAATACAAATTTAAAATAAGAAATTTATTCTCCGTGTTGAAATAAAGTAAGAGATTTCCCTCCCTTCCTGTTTCTTAGAGCACTGGCCTTAGAAAACTTTTCATTTATCCTATCTTTGAAGTGCATATAAATCCTTTTAAAAACTATATAGGCATTTTCTCAGCTCTACTGACTCAGCAATATCTTTATTAAGGATATCAGAGCCATCCCTCTGAAATGTAAATATAAAGGAAGATAGCACCCCTATCTCCCAGTTTCTGTGAGAGGGTAAGGGCTTAACTTCAGTGAGTACCTTGCTCCGGGATGCAAAACTACCTTCTGCCATAAAGACATGAGAAATTTGTTTTTTCCACAGATAAAACCAATTAGTTAACAGAGATGGTTATCCCAATTACCAGGTAAAATAGAATTAATTATATATGACAAATGGTATTGTCAAGTTCTCTTGAGCACTAATTACTATTTACCCTAAGAACATACATGTGAAGCTGGGCACAGTGGCTCACGCCTGTAATCGCAGCACTTTGAGAGGCTGAGGTGGGTGGATCACGAGGTCAGGAGTTCAAGACCAGCCTGGCCAATATGGTGAAACCCCATCTCTACTATAAATACAAAAATTAGCTGGGCGTGATGGTGCGTGCCTGTAGTCCTAGCTACTCAGGAGGCTGAAGCAGGAGAATCACTTGAACCCGGGAGGCGGAGGTTGCAGTGAGCCGAGATCACGCCACTATACTCTAGCCGGGGCAACAGAGTGAGATGCTGTCTCAAAAAAAAAAAAAAAAAAAGAAAAAAAAGAACATATATGTGAAACGGTAAGATTTATTTCTGTCTTTGAAATATATTAGCAGATTACCTGTTACATGCATCATATTCTGGCTAAATGCTTATTCAATAATAAAATTGTTTCCTTTCTCTACTGCCTTTGTGAAGAGGTTTTCCAAATTGGAAGATTATATTGTAAGTTATGTTTTCCAATAGTGTGTCTATATTCAAATTTCCCATTTTTATAAGGGCAGAATTCATATTAGGGCCCAACCTAATCACTTAATCTTAACTTTTGACATCTTTACTAACCCTGTTTCTAAAGTCACATTGTGTAGTACTGGGGGTTAAAACTACAGCATATGATTGGGAGAGTAGGGAGATTCCAACCATATTGGGAGAGTAGGGGGATTCCAAAAAAAAAAAAAAAGACTAATTTGTCCCATGCCCAATTAGTAAGAGAAAAAACAACCAGATTACATGAACCATGCCCTCATATTTTATGTCATGCTTCTAAACACTATACATGGTTATTTCAAGTAGTTTTTTCACTACATAGGAACCCTAAAGTAAATAACCAAATTTCACATAATGCTAGACTCACTTAAAAATAAACTGCAACTCCTGGCTAAAGCATCCCTAATTGTTATTTTTCTAAGGAAGAAATTCTATTCACCTCTCATGCTTTTACTCTCAGACCTAGGAAAAACTATATTATTAAGAGAAGTAGTTTCAAACACAAAAAACAGTTTTAGATCTTTAACATGAATTTAAAATGACATTACATGAAAGTACTTTCTGAAACAGAAAGTGGTTATTTTTTTCCAGAAAAATAACTACCTGGCACATTGCATATAGATTCATAATCTTGTGATTATACATGCAACTTTTACTAGCCTGAAACTTTAATAGGAAGAAGGAAACAAAGACAGTGTGTCCTTAATTCCTAGTCACAGCCTCTCTTTCAAGTCCAAGGATCTTCTGCTTTTTCTTCTTTAATTTTGTAAAAGTCCTGCAAATTCTTTCATTGCAGCATCTCTGCCATACAAAACCATCTGAACATGAATTATTTCTAATTCTTAATAGGACTTCCAAGTGAAAAAATGTGTTTATGGCTTTTATTGTTCTATTTCATCTATTCTCAGGCCAGACTTCACTGCTGGTTTCTTCTTTATTGGTGCAGGAGAAGTTTATTGCATAATTCATAGCCCATTAATGATCTGGCAACCAACAAAACTCTTAAGGCACTGCAAAAATAGCCATGCCCACTAAACAGAGAGATTAACTGTGCTTGGATGCTGTGAACAACCATTCAGGGAAAGCAAGTAAATTGAAGGGGAACATTCTTAGACAAAGAAACTAAATGTACATTTCCATCTTCTTTTTCAAAGAGAATTTTATTTTAAGTATTTTCTTAGGGGAAATCTAAAAAGCACTGATATTCCTCAGCCATTACATGAGCACAGAAATATTTACTTAACAAATATTAACAAATATTTCTTTACCTGAAAATATAAAACTTTCTTTCTATGGAAGTAAAATTGTGAACATGCTTTAATTAATTCTGCCAATTGGATATATTACTGTTTAAGATATGGCATCAGTAAAGGCTGACACCTTTTCAATATTTTTATTCATATTTAGTCAGTATGCAGCTTCAGGAGGCAAACTTTATATTTCAGTTTTTAGCCATTCCTGATGGGCCCTACATCTGAGTATTCCATTTTTCACAGCAATGGATATAACAAGCCTGTTGGCTTTCAATAATATTCTTCTTACCAGTGCAAGTTCATCCTGGCACAGATGATACGACTTGCATGAACTATTAGACGATCAGCTTTAGACCATTCACTGTACCACCAGGTCTTACCCTCTTTCTGCAGTAATTCTCTCGTAATTCTCTGCAGCTGTGTTACTGATACAGGTAATATAGCAAGCATTTATAAAATATTTGAAATTTTTCTCTTTTAGTTGAAGTCATGTTCAGAGCTTTCTTCAAGTCAATTCTGGGAACCTTTGATATATTGTGTACTTTCTAAAATAACTTGTGAGTTTTTTTAAAAGTAAGTTGGAGAACTTCAATAGAGAAAAAGAAAAGAAAACTGACTGTTAAAATTATTTTCAGATACATATAAAAGCCACATATAACAGGCTTGCAAAGCAGAGAGCCACGCACTGATTTCTGAAGCTTTTTTTTTTTTCCTAAGTGTCAGCAGCACTGTGACCTAGAAGCAACCTTTCCCTTTTATTGCTTTGGCTTCACATCTTAAGTAGTTCCCCTTTGCATGTCTTTGAAGGAAGCAGTATATGGATCTGTCCCAACCTTACTTCTCCAGGCTTCTTTCCCATCTTGCCAACTCAAAAAGCCTGTATCAACACCAGGTTACTTTACTTATAATACCCTAAATATAGACTATTCATGAATTACTCTCAGCTATTTATTTTGGGGATCTCACCACCTAGAATCCCTTCTTTTTTCCTCTGTGACCTTTTAAATTCCTCAAAACCTTAAAAGAAGCCTCATCTTCTCCAGGTTAATATATTATTTCTCTGCATGTCTACAGAACTTAGTATAAAAGCAGAAAGAACTCTGGTGGATATTATAGAACAACACTTTCATTTTGGGGGAAAAAGATTCTGTGTGTTAACCATGGCTCACCCTATGAGTCATGATGTGAGAATATTTCTGTATCCCTTGAGAAATATCCAGGAAAAAAGAATGCAATAGTATAATTAGTCTTAAAGATCAATAAAAATAGTGCTCATGTTGCTTTTGTAAACCAACTTGTCAATCAACCAATAAACATAAAATGAAAACCTACTACGTATGAGTACTATTTAGGTGTTATAGGAACTATGGAGAAGTACACATATGACACTTGCAGGTTATTTAAGTGTTGAAAGAATAGCTAACGTCGAATGTGAAAAGAATTACAGGAGTGTGGGAGGAAGGTCACTGTGGAGTAGAGAAAGACTTTGTAGAGGAGATCAACCTTAGACTACATCTTGAATTATGAGTGAAAAATGGCCAGTTAATGAGAAAATATTAACATCAAAGGACTGGAGATGGCAATTTATCAAGTCTGCTTTAAGAACTTATTTATTTGAAAGTTTATAAAAACAATAGAAAAGAATGGGTTTAAAAAGTTAGCCATCAGTCACCTGTTGGGAAGTGCCTTCAATTCCAGTTTTAGAAGCCATGCCTTCATCTTCAAAATGGATAATACGGTGTGATAAAGTAAACTTTAAGATTTTTGAATACAGAAATATGGCCAAAAAAAAGCAGTGATCCTTAGAGAATTAAACATGTTTAATTCTGAAGATTTAATTTGTGTGCAGGGACATTGGACAGAACATGATTAGATAAAAATGTATAGTGATAATCCAGAAGTTAGATGACAGATACAGGAGAATTTTTTAAAATAAAACAAACAAAAAATTAACAGTAGCAATTGTGGGATATATGGCCTTGCATAGTATTATGCATATAGCATGTTTCCCAAATTTTGTGGTGAAAAAGTTAATAAGTGAGCTGCAATCAAAAGGAAGTAGCATCGAGAGTTTCCCTGGCATTATTTAAAATTGATCCTAATATTTACTGAACAGTAGGGTAAACCTTTGCCCAGTAGGGACATTGTACTTCATCTTAGAATGAGTTGAGTTTAGCTGATAGGACTAAAATCATGGCTTTGAATTTGGCTTCTGGCATATCCTCAGCTCTAAGTTCTTAAAATCAGGAATGACATTTTTCCTTGTGTCTCCTATTCAAGTAAGGGTAGAAATAAAAGAAACAAAAGAAGTAGAAAGAGAGAAATTCAAGAAAGATAAGAGGACATTTATAGGCAAACTTAGCAAAAGGAGGCAGCAATTCCAAGGATTACCATAGAAGTTGCAAATCGCACAAACTGCAGTGTTCATCCAAGAATACCAATGTCTAGTGATAAAAGTACTAAATGAGCTACCAAGAGCTTAGCCTGAC
The DNA here is from genome assembly GCF_000001405.40 of Homo sapiens. Taxonomy (NCBI): domain Eukaryota; kingdom Metazoa; phylum Chordata; class Mammalia; order Primates; family Hominidae; genus Homo; species Homo sapiens. Next base: position 58,087,994 of record NC_000004.12, on the reverse strand, counting down.
ATTGTTATTAGCCACCCACTGTTCTTAGCCTGACAACTTCTAGTGCTACCCCTGCCAAAGATTTGATATCCTTTGGAAATACGATAACCAGTATCATTTCCAAAATGACCCCAGCCATTATTACTAGTACCGGAACTACTCGAGAATTCTGTTTTCATTATCTACCACAATGTATAGAGAAGTAAAGTTCATTTATCTTTAAGCTGCCTTATATTTATAGGAGCTCTTATAGAGCCAAGTTATAGGTGTATCTTAATGATAATACTTTTCCTATATGTACCTATTGCTCTGAAGCCAGATGCATGGATTTTGACTTTTTCCTTTGTATAACTAATTACCCAAGATGTATTATATAAATAGATTTTTGATGGACCCACTCTCTAATTCTCCAAGTATCACTGAATGCAAAGTTGGACAGAATGTTGACTCAATCTAAGAGTCTTATCATTCACAGTCAGGAGATATTGGAAAGTTGCATAGTCTAGAAGAGGTTAAGTGTAAAGGCTTTGAATTCATATGAGTCTAGATATGAATGCAAATCCTGGTTCTGACACTTACTTAAACAGTCAGACACTTCACTCCATTACCATTTATCTTCTAAGTCAATTAGTTAAAATAATAATAGCAAACTCAGAGTTGCCGTGGGGATTAAATGATATACTGAATATAATGTAATTTAGCTCACTACTAGAAATAGAATGTTTGCTCAATAAATGATAGGTAGTCTGTTTTCCATAGAGAAAAGAAAGGAATCAAGTACTGAACTTTAAAAGAGAAAATACAGTGAATGTCTTTGGCAAGTAGAAAGCAACTAAGATAATAATAAGGCTATGGAAGGTAATGCAGAAATGTGCACATTGAAAATGCCTTACTATTAAAACTGGAAGACACAGAATTTAGGTAAAAAAAAAATTAAGAATTCTTAAATATAGTTTCATGCCATCATTTCTCTATTTATATAAGCAACTTACAGAATAACAAACAATAACATTGCACAATTTAGGACTGTTAGAGTTTTTATATTTTCTTAGTGTGATTTGAATTTCTACTTTCAGCAGTGCATGCCGTCTATAGACAGGCCCATGATTGGCACACAAAAAATCACCTGCACGTATTTTTCATACTCTCATATATATATGTACATATAAATAAAAATATCTTGTTAATATCAGCAGTTTTAAGAAGCTATAAAACCAAATACCACATGTTTTCACTTATAAGTGGGAGCTAAATGATGAGAACACATGGACATATAGAGGGGAAAAACACACACTGGGGCCTTTCAGAAGGTAGAGGGTGGAGGAGGGAGAGGATCAAGAAAAATAGCCAGTGGGTACAAGGCTTAATATCTGGGTGATGAAATAATCACAAGAAACCCCCACAACACACGGGGGTTTACCTATGTAAAAAAAACCTGCATTTGTACTTCATAAAATAAAACTTAAAAGTTATTAAAAAGGACATAGAAATCAGAAATAAAAAAAGAAGCTATAGTATGGGTTTAATTTAAACCAAACGTATCACAAGTAATTCTGCCTTTGAGTACAGCAATGGTTTTTCAGTAAAACATGCTCTAATCTACTCCCAATGAAAGAAATGGACAGAAAAGAGTAGTGGATTTCATCTAAGAGCTTTCCTTCTCACTTAGCCACATGTTTAATAAACCAGATAGAAACTATAATGCAGCAATGATTATACAAAGTATGATAGATAAAACATATAACTGATACAGTAGCAATAAGTCTATCATCCTTACCAAACCTTAAAAATATATGAATTGACAGAAGCATTAAAATACTTGGCATGTTATTTATTTAATTCATTTTTTGCACTCCATTGAAATGATAACAAAAACATTGAAATAGATTCAAGGCTTTGTTACAGTAGGTAGCTAGTCAGTCATGAGCAGGGCAGGAAAGGGCCCCGCTCCACACACTCACACCCCCCAGAATGTCAGATGACCACCAGGTGATGATTAGACGGTTATTAGCTGTCTCTCTAAAATAGTAATTGTTCACAGCTAGCACCAAGGACTGGCAATCTCCCAAAACATAGAAAACACCGAAACTGGTGACAGCTGCTTCCCGATATCACCCTCTCTTGCCTTCCTGCTTTCTGCCATGAATTGATGCCGCACAAGGATGCCAGCACCATGCACTTGAACTTCCCAGCCTCTAGAACCATGAGCCAAATACATTTCTCTTTATTATAAATCTTTCACAGCTACTCTGGGGGCTCAGGCAGGAGGATAACTTCAGGCCAGGAGTTTGAGACCAGCCTGGGTAATATAGCAAAACTCCTATCTTTTTAAAAAAAGAGAGAGAAATTCTCTATCTCCCACAGTTCCCTCTACAGATGTCTATGTTGCATTCTTTTTCTTATGGGCAACTTCTGTGTGTTTATCTCTATGTTAAAACCCACATGGTGTGCTTATTCAATGTTTGTCAAATGAAATATTGAGTGAGGAGATGAATCTGTGTGAGGATGTAAAGTGAGTGAAAACAAAGCTGTGTGAACAAATGAATATATTTCTCTTCATTATTTGCTCCCATTAATTATGTGTCTATTTTATGAAGGATGCCCTGTATTGACATTGCAGATTTGGGGTAAAAGTAGAATTTTAAAAATATTCAAGGACACTTTAAGGAAACACCAGGTACGAAAATGACATAAAAATCTCCCCACTGTACTTGAACTAATAGTGGAACTTTTTAATAGTGAAGCATTAATGCAATGGGATTTTAAATAGAGCCAATCCAAAAGTGCTTAATCTGAATGATGCAATTAGTTTAGAATGTTGGAAGGTAAATTATGAAGAAAACATTTTATTAGTCATAAATAAGTTGCCAATCATTTCTTTGTTGTTAACTTAAGAAGTTTTCTAAAAAAGGATATTTTTGAAATGTGGAATTTAACTACCATACATTAATGAGATTAAATAACTCACTAAAAGTGGCAGTTTTTAATTTGCTGAATTTTAAGTTACAATATCTTATTTCATTTTAGTAACACCCATAACTTTTTAAAATTATTTAATACATGATTTTAATTCCCACTAAGCAGTCTCTACTAAATGGCTTTAAAATGTTATCATCACGATAGAAGAAAATGTCAACCTTTTTTACAAAAATTCTCTTTTTGGACTGCTTTATTGCTATGTGCAGGCAATAGAACAAAGTCTAGGCTGATATGTTATATGCATTTACAAAAATGCCAGACATGTAAATAGTCTACCTTCTATTCCTCTTTTTAAGAAAAGGGCAATTACTTAATAACTTTAAGTCATTTGATATTAAAAAGAAGAACTGATGCTGAAAAAATTTTAATACTTGTGTTGGAAGAACAATCAAGATGGTATAAGTGAAGCTGTTAACAATTATTAGACCAGTAGTAAACAATTGGTAAGTATTATGTTTAGAGCTATAAACATAATATTTAAACATAATATATAAACATAAATATTATGACAGAGTAAGAAGTTGGTATGAAAACTCTCTTTATAATAGTGTAACCTCCTAGGACCCTTATATAGACAGTCACCATACCTCTCTAATTTTCTGAGATACACCTAATGTCTTCATCTGTTTTGTGCTGCTATAAAGAAATACCTAAGGCTGGATGATTTGGCTCACAGTTCTGATGGCTGGAAAGTTTATGGTTGGGCATCTGCATTTGGAGAGGGCCAGTCTTCTTCCACTCACAGTGGAAAGTGAAAGGGAGCCAGCATGTCCAGAGATCACAGGGTAAGAGGAAAAGCAAGAGAGGTGGGAGGTACAGGCTCTTGTAAACAACCACCTGTTAGGAGCTAATAGAGTGAGAATTTACCTCCAAGGGAGGGCATTAATCAATTCATGAAGGATCTGCCCCCATGACCCAAAGACCTCCCATTAAGCCCCACCTCCAACACTGGGGATCAAATTGCAACATGAGGTTTGGAGAAAATGAACATAGTACACCTTAATTCCAAACTATAGCATCTATTTCAAGCATTTTATCTTTTCTTCCCATAAATATTATGAGAATCATCAGGCAATAAATCTCAATTTTGAATTCAGATAATTCAGCTATGCCACTGATCCACCCTTTCTTCCAATGGTATTTAAATTACTTAGTATTTAAGTCACTCTATAACATCCATTGAATTTATCAACTTCTCTCCAAACCAACTTGAACCTACCAGCTCAAGCTACCATTGACTGTTATCTGCAATCACCCTTTAAATAGGTTTCCACATTTATTTTTTGAATTCCACTGATATACACTCTAAAGAGAAACAAGAGAAACTTTTAAAATATTTAAATTGGTCATGCCAGCCGTCTACTGAATAACATCAGTGAATTTCCACTGCAATTGGGGTAATATCCAAAATCTTTTCCATGCCCTCTAAGACCTCAGTATTCTGGCCTCTACCAACATCTCCCATCTGAATTAGATGCCATCTGCCTCTCCTACTCGTTGCTCCAGCAACTTTTTCTTCATTCCTTAATACGTTATAATTTTTCCCATCACAGGGTTTTGCCTGCCTTTGCTTAGAATGTTCCTCCCACTCTGTCCTTCACTTGTGAACTCTTAATAACTCTCAGATCTCTCTTTAAATATCAGCTATTCAGGACCCCTAGTCTTTTGCACACACATATTTTTCATTTCTCTTTTACCACAGAAATCTCACTTTAACAGTTTCTTGTCTGTCTGTCTCCTCTACGAGATTTTAAACTTTGTCATCACAGAAACCTTGTCATGTCTTGTCAACATTATATCCCTTCCTTATGATTACGTCCTAGAAAAATATAAAGTAGCCATACTGGGCTAACCCTGAGCAGGAAATTATCAAGCATCCCCTCACCAGTTCTACTGATGCTCATTGCAATGAAACGACAGCACAAGGAGGCCAGAAGTTAGGTTGGCAGGTCCCTCACAGGTGCCGTTCAAAGCAAAAAAAAAAAAAAAGCATTGGTGAATTACAGAGCTACATGCCTCAACAATGTGAGTTAGTAACACAAAGGAGAGAGAAGAGAACTGCTTTAAGATAAAAATAATTCAGGTTAAAAGTGCCAGTCATAACTTCATAATCCACAAGTAGAAAACAACGTCAGGTATTACTTCATGGAACTTCCTAAATAATGAGAAAATATTCTGACATATTTTTCTTATTTTGATTCTTCTCATTGTGTTCCACCTTCTAAAACAAAACTGCTTTGATACAGTTCTTGGATGGTGGGCCCTGTGGAGACAGAGGAAGCTCTGGGTGTTTAGAGAAAAAAAAGACAGAGCCTGGAAAGGAAGAAATCTTCCCAGGCAAGTGCTCCTTGGCAAGGTCAATGGCAAACATCCCTTCTTCCTCAACTACACATTTCTCCTCTACTTTTTACTCTCTCCCATTTATTTTCTCTTTCTCTCATTCTATCCCCCCATCCATTATAAATCTTCTCTCAATTCCAATGCTTGAGCTCCTTTCTTTTTCTCTCTATTGTCCCCTTTTATCTTGCTAAATTTCCTTTAAATAAAATTACTTCCTAGCCAGGCACTGTGACTCACAACTGTAATCCCAGCACTTTGGGAGGCTGAGGTGGGAGGATTGCTTGAAGCCAGGAGTTCAGGACCTACCTGGGCAACACGGCAAAACCCTGTCTCTACAAATAATAGAAAAATTAGCGGGACATGGTGGCGCACACCTGGAGTTCCAGCTATTCAGGAAGCTGAGAGAATAGAACTACCTGAGCCCAGGAAGGTCAAGGGTGCAGTGAGCCATGATCACGCCACTATACTCCAGCATGGGTGACAGAGAGAGACTCTTTCTCAAAAACAAACAAAAAAAAACCAAAAAATATATTTTTTAATTGAACTTTTTAATTGAAAGATAGTTTTTATTTCTATTTCATTGAGCTTAAAAATAAAAGGTGATGACAAAAATAGAAGGAAATTGGACTCCATATGCTACCATATTCCTCCATAAATTGGGCCCTATGAAGCAATGGTGAGGGTGGGTATAGCCAGAGGGAACCCTAGAGTGACACGCACTTCAACACCTTTTTTGTATTCAAGTATAGGCTATAAGGAATCATACTGAACGTTCTCAATGGATGATAATAAAGTAATTGTGAGGTAAGGTAATCTACAACTACACATATGAAATAACATATTTCTTACTATAAGTATTTAATTTGAAACCTTAATATACCACTTCAGAAAAGAAGTCAGGTCTTTCCCAAAAACAAATTACTTGTGAATGACATGAATAACTCTTTTTTATTTTAACTTTTCACACCCACAGTATCTTGCATTCATACTCTCAAGAACTCAAGGGCTGGAGAATCTTCACAGATTAGCAGAGAAAATTTACTTCACTTGTCAAAGAGATGGCATCTCCTCTGGGGAGGGAGCTGGCAGCTCTTTAGCAATGCATTATGCCTCATGACATTCTAGAAGTTGAAGAGTGGATTGTGACTGTTGTGATAGCTCCTCCAAGCCTTCTTACAATAGATTCACAGTCTCTGCCACATGGATTTTTATTCTCTGAGCATGACTTCTTATAAATAAGGCATCTTGCCTCTCTACCCTTTTGTCAGGTGTCAGAAACTTTACTGATTTATGTTTTAGAAGTATATAGAGCTGATTCTTTCTCACAAGGTGCAAGAAAAACAAAAAAAGAAATAATTTCTAAGACAGTGTCTCTGGCCTTGGTTCTATCTTTTAATATCCTGCATATCCCTTGAACTCTGTCTCAGGTGCATTAATAAAAGTTAGGTATTACTATTTTAATCTGCCTGTGGTTGTCTCAGCCTTCATACTATGAAGTCTGTGCAAGTTACTTCTTCATTAAGAAAATTTATAAATTCAACAGATTTTCATTATGGTTCCACACTCTTCCAAGAACTAGAAATACAGCTGTTAACAAAAAAACCCTTGTCCTCCTGGAGCTTATTTTCAATAAAGGGCAGATAGACAATAAACAAATAAATAAATAATGTCAGATTTAGAAAAAATAAGATAAAAGAATAACAAATGATAATGGTGGTAAGTAACTGTTATATATAAAGTGATCAGAGTGGTATCTCTGACAAAATGATGTTTTAGCGGAGACCTGAAGGAAGTTAGAACATGAATCATTTGGTATCTAGGAGGAAGAGTGCTCTAAGCAGAACATAATTTAATAGAGACCACTGTTCTTAGCCTAGGGGAGAGTAAGAGCAAAGAGGGGAATATCAGAAGATAAAATCAGATAATTTGCCTATGAGAAATGGAAAGGTTTGAATTTTCTCAGAGATAGGGCACAGGTATGACTGTCTCATTTACACTTTAACAGGACCACTCTGCCTAATCAGTGGAAAATAGACTGGAAAGCAAGGGTGGAAGCAGAAAAACCACTTTAGGAGGCCATTGCAGTAGCTCTGCAAAGAGATGATGGTGCTTTGAATTAGACGATATATGGAGCATAATAGTCAAGAAGGAAGGAAAAGTGTTCAATGGAAAGCTTAGCATAACTCAACAATTCAAACATGGAAAACAGAAGTCATTTCTAAATTATAGAGAAAATATTTAAAAATCTTCAGCTGAGATAATGATCATAGTGTGAATGTAACTTATCTTTTTTATGCCATTGTTTACCAGCTGTTTTCCAGTGTGTGACATTTCTTTGCAACTAAGGGAGAAATGAGATTTTTTTCTCTTCCATCTATTGGTGGAAAAAAATCCCCCTTTATCACTTTCTTCTTTTACTTCATAAATGTAAACACACAAGTAGAAGCAAACGCAGATACACACACTATACAATACATACACACACACACACACACAAAACTATCCTCTCTTGTAACAACTTTACTCTTCAAGGAAAAATACTTCATATTCTCATGAAGATAAACATGCCATGGCATTTTAAGAATAATGAGCCAGGATCAAATTTGTAAAAATACACATTGTATTCATGACTAGTCATAGTTACCTACAAACTTTGTCCACCCTTAACTGATAATTTATTCACACATGTTATAATTATTTTTAATCACCTATTATGTACTAAATGCTTTCAGATATATAAATAAATTGACGTTCTATTGAACAATTGCCTGTAATTATAACAAATTCAATGATTGCATGTATATTAACCATCATATCCCTCCTCCTATAAACATTAACATATTATTTGCTTTTTATTGTTCAAAAGAGACATATATCTTCTTTCCCAGAGGTAATGGAGGTAAACAAGAAATAGGGAGTTAGGAAAAACTCAAGAATTAGGAGATATGTATGTCTTTTTTTTTTTTCTCTCCTTTGGTAATGTTTTCTTTTTCCCTCATTAATTCTCAGGAGTCTATTTCAAGAAGACTCACAAAGAGAGATTTTCTTAACTTGGGTTGAGAGGTTAATGAATTTCTTGGATTCAGGAACCCATAAAGTTATAATACAACATTAGCAATTTGGGCATAAGTTACAGCAAATAGAAACCTAATGCGAACTAGTTTAAATTAGAAAGGGAATTTTTTAGTTCATATTACCCAAAAATCAAGGGGTACAGTTGGCTTCAAGAAGTTCTTGTTCCAGAAGCTTAAAGGATATTGGGGCTTTATCTGCTCTCTACCATCAAGACAGACCCTTGAAACATGCCAGAAATGATGTCTTCCCTCTGCCCAAGTCTCACACTCCATCACCTTAGAGCCTCAGGGAAAGAAGGCACTCTTGCCACAATTTCAGCAAGAGTTATGTGGAGAGCTGTACCTGGTCTAGCTTAGTTCATGTGTCCATACATGAATGAACCACCACGGTAAGGGAGGTCCATAGCTAAAGGGTCAGGCCTGGGTAACATATCTAGTGCTTTCCATTTGGAGGGTGAGGTCAGCTCCAAATGCACCCTAATGTGCTCCAAATGCACCTTCAATGTGTTCCTCGACAGAAGAGAGGGGAAATCTACTGTAATGAAGAGGGAGTGATATGGGCCACCAAAAGCAACAGATGCACCTTAAGTGCATATATGCATGTTTTTGAGCAAGAGCAAAAAAGGAAAGGCTTTCCTCAGACTTTAAAAGGGGTCCATGATTTCCCCCCGAAAATTTTAAATAGCATTGAACTGAGTATAGACTTGCTACCTGGAGGTACAGATCAAGAAAAACCCCAAGCACGAAAAAGATATTTTTCTATGTAATTTTGATTTTGACCAGCATTACATTTTTTTATCAAATAACCATAATTTAGCATCCAGAAGCTTATTCAAGTTTTTGTAGAAAGGAAGAACATAACCTTCCAGAGCCTAAATCACTTGGTGAATATAAACTGAGCTTCTGAGGAGGTGAGTTTGTTTTGTTGATTGGTTGCTTGCTTGGTGTGTTATTTTCCTCTTATACCATGACACATGTGTACAGTCATGAAGAGACTTCATTTTATCTCCAAATGTCTCTTTGAATTTCATCCACTCAAGTGAGTTCTTTGCTGATATTGTATGAAAAGTTGGGCACTGCCAGGGCTTATGTGGTGGCTCTTAGATAACAGCCATGGTACTTTAAATTGCCAAACACAGCGTGACTCAGAATGTTAGAATGTCTATAATAAGTAAAAATCTGATCTTCATTTAAATTTCATTGGACATCCTGGCTCCGTTTTTTTGTATAAGAATTTTTTAGGAAATCCAGCATGCATTTTTGGTAATGTATAGAGATTGCTACAAAAATTCTGAATGGACCCGCATATAACACAATCAGTATATTGAACAAGCCATGCTAGTGGAATCGAATCCCAAAGCAAATGTATTTTCTTCTTCCCTGTTCTTTTTACCTTTATTCAGGGAAGCTAGATTTTTCTAACCTGAGTAAAAGCTTAGCGTTCAAAACTTAGACAACACAAAGTGTCTTTAAAGCAGCAAATGCATAGATGTGATTCATTATTTAGAATGTCCAGACTAATATAATAATCCAAGCTTCTACTTTCATTCAAAGTTACAGCTACTCTGCTCCCAGCTAGGGTCTACAGATAGAAAAACAAATGAACAAAAGAAGAAGGTCTATTCAGCTTTTTTCTTCTCTCTCTGTTCTGCCACTATATCACCAACCATAGTTTCTGAATCAAGTTGGAGCATAGGGAGGGAGAAAAGTTAAGTAGAGGAAAGGACATTTGTATTTGATTGTTACTGTCATAGCTAGTTCTATACTTTCTGGACCTTGACACTTTTTAAAACTAGCTTCAATTTGTGTAGGCATATTTGTTGATCGTATACATATATATATGTGTGTGTGTGTATATATGTATATATATATTTGTGTGTATATATATGTATATATATGTGTGTGTGTGTGTGTGTGTATATATATATATATATATTTTTTTTTTTTTTTTTTTTTTTTTTTTTGAGACGGAGTTTCACTCTTGTTGCCCAGGCTGGAGTGCAGTGATGCGATCTCAGCTCACCGCAATCTCCGCCTCCCAGGTTCAAGCAATTCTCCTTCCTGAGCCTCCTGGTCCTGCCCCAATTTTTAAGGACCCCTCACCTGTGGTATTCTTGATTTGGCCCATTCACTTACCTCATTGATTTATCTTCCTCAACCCATCAGAGTGTCAATACGAATTCAACATGTTTGTGCTGAGTTTGCTCTTCCAAGTAACCCACTTGGTCAGGACTTGAGATAATTTTACTGAAGTTCGATCTTACTCTTGCCTACATCAGTTTCAAATGACATACTCACTCTTCTTTAACCTTTATATGCTCAGAGAATGCAGGCCCTCCCCACAAAGCCACTTCATCTCTGGCCATTTATGTAGTGGTAGATACACATATGAACTCATGGTATTCTCCACTCCCACTCCTCCAATGCGGAGGACGCATCAAACTCTCCCTGTACGCTTAGATTAAAACGTGGGATATGTGGAATAGCCTTTCCAAAGAAAATATTCCTCACTCTTCAGTAACCTGACCCTTTATACTCTCAATTTTGACAAAGGATCATGTAATTAAAATAAATATTTCCTAGCATTTTGTTCTGTCTTTTTATTTTGGACTATTAGGTTTATTTGATTTTGGTGACTCAATCATGTATTTTAACAGCCTATTTAAATATCATTAGTTATTTTAAAATATAGTTCTCATTTTGTGCCGACTAATATAATCTAATTCTAAATAAAATCAGTAGAAAAATGTCTGTGTGATTTTATAAATCACAATGTTTACATATCAATTCCAGTTTCAGTGTTCATTTACTCTAAAATTGTTTGAAAAGAATAAATATACTTCACCAGAAACTGTTTCACCTTCTCTTTATATACACTCTTAATACATATAGTATATATTCTTAATACATATGGTATATATTCTTAATACATACAGTTATATATTCTTAATACATATAATATTCTTAAATGTTTTCAAATTGGACAGTATGCACATTTCTCTCATGGATTTGGCCTTTCTCGGGAATATATGTTTGTTTTTCTCCTCCAAGTCACAATACTGAGTTGGTAAACATTCACACATGATTCATTTCATCCTACTTACTTTAAGTAGAACTTCCATACACATGGGTATCATCCCTGTCCTACTGCACACTGCCATTTTCAGAATCAGCCCAAATAACCTTGCCTTGGATTTGCTTGCTTCTTCTAATCCACTTATCTCCCCACCTGAGCTCCTGGCACTAATTTTATTCAAGATACTGTTCTCCACATGCTACTCTGGCTCTCATGATTGTGGATGTCTTCTTTGCCCAACAGTGACCCACAGTCAGGCATCCAAGGCACCTCTGGCATGAATGCACTGAAGCCCATAAGTTAAGAGGGCTTCAATAGGAAGGGCTGACTCTTGCAATCTAATGGTAGTGCTTATGTGTACCTGTTTTCATGGTAGTATTAATTGCTATCACAAGACCTAAGGATCTGTTACTAGCTAGCCATTTATTTGATAACATCCACTTGATTAAGAGATTTATTTTAATCTTGAAAGCAGAGTGCAATTTTTAAAATGAATCTGTCCTTTAGCTAAAACAGGGAATGCTTGCTTTCTTCTCATTTCATCAATCAAAGCATCACAAAGCTTTGATGGATGGCCAGCCATGATGGATGAGAATTATGTCATTATTAGAAAATGTCTCATCATCACTTTTCCAAGTGTATATCAATTATAGAGTCTTAGAATTGAGATATTAGTAGCCAGGAAAACATCTTTCCATTCATATCCCTTATACAGATTTGCACATTTTGCAGTTCACTCTTTCTTTGCTTTGTCCCTAATGGCTGTGATTTTAATACCATTGTTTCAACCTAAATAATAGTTTAGGCTCCCTCTAAAGACATTCCATTTGACAGCCTACTTAATCACTGCTGGATTCCTTCAGCACTTTCTAGTACAGAGCAACCAAGTGAAACTAGAGAGTACATTTTACTCCACATCGAAACAATTGTCATTCACACAAGTTGACATTTTGAGTCTCAGTTCACTATTTTAAGAATAAGTCATGCACTCATTATACACTGTCTCATACTGTTTTATAAAAATGCTCACAATTTGTAAGACACAATAAAATTTTTTGGTACTATATGTGGCAATATTTTCTCTATTCTGAAACAAGCTGATAAATGAACCATTCATTGAACGGTACCCCGTAGGGACGCAAGGAAGCATTATGGTGTTTATGGAAGCTGAGCCATAGTGAAAAGTGCAAGAACTTTAGAACCAAAATTGCTACCTCTTTGATGCTTTAAATACTTAATCTTTTGCAAATTTCCAAAGCATATTTGTTTTATTATTGATATTTTGTATATCTGAAAATTAATATGCCAAATACATATGAATGTTCAGCATGATTGAGAAATTAGATTTAACCCATTGAACTTAATGGTAAAAATAGTGGAGACAGTGGTAAGAAAAATATTATTTCTTAGTTATATATTCTTAATACATATGGTATTCTTAAATGTTTTCAAATTGGACAATATGCACACTGTAGTCCTTCAGTAAAGACAAGAGGAATGCAAATTGTAGTCTCTAGTGCCTGGAGGAAATCATAGGGGAAAAGAAGCAAAAAAGTTACATCCCAAGTTTCATTAAACTGGAAATTGTGACATAGATTTTTTTGTTTCGACAGAATTTTATTTAACAATATTAAAAGTTTTTAAATTATTAATTTTAAAATTTTAGATTCGGGGTACATGTGCAGGTTTGTTATATGGGTATATTGCATGATGCTGAGGTTTGGTTTTCTAATGATTCTGTCTTTCAGGTAGTGAACATAGTACTTGATAGGTAGTTTTTTGACCCTTTCTCCCCTCCCTTCTTCTCTTTTGAAATCCCCAATGTTTATTGTTCCCATCTTTGTGTCTATGTGTACCCAATGTTTAGATCACATTTGTAAGTGAGAACATGTGGTATTTGGTTTTCTGTTTCTCCATTAATTTGCTTAGGATAATGGCCTTCAGTGCATCCTTGTTTATGCAAGGGATATAATTTCATTCTTTTTCATGGCTGCGTAATATTCCATTGTATCTATGTATCACATTTTAAAAAATTCAATCCACCATCAGTGGGCACCTCAGTTGATTCCATGTTTTTGCTATTGTGAATAGTGTGGTGAAAAACATAGGAGGACAGATATCTTTTTAGCTGAATGATTTATTTTTCTTTGAGTATATACCCATAATGAGATTGTTGGGTCAAATTCAATTTTTAATTTTTTGAGAAATCTCCAAATTGCTTTCCACAGGGGCTGAACTAATTTGCAATTTCACCAGCATTGTATAAATATTCCCTTTTCTGCACAATCTTGCCAACATCTGTTATTTTTTGACGTTTTCATAATAGCCATTCTGGCCAGTGTGATTTTTATTTGTATCTCTGATGATTAGTGATGTTGAGCATTTTTCATATGTTTTTTTGGCCACTTTTATGTCTTCTTTTGAGAACTGTCTATAATATATATGGGTAATTTATGAAGAAAAGAAATTTAATTGACTCACCATTCTGCAGGCTGTACAGGAAGCATGGCATTGGCATCTGCTAAGCTTTGGTGAGGGCTTAAGGAGCTTTTACTCATAGCAGAAGGCAAAGTGGGAGCACGTATGTCACATGGCAAGAGCAAGCAAGAGAGAGAGAAGGGGAAGATCCCAGATTATTTTAAACAACCAGATGTCACGTTAACTAACTGAGTGAGAACTCACTTATCACTAAGGGGACGATGCTAAACCATCCGTGAATGATCGACTGCCATGATCCAGTCCCATCCCACCAGACCCCACCTCCAATATTTGGAATTACATTTCCACATGATATTTGAATAGGACAAACATACAAATCATATCAGTAGGGGTGCAGTTTCATCCTTTTGCATGTAGTTAGCCAGTTTTCCCAGTATCACTTATTAAAAAGTAAATAAGCTATCTTTCCCCATTATTTATTTTTGTTGACTTTGTCAAAGAATGGGTGGTTATATATGTATAGCTTTATTTCAGGGGTCTCTCTTCTATTCTGGTCTGTGTGTCTACATTTGCACAAGTACCATGCTGTTTTGGTTACTGCAGACACAAAAGTTTTATTTTTATGATGGAAAAATATATAAATTATAAATTAGAATATATAGTGCCTTGTCACAATTGCAGAAGGATAGTTTAATCATCTAAATGCCACAGTTGCTTTGTTTAAAAAAGAAAACTAAGCCTTAATTGGAGAAATCACAGGTCATATTATTTATTTATTATTACTACTTACTTAATATAATTACTTTTTATTATTACTATTAACATTTTTCAAATTTTATTTCAAAATAAAGTTTAATGGAGTAAATTGCCACTAAATAAGTCTATATTCATGTGAAGCTCTCAATTTTTCTTGTACTTGTAAGCAATTACCCAGCTTCAGTAATTGCTGGGTAATAACACAAGAGAAGAGGATGTCACTCATATTTTCAGTTAGTGAAATTCACCCAGAAAAAACTTTAAGGACTGGCAGGACCATATTCTAGGTCTGGGTCCATTGTGAAACCATTTATTTTTCTCTCCTGTAATAAATGTGTAACACTACTTGCCCTGGATATCATTCAGAATACTTATAAAATAAATAAATAAAGATGAAATATATATATATGAATACTCTAAAAAGTGTAAAGTGCAACCCAAATATAAAACATCTTAATTGCAGAGCTCATTTCAGTTTTTCTGTATTTCTGACTTTGATGCTATTAATCAAAATAGTTTCAGCATTTGTATTTATTAACAAGATTGAAGAAAATTATATGACAAGAAAAATCCCAAAGGAGATGCATTTATGTCACAGAGCTTTTGTCTGGCTGTGACTATTATATTACATTAGCTGATGTGGACGACGGTCTAGAGTGGCTGCCCATGATCCCGGCCTCCTTGTGTACACAGCTTTGTATAATTCCCTCTCTTGGCATGAGAGTGGGGTATTATTACCTACTCCTAGACAATAGAATATGGAAAATTTAATGAGATGCCACTTCTGTTATTATATTATGGCATATAAGATTCTGTACTGCTAAGAGACTGTCTCAAGAAACTCTCTTTGCTGGCTTGATGAACTAAGTGAACATGTTGGAAAAGTCATGTGACAAGAAAACGTGGGTGGCCTCTATGAATTGTGAGCAGCTTCCAGGAACTGAGTGCAGCCTCCAGTAGACAGATAGCAAGAAACCAAGGCACTTGGTTTATAGTCACATGAAACTGAATTCTGCCGATAGCCTCAGTGAGCTTGGAAGTGGATTATTCCTTATCTCCAAATAGGAGATGCACATCTTGATTGCAGCTGTCTAATGCCCTGAGCAGAGGTCTCAGCTACTCTATGACTAGATTCCTGACCCTCAGAATCTGTTAAGTAATAAATTTGTGCTGTTTAATGCTACTAAGCTTATGATTATTTGTTGTGAAGTAATAAAAAAAAAAAAACTTCTACAGTTGGTAAAAGTGTCATTACTAACCTAACCTAGCTAGTGATACATCCCAAAACAGAAGGTTATCTCATCTTTTCATGAGTCACAACTCTGACATTGATCATTAGTCCCTTTGAGATACTGATCATAAAGTGAATACTTCCAATACTTGCACTGAATCAGTTGTATATACTCTAAAATTTGGCAGTCTAAATCGAAAGGTTATTTTTCTTTAACCAATATCTACATATTGCTTCCTACTAATTGTTAGAGATGTCAGAAATACTGGATTCAAAGATATATAAGTATATATATGTACTTATATATCAGTATATATATATACTTATATATATAAGTATATATGTATATATACTTATGTATATGTACTTATGTATATGTACTTATATATCAGTATATATATATATATATACTTATATATCTTACTCATATATACAAAGATATATGAGTAAGAAAGTATCTGTAAATTATGTCTAGCTGCCTCCTTACCACTGTCTGCTTCATCACTAAGAGGCTAAAAATAAGACTTTTATAACTGAAACAAAAAATATCTGTGCAAATGTGATGTAAGCAGAACATATTTATCAAGTACTCCTCAATATGTCTATTTTCTAGTAGTGGAATACACCAGTTATTTCCACTTTCAAATTCTGTTTTGTCACTCTACTCATGATTGGAGTCTTATTCTTCTCAATTTCTGATATAAACATTCCAAAGCACATGGAGAAATAATTAAGAAATTATTGAACTCCAGTGGTTATTTTACCTGCAAAGTGGGCTCGAAAGAAATTAAAGGAAATCTGTTAAGTCTTCTCCCATTACTTGGGAATTCAGGAATCCTATGAGATCAAGTCCTTAACTCGAATGTTAAATGTACCCTCAACTGTCTTAGTTCATTTTGGGCTGCTATAACAGAATACCACAGACTGGGTAATTTATAATGAACAGAAATTTATTTTGTCATAGTTGTAAAGGCCAGCAATTCCAAGATCAAGGCACTAGAACTGGCAAGGGCATTTTGACTATGTCATCACATGGCAGAAGACAGAAGGGCAAAAAGAGGAACTCTGTCCTCATATGGCAGAAAAGTGGAAGACCAAAGTGCAAGAGAGTAAACCCATTCCCTCAAGCCCTTAAGGGCATTAATCTTGAAGGAGGAATCCTCATGAAACAAATACCTCCCATTAGGCCCTACCTCTCAACAGTGTTGCATAAGGATTAGGTTTCCAGCACATAAATTCTGGGTGAGACATTTAGACCATAGCACCAACCATCCAAAACCATGTGAGCCAGCTCTCTATTTGACTTCTAAATAAAAATTAAAATCTCAAACTTCTTTTCTTAAACAAATTATAATAATAAAATAAAAATTTAGATTATAATTGGAAATGCATTGTATGTTTGCAATAGTCAAGGATAGGTTTCCAATAACGTATTCACTGATCTGTTTTTCTTATAGTCTATCAAGCTGTATTCATTAACCCAGGGGCCAGTGACTAGTCCCTAGGAATGCAGCAACTAAAAAGTTCAGAGTTTGAATCCCTGCTCATTAGGCAACATATGGACCTTCTTTTCCCAATGCGGAGACATCAAAGACGCCTTTTGGTCAATCAATTTTAATGCTTCTATTTAAGTATGGGTGAGGTAGTGAACAATGATAATGACAACAAAACATTCTTTTTTTTTTGAGATAGGAACCTCTACCTACCAAGTCATGAAATGCCTTCCTGAATCACCTCCCCAATCTCCTAGTGATGGAATAGCAACTATTTCTTTGCTGGGAACACAACAGTTCATATACCAGAGTAAGTGCTGGAAACTGGTTTGCTACTACTTTCTAATGGTTCTTTCTATGGCTTTGTGTAGTTTGAACCCATGAATAAACAAATAAATGCACAGTCCACTATTACAGATTCACCTCTCTGCAGATCTCCAGCTCTCTTTCTCTTTCTTCTCCTGTACTATGTCCTATATTCTAGCCACCTTGCAGTCCTGATACTCTAATTTCTATGTTCTCATCTCAGGTCAACTACTGGGCTCTGTTTGAGACATCTCACCCTCCCTCCTTCTGTCTCTGTGGCACCATAAAAACTGCCTTTAGACAGTGAAGTAAGGCAATCATGGGCTAAGTTCACTTTTTACCCTTTTCTTTGAGAGCACAGATCTACACTGCCTGTTGTCTAATTTCTCAAAACAATTATTTCATAAATTTTGTCCAATTTTCTGGCTGTATGGCAAAAATGCAATTATAAGGGCAGTTAATCTTCTTTGGGCAATAGCAATAGCCCTTTGACCTATTTATCGCAAAATTCGGGACACCATGTGTGACTTGACATTATCATAGATGGCACCAATATCACACAGCTTGTGAGCCCCAAAGAAGTTATAAGCTGAAGAGAGACATATTCACTCTGGGGGAAGCAATTTGGAAGCTAATGGACACGGGCATACATCCTGGTTTTACATCCTGGCTCACTATCTATTCGTTATGTGACCTTTCGCAAATCATTTAAATGTTCTCTGTCTCAGTTCTCTAAGATGTCAAATGTAAATAGCAATAATACCTCTCCTAAGAGTCTTATGAAGGTTAAATAATTTGATATGTGTGAAGCCCGTGAAGAGTGCCTAGTTCATGTTAATTATTATGTTACCCAGAATAGTTATTATTACTGCTGTTATCAGCTTGTCACCTGAAAAAAAAAAAAAAATAAAGCTCGGAAAAATGGAGATATGACTGTGTTCTTTTTTTTTTGGCTGAAAAATAGGAGAAATAAAGAATATTCTTAAATACATGTGAGCTATTATATTACCGAGATGAGTTCTGTGGTCCTAAAAGAAAAGGTGCTAAGAACTGCAATACATGCAGTTCCAATTAGAGAAGAAAATATTTCTTGATAACAATGGTAATTGAGCCTGTCGCAGTGACTCATGCCTGTAATCCCAGCATTTTGGGAGGCTGAGGAGGTAGGATCACTTGAGACCAGGAGTTCGAGACCAGCCTGGGCAACATAGTGTGACCCTATGTCTACAAATAATAACAACAACACTAATAATAACATGAAAACTACCCAGGCATGGTGGCATGCACCTGTAGTCCCAGCTACTTGGGAAGCTGAGATGGCTTAGCTGGAATGTAAGCTACCATCACACCATTCCAGCTGGAGGGACAGAAAGACCCTGTCTCTTTTAAAAAAAAAAAAAAAAGGTGATTGAACACAGAGTTGGAAAGTTTTTTGAAATGCTCTCTGACTTTTTTTAAGCTTTTATTTTAAATTCAGGGGTATACATGCAGGTTTGTTATATAGGTAAATTCTGTGTCACTTGGGTTTAGTGTACGATTATTTTATCACCCAGGTCATAAGTGTAGTACCCAATAGGTAGTTTTCTGACCCTCATCCTCCTTCCACCCTCAAGTAGGCCGCAGTGTCTGTTGTTTCCTTCGTGTCCGTATGTGCTTGATGTTTAGCTCCGACACATAAGTACGAACATACAGTATTTGGTTTTCTGTTCCTGTGTTAGCTTGCTTAAGATGATTGCCTCCAGCTCCATCCAAGTTGCTGGAAAGGAAATGATCTCATTCTTTTTTATGGCTACATAGTATTCTGTGGTGTATACATACCACATTTTCTTTATCCAGTCTACCATTGATGGGCATTTACGTTAATTCTATATCATCATGATTTTGAATAGTGCTGTGATGAATATATGCATGTGTGTGTCTTTATGGAAGGACAATTTACATTCCTTTGGGTGTATACTCAATGACAGGATTACTGGGTTGAATTGTAATCCTGTTTTAAGTTCTTTCAGAAATGAAATTGCCAAACAGCTTTCCACAATGGCTGAACTAATTTACATTCCCACCAACAGTGTGTAAGTACTCCCTTTTCTTTACAACCTTGACAGCTTATGTTATTTTTTAAACTTTTTATAATAGCCATTCTGAATGGCGTGAGATTGCATCTCATTGTGGTTTTGATTTGCATTTACCTAATGATCAGTGATACTGAGTTCTCTTTCATATGCTTGTTGGACATATGTATGCCTTCTTTTGAAAAGTGTTCATGTCCTTTGCCCACTCTTTAATGGGGTTGTTTGTTTTTTTCTTGTGAATTTGTTTAAGTTCCTTAGGTATGCTAGACATTAGACCTTTGTCAGATGCATAGATTGCAAATATTTTCTCCCATTCTGTAGTTTGTCTGTTTACTCTGTCCATAGTTGCTTTTGCTGTGCAGACGCTCTTTTAGTTCCATTAGGTACCTTTTGTCAGTTTTTGTTTTTATTGCAATTGCTTTGGCATCCTTGTCATGAAGTCTTTGCCCAGTCCTGTATCTAGAATGGTATTTCATAGGTTATCTTCCAGGGTTTTTATAGTTTACATTTTTTACATTTGTCTTTAATCCATCTTGAGTTGACTTTTGCATGTGGTATAATAAGAAAGGAGTCCAGTTTCAATTTTCTGCATATGGCTAGCTAGTTATCCCAGCACTACTTATAGAATAGGGAGTTATTTCCCCATTGCTTGCTTTTGTTTCTTTTTGAAGATCAGGTGGTTGTAGTTGTGTGGCATTATTTCTGGGGTCTCTATTCTGTTCCACTGGTCTATGTTTCTGTTTTTGTACCAGTATTATGCTGTTTTGTTTACCATAGCCCTGCAGTATAGATTGAAGTTTGGTAGCATGATGCCTCCAGCTTTGTTCTTTTTGCTTAGAATTTCCTTGGCTATTCCAGCTCTTCTTTGGTTCCATTTAAACTTTATTTAAAGTTTTTTTTTTCTAATTCTGTGAAGAATGTTATTGGTAGTTTGATAGGAATAGCATTGAATCTATAAATTGCATTGGGCACTATGACCATTTTGGCAATATTAGTTTTCCCTATCCATGAGCATGGAATGTTTCTCACTGTTTGCTTCATCTCTGATTTCTTTGAACAGTGTTTTGTAATTCTCATAGTAGAGCTCTTTGACTCCCAGGTTAGCTACATTTATAGATATTTTATACATTTTTGTCTATTGTGAGATTGTGTTCTAGATTTGGCTCTCAGCTTGGATGTTGTTGGTGTATAGGAATGCTGCTGATTTTTGTACATTGATTTTGTATCCAGAAACTTTACTGAAGTTGTTTATCAGATCAAGGAGCTTTTGGGCAGAGACTATAGGCTTCTCCAGGTACAGAAACTGAATCAGTAGCAAACAAGGGTAGTTTGACTACCTTTATCCCTATTTGGATGCCTTTCATTTCTTTCTCTTGCCTGATTGCTCTGGCCAGGACTTCCAGTACTATGTTAAATAAGAGTGGTGAAAGAGGGCATCCTTGTCTTGTTCAGGTTTTCAAGGGGAATGCTTCCAGCTTTTACCCATTCAGTGTGATGTTGGCAGTGAGTTCATTGTAGATAGGTCTTATTATTTTGAAGGATGTTCCTTCAGTGCTAGATTGTTGAGAGTTTTTAACATGAATGGCTGTTGAATTTTATCAAAAGCCTTTCCTGCATCTATTAAGATGATCATGTGCTTTTTGTTTTTAGTTTTTGTTTATGTAATGAATCATATTTATTGATTTGTATTTGTTGAAACAACCTTGCATCCCAGGGATAAAGCCGACTTGATCATGGCGGATTAGCTTTTTGACGTACTGCTGGGTTTTACTTGCTAGAAGTTTGTTGAGAATTTTTGCATCTATGTTCATCAAAGTTCTTGGCCTAAATTTTTCTTTTTTTGTTATGACTCTGATAGATTTTCGTATCAGGATGATGCTAGTCTCATAGAACAAGTTAGGGAAGAGTACTTCCTCCTCAATTTTTTTGAATAGTTTCAGTAGGAGTGGTATCAGCTCTTCTTTATACATTTGGTAGAATTCCACTGTAGTCGATCAGGCGCTGGACTTCTTTTGTTTGGCAGGCTTTTTGCTACTGATTCAATTTCTGAACTTGTTATTGGTCTGTTCAGGGATTCAATTTCTTTCTGGTTCAGTCTTGGGAGGTTGTATGTGTTCAGGTAACTTATCTATTTCTTCTATGTTTTCTAGCTTGTGTGCATGGAAGTTTTTGTAATAGCCTCTGAAGGTTTTGTTGTTGTTGTTGTTGTTGTTATTTCTGTGGTGTCAGTGGTGTCCCCTTTCTCATTCCTGATTGTGTTTATTTGAATCTTCTCTCTTTTTGTCTTTATTAGTCTAGCTAGTGGTCTATCTACCTTATGAATGTACTTAAAAATCCAACTTGTGAATTCATTGATCTTTTGTGTGTTTTTTGCATCACAATTTCCTGCAGTTCTGCTTTTATTTTTGTTGTTTAGTTTCTTCTGCTAACTTTGGGGTTAGTTTGCTCTTGCTTCTCTAGTTCTTCTAGCTGTGATGTTATGCTGCCTATTTGAGATATTTTAAACTTTCTGATGTGGACATTTAGTGCTGTTAATTTTCCTATTTACACTGCCTTAGCTCTGTCCACAGAATCTAGTATCTTGTGTCTTTTTCTCATTATTTCAAATAATTTGTTGATTTCTGCCTTAATTTTATTCTTTACCCAAAAGTCATTCAGAAGCAGGTTGTTTAATTTCAATGTAACTATGTGGTTTTGAGCAATTTCTTAATATGGATTTCTATTTATGTTGTGCTGTGGTCTGAGAGCATAGTTGGTAAGATTTGGGGTTTTTAAAATTTCCTGAAGATTGTTTTATGTCTGATAGTGTGGTTTCTTTTAGAGTATGTGCCATGTGCAAATGAGAAGAATGTATATTTTGTTGTTCTGGGGTGAAGTGTTCTGTAGATTTATTAGGTCCATTTTGTCAAGTGTTAAATTCAGGTCTTAAATATCTTTGTTAGTTTTATGCCTCGATGACCTGTCTAATATTGTCAGTGGAGTGTTGAAGTCTCCCACTGTTATTGTATGGGAGTCTAAGGCTCTTAACTTTCTTTATAAATCTGGGTGCTCCTGTGTGGGTGCATATATATTTAGGAGTTCAATATTCTTGTTGAATTGAGCTCTTTACTATTATCTAATGCCCTTCTTTGTCTTTTTAAATCATTGTTGTTTTAATGTCTATTTTATCTGAAATTAGAATAGAAACCCTGATTTTTCTCTGTTTTCCATTTGCTTGGTAGATTTTTCTTTATCCCTTTACTTTGAGCCTATGGGTATCATTGCATGTGAAATGGGTCACTTGAAGACAAAATACCACTGAGTATTATGAGGATCCGGGATCCACTGAGCACGAGGATAAAGTTCTAATTTGACCTGACATTAGGGCATTTCCCATTCACTCTTGAGTCTGTTTTCTCATTCAGTAAAAAGCAATTAAGCATCTACTGTGTATTCTGTTTAAGTTCTTGTCTGATAAAAGATGAGTCATGGAGTCTCCGCCCTTGAGTAGATAGCAATGTTGAGTAAAAAAAAAAAAAAAATATAGGAACACATAATTTCAAAGCAATGTAATTAGACTTCTAGTCAAAGTAAGAACAAAGTGTCATTAAATAATAATGAAAAATTGTGTAACAGTACTTGCAGCCTTAAAGTTAAATGATACAGTGTTGATGGATTATTATAAAAACTTCACCTCACATTATTTTCCCATAGAAGTATCAAAGAACAAAAAATTAAAAATGTAAGAGGTGTTTCAATATATTGAGATAATAAATGAATAAATATTATATGCCAATAAATATATTTAATACTTAGCTAAAATTATTTTCCAAGTACTTAAAATAAAAGCAAAGATAAGCATTGATTCTCTCCTTGCTTATGTTCCTTAATAGATAAAACTAAACTGTGATTTTAAAAAAAAATGAGAATGAGGACTAATTCTAGATACTCCCATAATGATATTCATCTTCACAAATCCATCTTATTTCATTCATTGACCTAATTTGGTTCATGAGAAACTTAAAATAAGTATGTCAAGGCAATAGAGAATAAGAGATAAAAATGAATGTAGCTATTACTTAAAAATAATATTATGCACCAGGAAATGTTCTAAGTACTTAAGATTATTTACTCCATTTAATTTTCACATTCTTTATCTGAAGTATGTACTACTATTTTCCCTTTATAGGTATGAGAAGACTGAGTCTCAAGGATGGCAACTGAATAAAGTTCCTGTGGTTTGTAAATGGTAGACTAGGATTTGAAACCAGAGATAATTGTCTCAAAATTCCTGGCTCTTCGCCATAATATGTGCCACCTCTAGACCTCAGTGGTAAGCTTGGCTCAAATTGCTGCAATAAGCAATAAGAATTGAGGCCCTCAGAGAGACATTTTCCCATCCCCAAGGCATTAAATTGGAAGTATAATGGAGTGGTTTAAAACAACAGTTCTTCAAGAGTTCCGTTTAAATATCCTATAAAAATTAGTTTCTTCCACTTTATTTCCTAGCATCATTTTTCTCCACTAAGAAGATTTAGTATTCATGCAGAGGAAAAAAAAATCACATTACTTCGAAGGACAAGATTGATGGGACCTCGGGAAAAAAAATAATGATTGAAATTCTCAGCTGCTCTCCAAGGTGATTAAATCCTAATTGGGGGAAGGGCCTCACTTGGAACCTGCAGGCTACAGCTGGATGGTTTTGTGGGCTCCAAAGGAAATACAGTTGGATCTATTGCATTCTGCAATTGCTTTAGGCAGTTCTGTATCGAAGGCTTACAATTCGGTAATAGGAAGGCTGACACTGTGATGATTTCTACCCTCCCTAATTATTCTATGATGTTTGTTGATGTGCATAAGCCCAGGTTCTGAAGCGTCATTTAAGAAGGGATAGAGGACCTCTCATTTAGGTGAACAGAGCTCAATTTTAGAGGGAGTTGACATTCCATCCCCCTCCTGAAATGTATTGCCCATCCAACCTTTGAGCCTGATGCCTTCAGGCTGTCATCATTATTTATCAATAGAAGATGACTTATAAGGGTGAAGAACTGACAAAGTCTTATAATATTTAAGCAGCAATTTATAATTTAGATTATCTTCAGACACAAAATCTCAGAAAAGAAGTTCACATATTTTCAAGAAAGAAACTTTCCCATTTTTCCATTTTGCAGATTGAGAAAATGAGATAAAAAGTGTTACATGCTTTGTCAAAGATGACCTAGGCTATAAAGAGCAAACTTGTGAGTTTTTGTTTTGTTTTTGAGTTGTGCTTTTCTGAGTTTTAAAAGAGCGATATTCCATTTTTGTGTCAAATTAGCTTAGCAATTTTTTCACATAATGGTTACAAAAAAGGTGATAAATCCATAACTCATTTAATGGATCTTTTTTAGACATCTGCCATCTGCCAGTGCTGAATAAAACAAATGCTTTTCCTGTCTTCTGGGAGCTTATAATTGAGGAGTAAAGAAAAATTCTGAAAAAGTAATTGTAAGTAAGAGTCAGAAGACTGATTTGATTCTTGTAAACAATATGAGAAATTGAGAGAGAAGCACATTATTGTTTTTCAACAGATGTCATTTGAGTTTGGAGAAGGGCAAAGGAAAGAAGATAATCACTGGAAGACAACCTGAGAAAATAAAAAACAAAACAAAACAGATTTTGTTAAATGCTCAACTTAACTGAACACTTTGACTCCATTTTTTATGTTTGATCTCTGACAGCTTTCAGGACCCACCTCTCTTTTATTCCATTTCCACACATAAAAAAAGTCTGATGCTCCCTTCCATGGCACCCATGGTAACATCAAACAAAGAAAACCCTGGCCCCCCATGGGAGAACAGTTCTGCTAGTCCATCCATTAACCACAATACAAACCAAAGCCATCGCCTCTCACTCAGCACAAGAGGCTCTGGACCAACTTTGGTACCTGCATTACCCATTACCCCAGAAAGCCCTATTTTGTGAGAAACAAACTTTTTGTATCATCTTAGTGCAGGTGTAGCATCATCTACCTTGACATCTGAACCAATTACTGATCCATGGGGCCAACACAAAATAAGTGGTGCTGTAAACAGGGTAGTCAAGATGATCACCACCAGATGGAGTCTCAAGGATGGCAAATGAAGGTCATGTGGTTTGTAAATGGTAGGCTAAGATTTGAAACCAGAGCCATTTGTCTCAACATTTTTAGCTCTCAGCCACAATATGTACTGCCATCTGCCAGTGCTGAAGAAAACAAATGCTTTTCTATTTTTCTGGAAGAAAATGGGAGTCCTCTCTTCCTTTTGACTTGCTACTACTGGCTCTGTTCCCTGCCGGTGAGCATGCCCTTGGAGCTGATGCCTGCTTGCTAATATGCACCTTGAGCTGTACTGCTTCCTGCCAATAAGCTTGGGCTTTGAGCTGTGCTGTGCTGTGGTGCTGTGACCAAGTCCTATTAAGCTTTTATTTTAGATTTATTGTCCGAAGTTGCAAGTTTCAATAATTGGCATGTAGGGACAGAAATATGAAATTGGGACCCTTCTTAAAAAGTATCTGGGTCATGTGTCTTAGCTTGCAACTATCTTTTTGTCTCAATAGTCAACAATAATATAATGTGTATTTAAAAGTAACTAAGAGAATCTTATATTTGATTCAAGCATAAGTCATAATGAATATTATTCAGAGAAAGACTCTCGCCCTGTTACCATTTGTTATCTGTTTCAATCAGGCACTGATCCCCATTCTATAGAACTCTTGGGAGACAGACTGATACATTATAAAAAATATGAGCTCATCAAGTAGCCATTAACGTGGAAGAAGAGGTCTACATTCCTAAAACCAAATGACTTAGTGGAATCGTAGGAGGCCTCACGTGTTTTTGCTACTACTGCCCATGCTTCTGTCAAACAAAATATTTGTATCATTGGGGTTAGAAGAGAAAATATGCATGATACCCCATGGCAGAGAATAGTTTACTTTCAGCCCTGTCCAAAAAATGGAAGACCACAATCTTAATATATAAGTAAAATGGACTAACAAAGACTCTGGATTCAATTGGGTTTTATGGGTTATCAATATGTCAGGGGTTAATTCAAAATCAGTTTAAGCCTAGGGTCCCTAAATCCCAAGAAAGCAACAATCACATTAGGGAGGCTTCTAATGCAGACAATATTTATCTGGGGACCTCTGGACAAGAAAAAAAACAAAACTTATAAATATGGGCAGGGTAGAGAGGACTTCATGAGCTATATCTAATAATCACACACACACACATATGCACATGCACGTGCACATATACACACTCCTCGATACCAGGGGAAAAATAAAAATTGAAACAGAGGTCTGCTAATTGACTCAACTAAAAATAAAAAAATTATTATAGAGGAAATTTACTTTGGAATCATACTCCCAGATCACTAGATATTCAAGTTTACGTTATACTGAACCTTATTTTATCAGCACGTTGAGAAGGCAATCTTTGATATGACGGGCCTTGTGGTTCTTGCTCTATAGCAGAGTATCGTTGAGTCCATGTGTTACATCTTTCTCTACTACAAACAACTACTTGTTTACATACAAAATTCTTGAATTTCTTACACAGTGTGCACATAAGTTTCTTTTTGTATTTTGTTCAGTTAAATAGACCTTACCTTAAATATTAGCTAAGTATCTTTCATTTTTCAAATACATGAAATATTAGTTGAATTGAGAGATAACTTGAGCTTCAAATTTTTTTTCTAATAAATATAATGTTTGTGAAAATGGGGAAAAACCTGCTTTTGTCCAGGGTGTTTCATGTTGAAGTAAAACAAAGTATTCATTAACCATCTAATATATATTTATTGTCTGTCTACATGTATCATTTTGTAAGTATGTAACCATGAAAAACAAACTCTGAGTCTTTAAGTGTTTCTGATTTGCTGTATGCAAGCTAGCTACACTTAAGGTGCTACTCTTCCTTAGATACGACTAATGCAGCAAAGTGTGGTCTGTTCACTCCACACACCCTGCCGTGGTTTGAAAGAGATGCAAATTAGGTAAACTTCATAAGTTTCATCTGTAGCCATCTCATGATTGTTTCTTTGAGTCATAATTCATGCATTCATACTCATGCTTTAATTTAAAATATTGATTGTTTTAATTTACAAGAAAAGGCAAACCTCCTCATTGAAAAGTGGGCCAATGTCATGAACAGACACCTTTCAAAAAAAGCATACATGCGGCCATGGCCAACAAGCATGTGAAGAAAAGCTCAACGTCACTGATCCCCAAAGAAATGCAAATCAAAACCATGAGATACTATCTCACACCAATCAGAATGGCCATTATTAAAAATAAACAGGTTAATAAAAAAGTATTAAAAAAAGCCAACAAATAACAGGTGGTGGGGGGGTTGTGGAGTAAAAGGAACATTTTTACATTTTTGGTGACAGTGCAAATTAGTTCCACAATTACCACTGTGGAAAAGAGTGTGGCAATTTCTCAAAGACCTTGTATTAGTCAGGGTTCTCTTAGAGGGACAGAACTAATAGGATAGATACTAAGTATTAATTTATATGATCACAAGGTCCCAAAATAGGCTGTCTGCAAGCTGAGGAGCAAGGAGATCCAGCCCGAGTTTCAAAACTGAAGAACTTGGAGTCCGATGTTTGAGGGCAGAAGCATCCAGCACAGGAGAAAGATGTAGGCTGGGAGGCTAGGCCTAGCATCTCCTTTTTACATTTTTCTGCCTGCTTTATATTCGCTGGGAGCTGATTAGATTATGTCCACCAGATTAAGGGTGGATCTGCCTTCCCCAGCCCACTCACTCAAATGTTAATCTCTTTTGGCAACACCCACACAGACACACTCAGGATTAATACTTTGTATCCCTAAATACAATCAAGTTGACACTCAGTATTAACCTTCACAGACCTAAAAACAAAACTACCATTCGCTCCAGCAATCCCATCACAGGGTGTATACCCAAAGGAATAAAAGTTATTCTATCCTAAAGACACATGTACACATATGGCCATTTCAGCACTACTGACAATAGCAAAAACATGTAATCAACCTAAATGCCCATGAACAGTAGACTGGATAAAGAAAATGTGGTACATATACAGCATGGAATACTATGTAGCCATGAAAAAGAATGAGAGCATGTCCTTTGCAGGAACATTGATGGAGGTGAAGGCACTATCCTTAGCAAACTAACACAGGAACAGGAAACCAAATACTGCATGCTAAACATCAAGTACATATGGACACAAAGAAGGAAACATTCCTGGTAGGCTTTATGTATAGAGTCTTCTCTGTGTTTGTTTCTATACATCACAGAACTAGTAGAGAACATGGAGAAAGTACTAAAGACTTGAAATTAAAATGGTAACATTAAATTAAAACAAAGCAAATTACTCAAATTTGGATGTAATTGGCTCATCTCTGTCTATAGATAGCCTTCTTATATGCCAAGTATTACTTTAGGAGATAATGATTATATGAGCCAGCTGCCTTTCTCTTCATTTTACAGATGAAACTGAGAAGTGGAAATGTTAAAGCATGCAATGAATACCAAAACCGGAATTTTAATTCTGGTCTAACAAATATGGCTAACACCAAATTCTTTCCGATTCTCACACTTCAGTGCCTTAGGACTTTACCACACCATGCTGCCTGCTAAATACCATCTAACTCACAAAGTTTCTTATTTAGAAATAAAAAAGCTTTTAGATTGGATTCCTAGTAGCTTAATCAACAGATTTGATGGTTTTGAGTGAGGTACTTTGATACAAAGCGAAAAATGATAAACATATAATTGCCAACTGATTGTTCAGCATTAATTGGCTATTGTGCATGCATTTTTATTTTTGAGGTAAGGTCAATTAAAAACTTACAGATTATAGAAGCAAGGTCTGTAAACAGAGCTACTCTTGGTTACATGAAATCTGATAAAAAAACATCAAAAACAGCAATTAGGTTAAGAACTTAGAGAAGAAATATATATATTTCTTAGGGAATAAATTTACATATATATGCATATATACACACACACACACATACACATTTCTGATTTTATGTTGAAGTTTGTTAAATGCTTTATACATGAGTGCTTTTCACTTGCTACTTCAAATCACTGCCATAGAGACTAAGAACTGGATTTTTGAAATATAATGAAATATGAACATGGACCTGTATTCTTTATTACATTATGTTTTTGTTTTGAGAATGAAACAACTCAACTAACTGGGAACCTTACTTCAAAAAAGCAAGCCCCATGAACTCTTCACCTATATACCTCTTCTCGTTCTTGTCTGCACTTATGTTTTTTTTTTTATTTTTTTCAGTTAGGAAAATGATAAGTGGTTATTGAGTTCAAAGAATTCACACTGAGCTACTGGGTTTTAGCAATGTTTTTATAAATTATGTCGAGAAGTCTTATAACACCTATTAACCTCCACAAGAATATAAATTATTTGATTTGGCACAAGAAAGTTGTACACATAAAAGAGATGCTTTTTTCTCATGTAACAACTTACAGAACTCTATGTTATGACAATAATATATAAACAAGTGACATTTGGGTGCCACAGAAAGATTTATCTAGCTATATATTAGGGATTAATGATATTTTACTCTTATGAGGGAAAAAGTTACCTAGGAAATAATGAATTTTATGCTCATGATACAAACAAGTGTTCCTTTAGCATTCATAGAATAATCATACAAACAACAAAAAGATAGGAGGTGTCTATTAGTCTATTAGGTGCAATATACTAACAATGTTCTATGTTAGGTATTAAGTAATTTTTTTGAAATAAATACAATATTTTCTCTCAAGGAACTTACTTTGTAAGCTAAAGATTAAAAATCATGCTGGCACTCACCCCTTTTGGCCCTTGACAGCAATGAGCTATCTAAGACATTGTTTTCTCCTGAGCCCTAACTAAAACCCTAAACCCTCTCAGCACCTTAATTCTTGAGTCTCATGTGAATCCAGGAGATGGCTTACAAATTGGTACCTATTAGCCCATTCTAGTGAACATGTTAAAGGTAAGAGGAAAAGAAAAGGGGAGCAATTTTGAGGGGTATCTTGTCTGGACAACACACAGGGTCTGGCTGAGTTTGCAGAAAGATAAAGGACTACATTCTAGATGCTACCAACTCATGCAGTTGGGACACAAGTAAAGAGAGGCAGGAAAGAACTGGCTTAAGTCAATGCCATCTTTTACTTAGACAACAATCAAAGAAGAATAGATATTGATACATTTCCTATTCAGTTTAGACAAGAAAGCCATTGTCTAGCATTTAACTCAGTTGTATAAATGGAAAGTCCTCAATGGAGTATTAGCACTGTGGAATGTTCTATAGTAACAGCTGTTAATCAATTAAGGAAACCATATTTATTATGTATTTGTTCATTCAGCTAACAAGTATAGAGTCCTATTTTGTGCCAAGTACCTTTGCAGGTACTGGAGATCCAGCAGTAAAAAACAAAAGTCCCTCATTGGAGTCTGTTGAAAATAACAAAAGAAAAACCCACATATAATATTTCAGATGATGACAAATGTTACAGGAAAGAAGCAGGGTGAGAGTGATGAGCTGAATTTCTATTTTACACAAGACTTTTAAGAAAGACCTTTTTCAGAAAGTGGTCGTTGAGCACAGAATTGAAAGATATAGGTTGAGAGCAACACGGAGATATCTGGGAAAGGTATACTAGGTGGAGAGATCAGGAAGAGAAAATCCCAGAGGTGTGCATGAGTTTGTTGTATTCAAAGCACCGTAAGGATGCCAGTGTGTCTGAAGTAGAGTGAATGATGAGGTCAATGAGGCTGGGTTAGATAGGAGCTTTTAAGTCATTTTAGCGAATTTGACTTTACACTGAGCAATTTCTTACTGAAATTCACAGAAAAAGAAATACAAAGGGACACTGATATGGTTTGGCTGTCTCCCCACCCAAATCTCATATTAAATTGCAGCTTCCATGATTCCCACATGTCATGGGAGATATCTGGTTGGAGGTAATAGAATCACGTGGGCGAGTCTTTCTCATGTTGTTCTCATGATTGTGAATAAGTCTCACAAGATCTGATGGTTTTATAAAGGGGAGTTCCCCTGCACAAGCTCTCTTGCCTGATGCCATGTAGGAAGTCCCTTTGCTCCTCCTTTGCCTTTCCCCATGACTGTAAGGCCTCCCTAGCCATGTGGAGCTGTGAGTCAATTAAACCTCTTTCCTCTATAAGTTACTCAGTCTCAAGTATGTCTTTATTTGGAGTGTGAGAACAGACTAATACCATAAATTGGTACCAGTAAAGTGGGGCACTGCTGTAAAGATATCCAAAAATATGGAAGTGACTTTGGAACTTGGTAACAGGAAGAGGTTAGAACAGTTTGGAGGGCTCAGAAGAGGATAGGAAAATGTGGGAAAGTTTGGAATTTCCTATAGAGATTTGTTGAATGACTTTGACTAAAATGCTGATAGTGATATGGACAATGAAGTCTAGGTTGAGGTGGTCTCAGATGGAGATGAGGAAGTTGTTGGGAACTGAAACAAAGGTGACTCTTGTTACATTTTAGCAAAGAGACTGGCAGCATTTTGCCCCTGCCCTAAAGATTTGTTTCTGATTTAGGGTATCTGGTGGAAGAAATTTCTAACCAGCAAAGTGTTCAAGATGTGACTTGGGTACTATTAAAAGCATTCAATTTTAGTAGAGACAGGGTTTCACCATGTGACCCAGGCTCGTCTCGAACTCCTGAGCTCAGGCAATCCTCCCGCCTTGGCCTCCCAGAGTGCTAGGATTACAGGCGTGAGCCACCACACCCGGCTTCTGCTTCCCTTTTAAACATAAGTTTCAATTCCAAAGCATATCTTTGTGAATACATAACATTATTTTGGTACTTTAAGGTTTAATGACTGCCCTACTGGATTTTGCCCTTATATGGGGGCTGTAGCCCCTTTGTTCTGGCCAATTTCTCCCTTTTGGAATGGGTGTATTTACCCAATGTCTTTACCCCCAGTGTATCTAGGAAGAAGCTAACTTATTTTTGCTTTTACAGGCTCATAGGTGGAAGGGACTTGCCTTGTCTTATCTGAGACTTTGGACTGTGGACTTTTGAGTTAATGCTGAAATGAGTTTAGACTTTGAGAAACTGTTAGGAAGGCATGATTGGTTTTGAAGTGTGAAGATATGAGATTTGGGAGTGGCCAGGGGTGTAATGATATGATTTAGCTGTATTCCCACCAAAATCTTATCTTGGATTACAGTTCCTGTTATTCCCACGTGTCATGAGGGTGACCTGGTGGGAGGTAATTGAATCCTGGGGACAAGTCTTTCCCATGCTTTTCTCACAATAGTGAATAAGTCTCACAAGATCTAATGTTTTTCTTTCTCTGTTCATCCTTTTTTGAATATTCTGGTAAGTATTTCACATTAATACAAGCTACATTACATAGAGCCACTGTATGACAAGAAATTTACTCAACTTTTTCCTTTCAAGTATGTAAACAATTATACATGTATTTATCACCCTAAGAGGTTGAAACATGTAATCAACTAATTCTCTTCTGCATGCAAGTAGTATTCAGTATGTTTAGCCAAAAACACTAAGGTCATATGATCTGAAGTGATCTGATGGTTTCATATATGGGAGTTCCCCTGTACAAGCTCTCTTGCCTTCCACCATGTAAGAAGTCCCTTTGCTCTTCTTTTGCCTTCCACAATGATTGTGAGGCCTCCACAACCATATGGAACTGTGAATCAATTAAATGTCTTTTATTTATAAATTCCCTAGTCTTGTGTATGTCTTTATTAGCAGCATGAGGATAGACTAATACAGACACTAACTTAAGAAGATGCTCCACCTTCACATAATATGAGAATTACCAGTTAAAACTACATTAAAATGTCCATATTCTTTTGGCAAGGCTTTGAGAAAGCAATCATTCTTGGATATAGCTGGTTTGGTAATACCTAGCAAAATTAACATATGCAGGCTACCTGCAATTTCACTTCCAGGCATGTATCTAAAACACACACTGGCAAACATGTGAAATTATGTATGTACAAGGTACTATTTCCCCAAATTTTGAATAAAGTGTTATATATTCACATTATGGAATGCTGCACAGCTTTAAAAAGGAATGAGAACTATCTCTATGCACTACTGGGGTGATGTCAGAGACATATTAAGTAAAAACAGAAGAAAAATGGGATTTATAATATACTGCTGTTTATCAAAAAAGAAAATGAAAATATATTTGCAATCTATTCTGGAGATCATTCTACTATAGTATGCAATAGAACACACAAACATACACACACGTGCACACACACACACACACACACACCCCAGAATGCATGCATATGTATCTCCAAATGAACTCACAGGGAATTCCTAATGAAAATTATGTCCCAGTCTTTTCCAGAATCTTCCCTTTGGAGGATCCTGGAAGTTGCCTGGGAATGTAAAGGAAATAAGTGGGTCTGGAGTGGACATGCTCTATGATGAGAAAATGTATTCTTGCCATTTCTATTTTATAATACTCGGTTTAGAGTTAAGAAACAGCATTAAGAAACAGATTTACTTTCTCAAAAGATCACTTCTCTTTGGATTTTCAGTGTGCGTTAGTTCATAGGCTTTTATTATCTTCAGCTTCTTAGGAACAAAAAAGGCTTAAAAGGGAGAACATTTTTTCCTCTTTTCAAATTTGCTTTGAGCAGCCTGTAAGGTCATTATTTTGCTTGCTTAAGGAAATCTATTTTTTGAAAATGATAATTATAATATCTGCATTAAAATTATGATTAGCCATATGCCATACTTTAGCAAAGGAAAGTTTCTTTATTTTATATTATTTTTTCTACTTCTTAAGTAATGCCTTGTTTACAGTTTTGATAGTATAAGGCTAGTCAATTAACTAGAAATAAAATATCTAGTGTATATGTAAAAATAATGAAATCAGTCAAAACACAATCATATAAATAAAGTAAGTACTGCACTTTGGTCACCAATTATAAAAGATTTCCTTAGACATAGAAACAAGATGAAATGCCAGTGAAAAATTCTCTTACTTACTGAAAATGAACTTTCATAGAACAATCTGGATTTCTGAGTTGCATGAGTTAAGTACCTTAGGTAATGGCGTATGCCTTGAAACTCTGAGGGCACTGGGCATTTAACTCCATTACATGGATGGAAATGTATTTCAGTGATGTCTTTATAAATGCTAAATTTTTTTGTGTCATAGGTAAAAATAAAGCCTATGATTTATTTTTTGTTAAAATTTCTATCCTAGTTGCAACCAGGTCAGACAGTCAATCAATACTTATTTAGTGACTGTCTACTCTGGTGCCAGGCATGGTGACAATATAACAGTAAAGAAGGAAAACGTGGTGTGTGTCCCTATGGAGTTCTGTTTTTATACCAAATACTTTCTGGAATTGGGGTCCAGTTCTTAGGCTTCCTTTGGGTTAACTGTGTTTTCCTTCATTGTGCAAATGCTACACTTGCTTTCCACCTGCCCTTCTGAGTGCTACCATTTCACAGGCTTTGGTAGTTTAATAGCTTTTCTTGTGTATACTGGAGCAGAATAGATTAATTACCTCCACTTTACACACAGGTAGTTCCCTAGATTCTCAAGAACCTCACATTGGTTTATTTAGAAGTTGCAGTTCACATTAATAAAAGAATCCAATTAAAGCACAGTCATTGTAGAAATATGATCCTTGATTTTTTTTCAATCACATTAAGTGAAAACACTTTGAGTGTTTTCTAGTGAAAAACTGTAAGAATATTTCCTAAGGATTATGGAAAGACAACAATCGATTACCTCATCTAGGAAGCATGGAATAAAATTTTCAAGAATCATATGTCCTGTAGTAATGATGTATACTTTTAGGGCCATCAGAGAATTGTCTAAATTGTGTATTAAATACATCAATACTGCATACATATATATATATTATATTTATGTAGCACAAAGATAACAGTTTTTAAAATGTTTAGTTATAAAGTGGAACCTCAATACAGAACTGGATCAAGCTTCCCAGGTAATTCTGGTGTGAAACGAAGTTCAAGAATCATGCGCTTAGAGCAGAGGTTGGTAAACTATGGTCTGTGGGTCAAGTCTGGCCCACTTCCTGATTTGGTGAGTAAAGTTTTGTTAGACTACAGCCACACTTACTCATTTACTGTTATCTATGGCTGCTTTTACTCTACAATGGCAGAAGTTGAGTACTTGAAACAGAGAACATATGGCTCACAAAGTCTAAAATATTTACACTCTGGCTCTACAGAGAGTTTGCCAACTCTTGGCTGAGAGCATGGCATGGAAGTGGACTCATCATATGGAGCAGATTGAATTAGTTTTTGCCAGCCCAGACAATGGGAAATTAAACCATTTTCAGAATGACTAGTTACATTAATTTCAGGAAAGCTACACCCCATGACAAGCTTCTTCCAAAAGGAAAAGAATAAGAAGAATCTCTTGCATGTCTATTTCTCCTGATTTTTCAGGGAGATACAGAGTAAAACAAAAAGAGAAGTCAAAGCTCAAATTTTTTTGTTTTGTTTTTTGAGACGGAGTCTTGCTGTGTCACCAGGCTGGAGTGCAGTGGCAAGACCTTGGCTCACTGCAACCTCCACCTCCTGGGTTCCAGCGATTCTCCTGCTTCAGCCTCCAGAGTATCTGGAACTACAGGCGCACACCACCACACCCAGCTAATTATTTCGGATTTTTAGTAGAGAGGGGTTTTCCCCGTGTTGGCCTGGTGGTCTTGATCTCCTGACCTCATGATCCACCCACCTCGCCCTCTCAAAGTGCTGGGATTACAAGTGTGAGGCCACTGTGCCCAGCCACAGCTCTACGTTTTGTTTGTTTGTCTGTTTTAGCTTATTTATTTTTAAATTTCAATCATGCACTAGCCATAAACTTTGCTTTCATTAAGAATAAAGCAGCAATCATTGAAATCAAACATAGGTATGGGAGATAATAATGAGAATTAGGTTCAAAGATTTTATTTTAACAGAGTTTGAATAAAGCTAGATGTTAATGTCATCATAAGCGATTTTTAAAAATTATCCTAACTCTATCAAAAAAAGCTCCCAGACTGATTCATTTCAAAATAATTATTTCATATAGCATTTATAGCATTATCCTCTGCTTGGATGAAATTAGGAAATAGCAGTGGAACATAAAATAACAGCTCTTGTCCCTTTAT
Organism: Homo sapiens; assembly: GCF_000001405.40. Taxonomy (NCBI): domain Eukaryota; kingdom Metazoa; phylum Chordata; class Mammalia; order Primates; family Hominidae; genus Homo; species Homo sapiens. The sequence continues at coordinate 58,051,087 of NC_000004.12, read as the reverse complement.
CTGCTCCACACATTTCGTATGAACCTGAGTGCTGCTTGGAAAGTCAGAATTCTATGAGAGAAAGTATTGATTTTTATCAACCTGGAAAGTGAAATGAGAGGGAGAATGACATTGCTAGCCACAGGGAGTTTATCTCAGGTCAACAACCCCTAGGTTTTATGGGAATTGTTCAGAAATTACAAATGTTGCAGGGCTAAAGCACTCTGACATAGGGCTAGAAAACACATTTTGACATTGGGCAGTGTTGAGCCTCCATTCTGCCATGGTCACTGAAATCCAGACCATATTAAGTACACCCACTGGTGGCATAGATGTTCAAATGAGCAGCTTCTTGGAATGGCATTCGGACTAGATGCAGAAAAAATTCGCATGAGAAGTTGATTGTAATGCCCGAAGTGCAGTGTAAAGCAGTCACTTTGCTGCTGTTGCTGTATTTCTGCTTGCACTTGTTCATGTTATCAAAGATGTCATTACATCAGGACATCTGTGTAATGTGACAGGTCCCTCACTGAAAATGTGAACCAGCAGAGCACGGGAAATAGCTTTATAAGCAAGCTTTTTATGTTCTGTCTTTAAATCTTTTGGTTTATTTATTTGAATTAAACATAATCTTATTGGGGAAATGATTAAGCTGCTATGTTTTTGTTTTGTTTTGCTTACATTTTTCTTTTACAATTACAAGACAGCCTCTGCAATTGGTTGCACAGAGGTAACCATTGAGACATGTTGTTTTTACCCTTTTTGCTTATGGTGTGTTTTTTGTCTCATAGTGTTCTGCAGTGCTCCAACAATGTTAGTGTCTCTTCAGTGCTTCTCTTTACATACCTACACTAGAAGAAATGAAAATTAACATTCAGTCTGAGAAAGCTTTTCATGTTAGTGGGCTTGTAGGGTGCCATGTGCTATATGATTAGCACCCTCTCAGTATCTTCTAGTTTGTGTGCTACCATCTCTGATGATTAATAGCACTTTCTTATTTATTAGAAACCCACTAACTTATTAGACTGCATTGAGTTGACAGGCTGAGGTTTACCAAAAATTTTTTAAAAATTAAAAACGTAGTTAATAAAGATAAAATAATCAATGCATTTTGAATATGCCTCCTTTAAAGGACAGAATTTTTAAATTCCCTGACAAATAAAGAATTTGAGTAAACAAAAATCATTATGTTAATGGAATGTATAACAAGGCTGGCTAAAGCAAAAATCCCAGAATTAAGACTTTTATTGGAACCTTTGTATCCATCCAGTAAAAGGGTAGCAAGAGTTGATTATGAGAATTGGGATGGAGAATTGCTGATTTTTGACTCTAAGGCCACTCTTCCCCAAAGTATGTCAATGTCAAAAATATACTGTGTGATCAATTTCAGGGGCTTTAAAGATACTTTAAAATCTGACCTGAAGTTAAGAATTCTGCCTGTATCATGTGTGTCATCAACATCACTCAATTAGTCAATAGTATATTTGCATACTAGATAGTACATTAAACAAAGTCTACTTTGGTAATAAATACAGAACAAGGGCCGACCTATTGGCAAGCAGTAAATCAGTCCAACCTGGAAAAGAAATATAATAATAATCTACACCCATGCACTTGCTCACCCACATTATAAAACAAGTGAAATGTCCTTACAGTAATAACAAAATTTTTAATTTAAAATATTATATGATTGTATGCAGTTATTTTCTATTATATTTTACTGTATAATTACAGTTTTTGTTGTTTTGACAAGAATAACCATTTCAAGAATAGATCACAAAACTGAGAATTTCTTTTTTCCTTTATTAAGTGTTTCAGAGACTCCAAAAGAAGTTGCTGAATAGAAATCAAGAACAGTTATTCTTATGTACTTGGAACCACATTTTCATAACTGTACGAAATTATCCTAATGAAAAATTTTAAGACTTAGGGCTATTTTCAAAAATCAGTAAAAATTTCCCACAGGAGAAGATAGCACACTAAAGCAGACACATGAATAAATGATAAATAGATTAAAAGTAGAAGCATAAAATACACCAAGCAGAAAGAAAATTAGCAAATATATTAGTTGTTGGAATTATTTATTGTGAAGAAAAAGGCTTTTTCAAAGGAAGTGATTCTAGACTTGACTATTTACCATAATTTCAATTATGAAAAGCATTTAGTGATTCTGAGACCCTCATTAGTTGATTCATTTATATATTGAACGAATATTAATTGAAAACCTACTTGTGCCAGACACTGTAATAGATGCCAAAGATAAAAAGATTAAGATAATAAAGTTGCTTCCTGAAAGAGCCCCTACTCCAGCACAGGAGACAAGCATGTAAACAAGTAATCTCATGTATTCAAGTGAGTGAGGTGATAGAGGTAGTTTCTACACATAAAGAGAACCCATCTGGACCAGGTTGATTTACTACGAATGTGACAGGTAAGGGGAGAAGGCTCCAACCAAAACGTCACAAGCAAGTTCCTGCTGAGCAAAAGGAAAATAGACATTTGTATACACTTGTAGAAATCTAAGACTATTCTCTCTAATTGACAGACCCCAAATATTTAATTCATTAAATATGCCTTGTTATAAATAAAAATAATTCAGTTGAAAACTGAACTATGAATATGACTTGTTTTGTACATTTTCTAATACTTTTATTTTCACTGTTAAATATTTACGAATATCAATCTTGCAGTAGTAATTTCAGTCCAGAAAGCATAGTTTAAAGCCAGGCTGTTTGAATTAAGCTTTGGTGTAATCATAAAAGTGCCAGCAATTTATAAACGTATTCAACATGTTTCTTTATTGCATGTGCTCTAAGTGCCAAGCATTGTGCCAAGCATGAGGGGTAACAGAAACATCACAATAAATATAACCCTTGCTAGCAGCGACTTAACATCATCCTGGTTGGGAGGGAGGCATTAATCAAATAATCAGTAAATGTGTAATTACAAACTAATATGAAGAAACAGTAAAAGGGGTGTCTTGGGGTATATAAATGAGAGAGTTAATATAATTTTAGTTTTGAAGAAGCTTTCTCTGAAAAAGTGGCATTTGAAGTGAAAGCAGAAGGGAGTTCAAGTTAACAAGGAGAAGGAATGTGTGTGTTTAGGGATGGGAGAGCAGAGTGTGGGAGGCCATTCTAAACTGAAGAACAGCATCTGCAAAGGCCCGAAGCAAAGAGATGATATGGATTACTCAGAGACTTCTAGGTCATTTTAAGAATCTCAGTATCCAAACTTAAAACCATAAGAAGGCATCAAGTGGTTGAAGGCAGGGAAAATAGCTCCTGCCTCAGGGAACTTGGAGTATGGCAGAAAGAACCTTCACAAATAATCAAATTCAGTTGCTGATAAAGAAGAGCTCAATGAGGACGCAAAGGATATAAAAGGGGGCCTTAGCTCAATCTGAGGATTCTGAAATGCCTCTCTGGGGAGTGCAATGCCTGAATTGAGTCTTGAAGAATGAGTACAAATTATCTAAAAAAGGAAGATGGAGAGAAATTCCAGGCAAAGGAACAATCTGTATAACACAATGAAAATGTAAAATAAATGGACTCAGTGGAAAACACAGACATTTCATTTTCATTATCAGAAAATAAAAAACAAGACAATGAGTGAGAAGACAAAATCTTCACACATGGGGCCATAAAATTATGACAGAATTTAGTAGTTCATTCAATAGGAAAGGGAAAGCCCTTAAAATGTGTTTAGTAGGTTTTGTGATTATAGTGATTCACATTTTACATTAGCTGTTCTGAATGGAGTGGGAAGGAGAGATAATTTAAAGGTGGCCAAGAATGAATGCATCAAGACCACCTATGATAGTCTTAGGTAGAATGGTGGTAGTGGGACTAGGGAGGAAGAGAGATCTGAAACATATCCAAGAGGTAAAATTGGCAGGAACTAGTCATTAATTAGATATGGAGGTAAAGAAAATCTAGAAAATCTTGGAAAACTTACACAGTTTATTGCTTGGTTATCTAGATATGGCAGAGTTAGTTAATTATATTAATAATATAGAACGAAATTTTAAATAAAATATAATGAGATCAGAGTTGGGACTTTGGGAATGGCAGTGTAAGCATTTTGGGGAGGATAACCACTGGCTGTGATACCAATAACACAGACCAGTAAGAAGCTTAATGGTAAGATCAAGGAAAGAGATAGTCAAAGAGAGGCTGGCTAAAACCAAAAGTAATTCTGGTGGTCAGGACACTCTGGGCATGCCCTCTGAGGAGCAACCAGAGAGGGATCTGCAATTTCTGAGCTGCAAGTTTCTGGCTACCATAGGGCAACCTTGAAAACTCCCTGAATCATGATAATAGTCTCCAAACTACACAAAAATTTAATGGTAAAAGACAAAAACCTTAGTGGTTCAGAAGACTTATTCACACCTGACCAACAGTAGTTGACTACTAAATAGGACTGACCATAAGGGTGACACCTAAGTATCCAGTTTTAAAGATAAATATAATGAAAATAATTGAGGTGAGATGATAGAAGCATTCACCTTCAAGAAAAGTAGATTTCACTGAACTGGTCTGGTCAACTTATTAAACAAACAAAAAACAACAATAACAATCAGTGCCAGAGGTTGAGGGGAAAAGGAGGTCTGTATCCAGAATTTCTATACTATACTATCTAAATGTTCAATTTTCAATTAAAAAAAATTATAAGACATGCAATGAACTGCCAAGGTGTGATGAAGGAAGAGAAATAGTCTTAAAGAAGGCCCAGATGTTGGACTTAACAGACAAAGATTCAAAATACTTTAATAAATATATTTACAAAACTAAAAGAAGCCATTTTAAAAGAAATAATGATGTCTCATCAAATAGATAACTTCAAAAAGAAAAATAAATTGTAAAAAAGAACCAAATAAGAATTCTGAAGATGAAAATAAAATAAGCAAAATGAAAAATAAACTAGAGGGGCTCAAGAGCATATTTGAGCTAGCAGAAGAAAGAATTACCAAATTTGAGTATAGATTCATAGAGGTAATGCAATAATAAAAACAGAAAAAAAGAAAAATAATCAAAGGCTGAGACTTGTGAGATACCATTAGTGCACTAACATATGCATAATAAGAGAATCAGGGGAGGTGGGGAGACAAAGCAACCGACAAAACATTTGAAGATATAATAATTGAAAACTTCCAAAATTCATCTACACATCCAAGAAGCTTACATATTTACAGTGGTAATAAAAATTACAAAAAAAAAAAAAACTGTCAACCAAGAGTCTTACGTAAGTAGGGAGGCTGCAATAACTGGAATCTGAAATATATTACATAAGTAGTTTGGCCAAGTCACTGAGGAAACTGACATAGCAGACAGAAAAGATTGTGACCACGTCAGGGAGTGGCAAACATTTTGTGAAAATGTTGTTTGCAATGGCTTGGAGGGCAGGTGCATTCCTACCAAGGAGAGAGTAGCAAAAGAGAAAGCTAATCTTGAGTGTAGACTCTGTGCTCTATTTGGTTAAGTCATTATAAGAAAAAACCAAAATGGACAAAATCTGTCTGGCTTATAAGCATAATAAGAGTGAATAGAGTTCAGAAATTTAGTTTTGTTTATATTTCCAGAAAATTTACTGCTTGGAGAGATGCAATTAAAAGATTTTTGATTTAAAAAAATTAAAACTTCTGAATTGATTAAAGTGAGGAAATCTCAGATTTAGGATGTGGCTTTTCCAGTTATTTTTCTGAATGTCTTTAAGATAAACACTCTTAGGCTAAGAGACTAAAACATGAGAATTAAAAAACAAAGAAAATGTGGCATCTATGTCTTAAATAAGCACAAAAGTGTGACTGGTTACTGAGCTAAAAGCTAGTGCTACCTAACATCTTTTTATTTGGGATTAGGAAACGTTCTGATATCAGGACATTTGAGAAGAAGAGTGACGAAACTGACTCTTAAAAGCCCCAGTTGCTTTGAAATAGGGAGCAGGAAAGTAAAGTCCTCTGTTGAGAGATGAGGAAAAGTGAAGGGTTAGTGTTATGGGGAACTGAAGAAGTAAAGATTAAAAATGAGTAAAATAATTATCCTGCAATGCTGAGGTCCCATTTGAGGTTGGAGAATATTATTTTGGCTGTAGTACCAATATTGAGGGCTAACCTGTTTTATTCAAATTCTCTCAGCCCCAGAAATTTGGTAGTACGAACCCAGGGTTGAAATTTTCCTGGAAAGATGAGAAAAAGGGAGGAATACAACATAGACAATGGTATTGATCAAGGACCATAAGGCATATCCTGAGAGTACCTCTAGTGAGATGAGAAAAAACACTGAACTACTAAAAGAAGATCATGGCATCAAGGAAACAGGAGTCCGTATGTGATTTAAAAAGTACTTGGAGTTGAGGTGTAAGAAAGAAGCATTCGGGGCTGTCTATTCATTTGTTTTCACAATGCTAATAAAGACATACTGAAGACTGGGTAATTAATAAAATAAAATGGTTTAGTAGACTCACAGTTCCACATGGCTGGGGAGGCATCATAATTATGACAGAAGGCAAAGGAGAAGCAAAGGAACATTTTACATGGCAGCAGGCAAGAGATCTTGTGCAGGGGAGCTCCCGTTTATAAAGCCATCAGATCTCATGAGACTTATTCACTATCATGAGAACAGTATGGGGGAAACCACTCCTGTGATTCAGTTATCTCCACTGGGCCCCACCCTTGACAATTGGGAATTACTACAATCCAAGGTGAGATTTGGGTGGTGAAACAGAGCCAAATTATATTATTCTGCCACTGGCCACTTCCAAATTTTGTGTCCTCATATTTCAAAACACAATCATGCCATTTCAACAGTCCCCCAAAACCTTCACTCATTTCAGAATTAATTCAAAAGTCCACACTCTGAAGTCTCATTGGAGACAAGCCAAATCCCTTCCAACTATGAGCCTGTAAAATCAAAATCAAGTTAGCTACTTCCTAGATACAATGTAGGTGCAGGCACTGGGTAAATACATCCATTCCAAAGGGGAGAAATTGGCCAAAATGAAGAGGCTACAGGCCCCATGCAAGTCTAAAATCCAGCAGGGCAGTCAAATCTTAAAGATCCAAAATGATCTCCTTTGACTCCATGTCTCACATCAGGTCATGCTGATGTAAGAAGTAGATTCCCATGGTCTTGGGAAGCTCTGCCCCTGTGGCTTTGTAGAGTACAGCCCCCAACCTGGCTGATTTCATGGGCTGACATTGAGTGTCTGCAGATTTTTTGTGCTCATGATGCAAGCTGTTATTGGATCTGCCATTCTGGGTGTGGAGGACAGTGGTCCTCTTCTCACAGCTCCATTAGGCAGTGATCCACTGGGGACTCTATGTGGGGGCTCCCACCCCACATTTCCCTTCTACACTGCCCTAGCAGAGGTTCTCCATGAGGACTCCACTCCTGTAGCTCACCTCTCCCTGGACATCCAGGCATTTCCATACATCCTCTGAAATCTAGGTGGAGGTTTCCAAACCTCAAATGCAGAGTTGTGTGCCTGCGCTCCAAACCCGCTGAGTCATGCAGCACCTGAAGGCTGCCTCAGCCCACACCTGACTAAAGCACAGTCATCTCCCTTACACACATTTTTGGGTATCTTTACAGAAGTATCCCACTCCCATTACCAATTTACTGTATTAGTCTCTTCTTATGCTGCTAATAAAGATATACCCAAGATTGGATAATTTATAAAGGAAAGAGGTTTAATGGACTCACAGTTCCATGTGGCTGAGGAGGCCTCATAATCATGACAGAAGGCAAAGGAGGAGTAAAGTCACACCCTACATGGCAGCAGGCAAAAGAGCTTGTACAGGGTAAGTCCCATTTATAAAACCACCAGATCTCATGAGACTTATTCACTATCATGAAAACTGTATGGGGAAACTGCCTTCATTATTCAATTATCTCCACTTGGCCCTGCCGTTGACGTGTGGGGATTATTAAAATTCAGGGTGAGATTTGGGTGAGAACACAGAGCCAAATCATATCAGCCTGTAAACAGAAAGCAATGTATTGGAGTTTGGTGTTTCTGATTATAATAATAACAAAAGCCACAGGGTTGGTGATTGAGGTTGGATAGAAAGAAATCTTCATTTAAATCTTGGATGTCAAGGAGCAGAAAGAACTAAGGTTTTGGGTTCATTATCATCAATACTGAAATCATCCACTCCAATGCTTGGAATTATGTGGTAGAGAGAAAATATCAAAGACTTCATAAAATACAAAGAATCAACTAAGATGTCATCTAGTGATTGCAATCAGAAAGAATGGGTGTGGCATAGACATATGGTAGTAATCACAAAGGATAAAGACTTTCCCCCATACGGTAGAAGAATACTGCTAAAAAGATGGCAAAAAAGGGATAGAAGAATGCTTACCTCACTTCCAGACATTTAACCATGGTTGTTGGATGGAGCAGAACATATATTGCTGTACAAACAAACAAAATAACTATAAAGACTTTACCCTTATGGAATCTATAAGTCTTTATGAAAGCAGGAGGTAGTTAGATGGTTCAATGGAGAGGCTGAAGATTTAAGAAGACTACTTATCATGGAATTAGGTGCCGAGATTAAAAATGAAAGGTTTCAGAACAATGTGGGAACATGCATAAAGGAGATTGAGGGCTTTATGTTTCAGACTGATGCTGAAGGGAAAGAACTTGAGGCCTAAAGGGCTTGGTTAGTCATAGTCACCTTGATGTAACTGTGGTACCATAGCAAGGGAGGCTCAGTGGAGGTGGGAGTGGGAGTGTTATGTGACCTCAGTATGAGTCTCAGTGTTGTCATCTTCCTGGAATATGGCCAGAAAATCTGCAATGGTGTGTTCTAGAGCTGTATTTGCAACAATTTATGTCATTAATACCCTATGTAACATTTTTAGATGATAATTTTATCAAATATCTCCCTAACTGTAGATATATGGAGAAAAAAATCTATTGAAGTGATTATTTCAGGAAGAATGATGGCAAGGGGTGTGGAGGAGAAGACGAAGGGAAAGGAAGAGAACTTCTGATAGGCAAGGAGAAAAAAAAAGGGAGACAAATCATTGTCTTAGTAGTAACATGTGATCAGTAAGGGGACCAGAAAGAGCCAAGGAATCAACCAGTTTGCAGAAGGAATTTTTCATTGGTTTCCTGTGAATGTTGACAACCTCTGAAAATAAAAGTTAATATTGCAGCTATTCTCTTCAAATATTTGCCCATTTGTTGTAGAACGGAAGCTTGGATTGAAGAGTCCACAAGTACTGATTTTGCTAATAGTAAGTTAATCAGTATACTATAAATTAGGACATTTATACCTTGAAGCTTACTATATGTTAGAACATAAACTCCTTATGGTCCGGATCTATCTCATTTCCTATTTAGGAAAGTGTTTTGTATAAAGGAATGCATGAAAACACCTTTAATAAATGTATATGTTAGCTTGGTGAAATATCAGAGCAGCCAGAGTCATTTCATTCCCTAAGTCAGTATATTTTAGGTAAATCAATATTTAATTCTCGATTATAGTATATGAAATCTTCTTTCTGTTGCCCTAGTTATCAAGTAATTAATTGCTCAACAGCACACACACATACATGCACCTCACATAACTGCACACATGCAGATGCACATGCATGCATGCCCATAGAACAACACAATAAATATGCCTATGTAACTATGTGTGTAAATGTGTATATACATATAAGCCATGTTTCTGCAGTTAAACTAGAAGTTTCCGTGCATTCCTTCATAGCTATTATATTTTAAACTCAGTGAAATGTAATGCCACTATATTAGAGCCTGCTTTCTACAAGCACTGTTTTCAATACCTAATGAAGCCACATTTTAAGATAATTAACAAGGGTGACAGATTTTCTCCCACAAGCTAACAACACTACATCAAAAAGTTATATTTTATATATATATGTATATATATAAATGTAGAGAAAAATATGTTTATTTAACTAGATTTTGTGGGATTAAAGATTAATTTTAGTAATACTTTTGATACTTTTATCAAGTATGAAGGTGTATTAATTTCTTAGGGCAATGCTATGTATTCCTTAGCCGCTTCATACTGAAGCATGTTTATATATGTATTATTGCTTATGCCCAATACAGGATTATTTTTCTTTTCAGAAAGGTTGTTGATTTCTCTTTTCAATCTTGCAACAAACATCCTGTAATTATTGATAAGATATTCAACTGAAGAAAAACACAGCTAGAAATATTATCATCACAATTCATATTTGATAATCTCTTTCTGGGTATCATAGTCAATAATTCAAATTCCCCGTAGCTTTGGGAATTTTTGCCCTTGCTATACTTAAAACTTACAGGACCCTGTTGATCCTGACATAGATTTACATATTTTGTTTTTAATACCTCATCGCTTCATCTCTTTCACATTCTGTACATTTGTATACAATCATCCACTGTTGAGAAAAATCTCCTTATTTAGTCTAGAGTTGGAATAAAAAAGTAGTCACTTTTGTGCTGTTTACTACTTACTAAATATCTACAGCCTATTTGCATCAGGCTTAAATTCTTCAATTAAATGACTCTCCAGAGGACACCCATTTTGTGTTATAAATGTGACTTGACAAGAAAGGAAAAAGAGAGGACAAATTTGTCCAAGTCTTTGCAAGTGACCTGATTTCATTCTTACAGATAGTGGATTATTCAGGTTCCCTGAATGTCAACTTCATGATAAAGATTTGAGTGCTGGAGGTTTATTGAGGATTAATATGGAGAAACCTGAGAAAGGGAGATGGAAGACTGATTGAGATAAAGATGAGATTGAATTTTGATCAGTTGCAACAAAGGCCTTCGCCAGTCTTCCAGGCAGTTCTAGAGCTGAGATGGCCCTTTGGACTCATTTCAAATTGAAGCCATGGGTTACACATTTGTACTCTTGTATAATCCAGTTCCCGGATGCAAGATTCCTCTGAGGGGGATAGAACATTTGTTGAGGCAGCCACTTGCAAAGAGGGCACACCTGGAAAGGGGTGTATGTGTAGGCCATCAGCCAGTTAGGAGAGATAATGGCCTCAGTCCTGAAGGGAGAATCTAGCTAATGCACCGCAGTATCCACTACAGATAGCAAAAGTATAATTGTTGTTTTACTCCTCAATCTTCTCTGTTTTAAAACATAAACAAGGATACTTCCTCAGAAATCACCTGATGGGCCCTTGTATCTCTCTTATCTGTGTTAACTCTTAGAACCAACAGTCTATTTCTATGTATTGATTAGATTTCTGCGATGTTTTCCATCAAAAGCTCAAAATGCAATTCAGAGAAAATTTAAAACACAGCAATTTGAACAGTGCTGCTCTTTCTTGCACTTGAAAGAAGAAGAAAAGAAGGAAACCAGAACAATGTAAGAAAACACTACTTAGACAAAAATTTATGTAAGGATTCTACTAGTGGACATTTTACTAATGGTGAGATAATTTTCTGAAAAGAAGTCATGGAACATGCAACATTAATCTTATAAAAAAACAAACTGCAAAATAAAATGGATCAAAAAAATATTTTTGTATAAATAGCTATATTGTCATACACAGAATATGGGTACAACACTTAATATTTAATATATTTTGGAGATACCTTAGAGGTTCATTTAATTGATAATCATGAAGATAATAAAACATTAGGATGATTCTAAGTTATTGCAAGATTTAAAAGGAAAATAGAAACATCTACATGTCTCCACTTAGCTGACATTTGCTCCTTCATTTATTCAAGAGAAATTAATTGTGTGAGCACATAGTGAAATAAACATAGAAATGAATACCAAGATCTCTCAAAACCATAAAACTACATCTAATACTGGATGACTTTTGGGTAAAGAATAAAATTAAGGTGGAAATTTTAAATCCTTTAAATCTAAAATCCTTTAAAACTAATGAAAACAAAGAAAAAACATACCAAAACCTCTGGGACACAGCTAAGGCAGTGTTAAGACAAAAGCTTATAGTGCTAACTGCCTACATTAAGAAGTTAAAAAGATCTTAAATTAACAATCTAATGTCACACCCAGAGGAAGTAGAAAACAAAAGCAAACCCACCCAAAAGCTAGCAGAAAAAAAAATAAACAAAATCAGAGTTGAGCTGAATAAAATTGACGTAAAAATTCATACAAAAGATCAACAAAATGAAAAGTTTTTTTGAAAGAATAAATAAGATTGATAGACTGCCAGGTAGAATAATAGAGAAAAAAAGAGAAAAGATCCAAATAAACACAATCAGAAACGGCAAAGGTAACATTACCACCAACCCCACATATTTGGCAGAATATCTTCTGCCAAAAAGACGTATGCCCTTGTATGTTCACTATAGCACTATTCACAATAGAAAAAACATGAAATCAACCTAGATGCCTGGCAGTGATGGACTGGACAAAGAAAATGTGGCACATATACAGCTCGGAATACTATGTAGCCATAAAAAAAGAATTAAACTGTAGCTTTTGCAGCAATATGGATGCAGCTGAAGGCCATTATCCTAAGAGAATTAATGCAGAGACAGAACTGCATACCACATGTTCTCGCTTATAAGTGAGAGCTAAGAAAATTGAGTACACATGGACACGGGGAGGGGAACAATAGATATTGGACCTAACTGAGGGTGGGAAGAGGATGAGGGTCAAAAAGCTAGCTATTGAGTACCACACTCACCACCAGGATGACAAAATTATTTGTACACCAAACCCCAGTGATGCTCAGTTTACCCATGTAACAAACCTGCAAGTATACCTCTGAAACTGAGATAAAAGTTGAAAATGAAAAAAATAAAAATATATAAATCTAAGGGATGAGAAAAAAGTTATTGACTACTTACTGGGTCAATTATTGTTGTAGGATCCAGAGATAGAAAAGTGAACAAAACATACTGTTGTTGAGTTCCTGGTCTTAACTTTCTCCCCTTTCTGTTATCACATCCATTGAAAATGTTAAAGTGTCCCTCCATTGTGGATAGAGAATATATCCTTGGCTCTTGATTTTGGAAATGATCATGTCCTTTTATCTGGATGATAGAAGGAGGCAGAAAAGGGTGATGGCATGTAAATTGCAAATCTAGGACTGAAGAGGCCTGTCTCTTTTTGCTTACTTTCTTTCACCTCTGGTCGACAAAATGAGAAGAATGGATCTGGATTAATTTTCTGATTCCAGGAAAAGAATGAGAGACACATAGAGAAAAGTTACCCCATGCTGAGCTCATATTAGATCAGCTGACCTCTAGCCAACTCACAGTTTTAGAAATCAATAAATGCTTATTTTTGTATGCCACCAAATATTGGAGCTTTTCCTATGAAATTTTTTAATAGTGGCTAACAAAAAATACATCTTCAGAGATTTTATAAATAAATGTGATAGAAAAGCATATGGACATAACATATACAACACACTTTGGTAAATCACATAATAGAGATAGGATCTGAATCCTGAAAGAAATAAGGGTGAAAAATAACAGCCTGAAATAATCAAGCATGTGAGCATAAAATTGTGATATTGTGAGAACAAGCAATACATGAGTAAACATTAAATAGAATGTAGATCCACAGATTAGTTTTAATATAAAAATCACAAAACTGGCACTAATTCAGGATATAAAAAGGGATAGACAACTACTCAGATCTCTAATTCTAATTCCGCTAAAAGCCAATCATTTGATAAGCAAAAGAAAAAACAGCGTTAATCTCTCAGCCAAGTAGTTCATCTCAACAGATTGAGAAGGTCAGTGAGAAAAACTGATTACTTTGGATTTATTTTTAACTAGCAAAGAATAGCATGTTAGTGAACTCAATCATAGGATATAATACTCATAACTTGGAATCTAACATTTTAAATAAATTTAATATTTTGTAAAATTTTAGAATTGTTTTAGATTCATGGAAAAGTTGCAAAAATAATATAGAAAGCTCACAAATAGCCCATACTCAGTTCCCCTATTCTTTTTTTGTTTTGTTTTGTTTTTTTGAGACGGAGTCTCACTTTGTCACCCAGGCTGGAATGCAGTGGCATGATCTTGGCTCACTGCAACCTCCCCCTTGCAGATTCCAGTGATTCTCCTGCCTCAGCTTCCCGAGTAGCTGGGATTATAGGCATGCACCACCATGCCTGGCTACATTTTTTTGTACTTTTAGTAGAGATGGGATTTCACCATGTTGGCCAGGCTGGTCTCGAACTCCTGACCTCGGGTGATCTGCCTGCCTCGGCCTCTCAAAGCGCTGGGATTACAGGCATGAGTCACTGCGCCAGGCCATTTCCCCTATTCTTAATATATTAAATTACTATGATACATTTGTCACAATGAATGAATAAATAGTTACACATTATTATTTATGAAAATTCATATTTTATTCATATTTACTTAGTTTTTACCTTATGACATTTTTTGTTACAGAATTTCATCCAGTAAATCACATTACATTTATTTGTCAAATCTAACTTGCTCGTGGCTGTGATAGTTTCTGAGATATTCCTCGTTTTGATAACTTCAACATTTTGAGGAGTGCTAGTCAGGTATTTTGTAGAATGTCCCTTAATTGGGATTTGTCTGATGTTATCCTCATGATTAGATGTGGGGTTATGGGTTTTGGGGAGGAAACCCATAGAGATAAAGTGCCATTCTCATCACATCATATCAAGGATATGTATTATCAACATGACTTATTCCTGTTGATGTTGACTTTGTTCACCTGACTCTGGCTGAGGTAGTATATGTCAGGTTTTTCCACTGCAAAGTGACTTTTTCTTCCCTTTCTGTACTGTACTCTTGAGAAGAAAATCACTATGCACAGCCCACACTTGAGGAGTAGGATTCACACTCCATCTCCTTGAGAGCAGAGTATTAACATAAATTATTTGGAATTTTTCTACATGGAAGATTAGTCTACTGCCCCATACTTATTTATTTAATCATTTATGTCAGTATAGACTCATAGATATTCATTTTGTATAATACTTTGGGTTATAATTTGATGTTACTTTTTAAATATTAATGCACAAATTGTTTCAGTTTTGACAATAGGATGCTCTTTCAGTTAGCTCCTATATTCTTGTGCATACCCCATTTGCGTGTGTATGTGTGTATGTGTGTGTGCATTTTATTATTTTCAGGCACTACATTGAAGAATGAAAACCAAGTTGTAGATGCTATGTATCCTTCTTGTTACTGGAGTATCATTGATTCTAGGGCCTCTCAGCTGAAAGAGCAAGGATATATATATGGGTCTACCAACCTGTGTATATACACATAACTATGAATATTTCTATAATCATCTGTATCTACACTAAATCAAAACTTTCATTCAAACTGATGTCTCCAACTGTAATTCACTCCCTTATGGATCATTCAAAATCTCCACCGCTTCCTTATTTGTTATCTTCCATTCCAATAGTGGAAACCTGGTTCTCACCACCCATTTATTTAAAGGTTAAATTACTGACATATACACCCATGGGAAACAATTTTATCAACTATAGTACATTGTCTTTGGTTTTCCAAACTCTATTTATTTCTAAAATTATGTAGGTCAGCACCTTTTCCATTATCAAATTCAGTGAGTCGTTTCATACATTTGTACTACAGGTGGATTCCTTTGTTTCATTCTGCATCCCATGATAAGATTCACTGACCCCCCACAAACATCTTTTTTAAAATTTTCATACCTTAATGTTCATTCTTTGTGCAGTAAAGTTGTATTGGTTTTGACAAATTTGGAGTGTCATGTTTTCACTCTTCCGGTATCAGGCAGGATAGTTTCATTACCGTAAATAATTCCCTGTGCTTCACATTTTCTACATCTCCCCAAATCACTCTCAAACTTTTTACCATCTCTGTAGTTTTGCCTTTTACAGGATGTCATACAAGTGGAATCATACAGTATGTAGCATTTTAAAATTAGGCTCTTTCTAATTTGAAAGAATTCCTAGTGATGTGAATGACGGATTTATCTATGTCTTTGTTTGGCTTTATAACTCATTCCTTTTTATCATGAAATAGCATTCCATTGTATGAATATACCACAGTGTGCTTATATGGAAGAATATCGTGGTTGCTTCTAGTTTTTGGCAATTATGAACAAAGATGCTTTTCATATTTGCATGTGGGTTTTTGTGCAGACATAAGGTTTCAGATTAGTTGGATAAATACACAGGAGTGTGACTGCTGGATTGTATGGCAAGAATATGTTTAACTTCTTAAGAAACTGCTATACCAAGTTTCATTCACCCCAGCAAAAAAATAGGAGCACTTGTTGCTCCACACCTTCACAAAAAAATTGGTATTGTCAGATTTTTAAACTTTAGCCATTCTTGTAGGTGTGTGGTACTATATCAGGATAACTTTAATTTGCATTCATTTTTCTAATAAAAAATTAAGTTGAACACATTTTCATATACATATTTGGTATCTGTATAGCACATTTGGTGAGGTGTCTGTTCAGATCTTTTGCCTATTTTTAAATTGGATTTTTTTCTTATTGCTGCATATTAAAAGCTCTTTCTATATTTTGGATACAAATTTCTGCGAAATATGTGCTTTGCAAGTATTTTCTCCCAATATGTGGCTTATCTTTTCATTCTTTCAAAGCTGTCTTTTATGAAGCAGAAGTTTTAATTTGAGTAAAGTCTCATGCATCAGTTCTTTCTTTCATGAATCATTATTTTGGGTTGTTTCTAACAATTTAGTCCGAAACGTAGGGTCTTGCCAATTTCCTCTTGTTTACTTCTATACATTTTATAGTATTGCATTTTAAATTTAGGTCTACAATCAATCTTGAGTTGATTTTTGTGAAATGTGTAAAGTTTCTATCTAGGCTCATTTTTTTGGTCATGTGGACATCCAATTGTGCCAGCACAATTTGTTAATAAGAAAATCATCTCTTCATGTTATTACCTTTGCACCCTTGTCAAAACTAGTTGACTATATCTGTGTGGGTCTAGTTCTTTTCTATCTATTCCATTTCATTGATCTATGCATCTATGGTTTACCAATATCATGATATATTTATTACTGTAGCATTATAGTAAGTGCTTGTGATAATTAATCTTATAGGCAACTTGGCTAGACCACTGTATCCAGATTTTGGTCAAACGTTATTTAAAATGTTTAAGTGCAAGTGTTTTTAAAAACGAGATTACCCTTTAAATCAGCAGACAGGGTAATGCAGATTACCCTCCATAATGTGTGTGGGCCTCATCATATCTCCTGAAGACACTAATAGAAAAAGTCTAACCTCTTTTGGAGAAAAATGAATTCTGCCAGAAGACTGCCTTTGGACTTGAACTACAACATCAGCTCTTCTCTGAATCTTCAACCTATTGTTCTACTCTGAAGATTTTGGACTGGCCCGTCTTCATAATCATGTGAGCCAATTCCTAAAAATAAATATCTCTCTTTGTTTCTTGTCTCTTTCTGTGTGTGTATACATGTATATATAACATATATGTAGTCTCATATGTATACCACATACATACACGTGCATATGTATACAGGTAACATATACATGTAACACATGTATGTATGCATATACATATCACACATATGTACATATACATACACCCAAGTACACACACATACACATAGTCTTAAAATTCAATAATCTCAGTTTTCCAACTTTATTCTTCAGTATTGTGTTAGTTATTTTATGTCTTTTGCCAGTCTGTATAAATTTTGGAAGCAGTTTGTCAGTATCTACAAAATAGCTTTATGGAATTTTGATTAAGATTGCATTGAATCTATGATCAAGTTGAGAAGAACTGATGTCTTAACAATATTAAGTCTTCCAATCCATGAACACAGAATATCTCTTTATTTAAATATGCATTGATTTCTTACTTCAGTATTTTGTATTTTTCTGCATACGAATACTGTGTATGTTTTTATTAAGTACTCTTAACTCCAATTTTGATATTTGACTGCTGTCTTTCAAGCCTCACCTTGCCTTATTTCCACCCCATATATGGGCAAGCTGATAAACATACCTGAGTGCTTCCTCCTTTGTTGCTGGTAGCGAATTCAAACCACATAAGTCCAGCCCACAAACAGGAGTGGTCAGCCCAGCCATCCCAATCTTCTTTTCCTGTATTCTCATGACATTTTTGAACTTGATTGGGACACCTGCCCTGCTCTCCACAAAATAGATATGGTCAAGCTCAAGATGTAGTGGCTTCACTATCATTGAGTAACAGTATTTAACAGGAGAGGAAAAAGCATGTGATGTAAACATTGTAGAGATGCTTTATATATTATATATGAAATTCAGCTAGAAAGTATTTAGAGGATTTGCCAAGCCAGATTCCAGGATTCTCTTAAATATAGTGAGGTAGAGCAAGCTGACACAAATGAACAAACTTCACAGTGGTATGTTTACCAATATGGGAATGCCTTAGAGCAAGGCTTTTTAGCTGCAAATTCCTAAACTGAATTCAAAGTATGGATAATTCTTCTGAAGCTGTATGGAAAATTATGTATGCAAGAGTGTCTGTGCCTCCTATTCCACTGAGAGGCTTAATATATAGCTTTCAGCAGATTCTAAAAGAGGTTCATATTTTCACAAAGTATTTGGGACTAATGTTTTTGGTATTTTTGCCTATATCTAGCACTGTTCAGTAAACAGGTGATATGAATGTTTTATTGCATTATACTATATTATATTATATTACATTATGTTATATTATATTCAGCAATCAGGTATTAAGTATAGATTATCAGGCATTAGCCATTGAGTGCAGGATATTTTGCCCTAGTGAGTGAGAGAACTGAGTAAGCAAGTGGCTATGCCTTTTGGGGAAAAGATTCAATAAGTTCAAAAGTCCAGAGATGACAGAAAAGGTGACACGTCCATTAAACCACAGAGAGTTCAATGTGTAGAGGAAAAGTGCGTGTTCATTTTGTGAATGAAAGGAGACGTGGGTGGAAACGTAGGCAGGAGTCAGTTCATGAAAGGCCGTGTCAGCCATGTTAAGGATTTTAAGCGTTCTGAAATCTATGGAATCTATTGAAGTAATTGGAGGACTTTTTTTTTATCTGAGAAGAGACATTGTCCATTTTCATTATAGAAAATTTACTCTGGCACTTATAATGAGAACTATCTGGGGTGGTAATGTAGGATGTTCAGGCAAAATTAGATTCTGGAAAACTGGTCATATGGGTGCTGAAATAACCCAAGTAAAAAATGAAGACCTAAACTATGGAGACAAGAATAGGATGGAAAAAAATAATAAGAAATCTAGAGGCATAGAGATAAGTACTGGATGTGGTGAGGAGAGAGAGAAGTAGAAATACAGGGTGACTTTTCTTGTTATTGGCTTGGACAAATTGTGTCCCCACAATAATAATAATTAGGCATTTATCTCTTGAATTATTTTTTCAAATAAAATAACACAATTTATTCTAAATTTTTAAAGATACTTCATAGACTATATTCAAATATCAGGTATGTACTTACATATACAGCAAGGATTTGTTGATTAGATTTGCATTTATAGATTCAAATGTAAATGGTGCCCTTGGGGCATTTTTGCACCTTTCTGTTGGACTGTTCTTCTAAACATGGGTTATGGGTAAAAGACTTGGAAAATATTAAATCTATTTCACCCTATGGTTAAAAAAAGAAGAACTGTTTCCCTCTGGTTGTTGCTTCTCTAGATTATTTGAAGTGATGGCTAAATCATTGAATATGCTGCTCAGTCATGCCATGTTGTGAAATATTGATGATGTATTACTGTGAACAATTTGGAGCACTGATATGAAAGGTGCTATTCAAATTGAAGTTGGAATTCGTTTATAGGCAACACATTGCAAAGCTTACCAGTGTTTGTGAACAGCTAATCTCAGGTTCAATTATACTTAAATTGAAAAAGAGAGACTTGCTTTCACCATCAGAGGCCAAAGTAAAAATAAAATAAAAATTTTAAAAAGAGGTCACTGTTGAGCCTAATGAAATATTAAACATGAAAAAATAAAAGCCATTAGGATCAAGTTTATCAGCTTGTAGCACATTTACAGCAAAGAATTTTTTTATGCAATGAGGACAACTTCCAGAGCATAAGACATTGGCTGAGGCAGTGACAACAGAAAAGTAAAATTTTCCTGAGCAAATGACTCTTCGGTGGATGTTTGTTCTTTCATAACAGTTGTCAGGTTCATGCTGCAGTGTCTTTTATATTATAAATAGGTATTGGTTCCCTACACAAATGTGTAATGTTCTGGACGCTATGGAATAGAATGCAGAAAGTGTTTTACTACTTACTGCTTTCTAACTTCGGACTTACACAATTAGTAAGTCAGCAATGAAGATAAGGCACATTTCTTCCTTTTTGGTCCTTTAAGTTAAACTATGCTTAAAATGTCACAAAAAGTTGATTGTTAGGAAACAAATTTTCAGGACATCGGAAAACATGTCTGGTAACCCAGTTGTAAAGGGAAAGCCCAAACAGGAAAGAAAATACTTCAGTTACTGATAAAATAGGCTGAAAACAGTATACATCAGGGCAACAGAGGCACTGTACACGCATAACAACCTCCTATCTCATTTCTCTTTCTAATA
This sequence comes from Homo sapiens, assembly GCF_000001405.40. Lineage (NCBI taxonomy): Eukaryota > Metazoa > Chordata > Mammalia > Primates > Hominidae > Homo > Homo sapiens. The sequence continues at coordinate 58,030,578 of NC_000004.12, read as the reverse complement.
CATCACATAAGCTGTCCTATTTACCTCATTTTATTGCTTACCTTGAAAAGTTTTCTACTCTAAAGATTTTAGATGGTAGGGGTTAAGATGAATAAAATGATTTGCTGTAGGGTATCTTACCAACAGATCACACAGCAAGGAGAATTTGAGAATCTAAATAAGTAGTAATTTAGGAGTTAAGAGTGGTCCTACAGATGTTTGTACTTTCCATCCACTTCTTCCTCCCGCAAAATATGTTAGAAAACAAAATCTCAGAAACCTTAGCTCTTTGTAAACAACTTCTGGAGGCCACCTTCCCCAACAGAAGACAAGGAACCAGTCTTAAAAGAAATCTCGCTGGGCGCCATGGCTCACGCCTGTAATCCCAGCACTTTGGGAGGCCGAAGCGGGCGGATCACAAGGTCAGGAGATCGAGACCATCCTGGCTAACACGGTGAAATCCCGTCTCTACTAAAAATACAAAAAAAATTAGCTGTGCATGGTGGCGGGCGCCTGTAGTCCCAGCTACTCGGGAGGCTGAGACAGAGAATGGCGTGAATCTGGGAGGCGGAGCTTGCAGTGAGCCGAGATTGCGCCACTGCACTCCATCCAGCCTGGGCAACAGAGTGAGACTCCATCTGAAAAAAAAAAAAAAAAAAAAAAGAAATCTACTTCCAGGAAAGAACCCATTTTACTTGCATAAATGAAAGAATGAGGGAAATTTTCCCAAGAATGATTGTAGCATGTGATGTTTTCTCTTTTTGCTGAAATACCTGATTTAAACTATGTGGAAATATCCAGGTCACTTGTTTAAGAAGTTTATTTGACATTCTAGTCAAATTCAATCTAATATGGGAAAATTTAAATTAGCCCCTACTATATACCAGTTGCTGTTCTAAGTCAACATGTGTGAATAGGACATGGCCTTTGATGTCAAACCCCAATAGCACATTGGTATAAAGACAATCACTGTACAACACTCTGTGTGTTCCATGACAAAGGAATGCTCTAAATCCTTAGACGACACAAAGAGAGGAGTGTCTTTCTGTGCATTGAGAATGCAAGGAAGGCAACACAAATGATATTTAAACTGCATTTTGAAGGTTGTATTCAACAGACCAGGAAATAAAAAGCCAAGCAGGAAGTGATGATATGTGCAAAGGTCCTAGACAAGAAAGAAAAGCAGAATGATGGACTTAAAGTGGTGTAATGTGTCCAACACACTTGGCACATACCCTTTAGAAGACCTGACTGGTTGGATTGTGTCTAGTTAATAATGGGACTTGCATGCCAAAGAATGAGTACAGACTTTATTCTGAAGGTAGCTTTTATGCATGGAGTGGTAAAGTCAGAAATGGAAAAGACTGGGAATAGGAAGACTGACTGAATTAAGAAAGATATTGAAGAAAGAAACTGTTAGTACCCTTTTCTAGCTAAAGAAAAATCCTTCTATTATCCAAAGTGAAAAATAAATTAATAAGGAAACTATTATAAAATTATTATTTATAATAAAAACTCAAAACTAGGCTTGAAATTCAGTGATCAAAGGTATAAATATAAGAATAGCAAAGCAAATAAATGCGCCTTTTCATTCCCACAAAGTGATTGTGGGAACAGTCCCCTCATTACCACAGTGCAATTCTAACTTCAAAAATATTAAATGAAATTCTGACTTTAAATGTCTAAAGAGCAATGCAGGATTTTACTGAATACTTTTGCAAAGGTGGTAGAGAACCAGAAAGAAAGGTGAGGAGTTATACTGCGCAAGCAGAGCAAAATTTCCTAAAACTTCTCCACAGAAACCTTTCTTCTATGGCAAGAAGAATCTTCTAGCATTAAACTGCTTGGAAAATTATCTCTTTTCCATTTCTACCCTCCCAACCTCCTCTCCATAATTTCACCCACACCTTATTTCAGGCTTTTCAATATTCTTTCCTTCCACAAGTAACGCTAGGCCACTCCTAAAGGGCATACTGGTCAAATACTTTGTTTGTTTCTTCCAGGTTTCCTCTGACCTCATTAACAAAAGCCTGGAAGACTATCAGTTCAACAAATATTAAGTCTTTAGAAAGCAGGATATAGGGACAAGCACTATCAATTTCTTGACTGTAATATTTTATCCTGTTACTAAAGGGCAAAGACAGCAGAAAGAAGTGGGTTTTTGTGTCCCTGCTGCTAATTGGGTGTGCAAGGGCAACATGGCTGCATCTGTTCTCATTCATGCTGTCCTTGTGTATGGAAGCTGGATCAACAGTTATTGAAAAGCACACTTTGATTTTGGTTATTTCTTGCCTTCTGCTAGCTTTTGAATGTGTTTGCTCTGGCTTTTCTAGTTCTTTTAATTGTGATGTTAGGGTGTCAATTTTGGATCTTTCCTGCTTTCTCTTGTGGGCATTTGGTGCTATAAATTTCCCTCTACACACTGCTTTGAATGCGTCCCAGAGATTCTGGTATGTTGTGTCTTTGTTTTCGTTGGTTTCAAAGAACATCTTTATTTCTGCCTTCATTTCGTTATGTACCCAATAGTCATTCAGGAGCAGGTTGTTCAGTTTCCATGTAGTTGAGCGGTTTTGAGTGAGATTCTTAATCCTGAGTTCTAGTTTGATTGCACTGTGGTCTGAGAGACAGTTTGTTATAATTTCTGTTCTTTTACATTTGCTGAGGAGAGCTTTACTTCCAACTATGTGGTCAATTTTGGAATAGGTGTGGTGTGGTGCTGAAAAAAAATGTATATTCTGTTGATTTGGGGTAGAGAGTTCTGTAGATGTCTATTAGGTCCACTTGGTGCAGAGCTGAGTTCAATTCCTGGGTATCCTTGTTGACTTTCTGTCTCGTTGATCTGTCTAATGTTGACATTGGGGTGTTAAAATCTCCCATTATTAATGTGTGGGAGTCTAAGTCTCTTTGTAGGTCACTCAGGACTTGCTTTATGAATCTGGGTGCTCCTCTATTGGGTGCATATATATTTAGGCTCATTAGCTCTTCTTGTTGAATTGATCCCTTTACCATTATGTAATGGCCTTCTTTGTCTCTTTTGATCTTTGTTGGTTTAAAGTCTGTTGTATCAGAGACTAGGATTGCAACCCCTGCCTTTTTTTGTTTTCCATTGGCTTGGTAGATCTTCCTCCATCCTTTTATTTTGAGCCTATGTGTGTCTCTGCACGTGAGATGGGTTTCCTGAATACAGCACCCTGATGGGTCTTGACTCTTTATCCAATTTGCCAGTCTGTGTCTTTTAATTGGACCATTTAGTCCCTTGACATTTAAAGTTAATGTTGTTATGTGTGAATTTGATCCTGTCATTGTGATGTTAGCTGGTTATTTTGCTCATTAGTTGATGCAGTTTCTTCCTAGTCTCTATGGTCTTTACATTTTGGCATGATTTTGCAGTGGCTGGTACCGGTTGTTCCTTTCCATGTTTAGTGCTTCCTTGAGGAGCTCTTTTAGGGCAGGCCTGGTGGTGACAAAATCTCTCAGCATTTGCTTGTCTGTAAAGTATTTTATTTCTCCTTCACTTATGAAGCTTAGTTTGGCTGGATGTGAAATTCTGGGTTGAAAATTCTTTCCTTTAAGAATATTGAATATTGGCCCCCACTCTCTTCTGGCTTGTACGGTTTCTGCTGAGAGATCTGCTGTTAGTCTCATGGGCTTCCCTTTGAGGGTAACCCGACCTTTCTCTCTGGCTGCCCTTAACATTTTTTCCTTCATTTCAACTTTGGTGAATCTGACAATTATGTGTCTTGGAGTTGCTCTTATCAAGGAGTATCTTTGTGGTGTTCTCTGTATTTCCTGAATCTGAACATTGGCCTGCCGTGCTAGATTGGGGAAGTTCTCCTGGATAATATCCTGCAGAGTGTTTTCCAACTTGGTTCCATTCTCCCCATCACTTTCAGGTACACCAATCAGACGTAGATTTGGTCTTTTCACATAGTCCCATATTTCTTGGAGGCTTTGCTCATTTCTTTTTATTCTTCTTTCTCTAAACTTCCCTTCTCGCTTCATTTCATTCATTTCATCTTCCATCGCTGATACCCTTTCTTCCAGTTGATCCCATCGGCTCCTGAGGCTTCTGCATTCTTCACGTAGTTCTCGAGCCTTGGTTTTCAGCTCCATCAGCTCCTTTAAGCATTTCTGTGTATTGGTTATTCTAGTTATACATTCTTCTAAATTTTTTTCAAAGTTTTCAACTTCTTTGCCTTTGATTTGAATGTCCTCCCGTAGCTCAGAGTAATTTGATTGTCTGAAGCCTTCTTCTCTCAGCTCGTCAAAGTCATTCTCCGTCCAGCTTTGTTCCGTTGCTGGTGAATCAGAGCAGAACTGAAGGAAATAGAGACACAAAAAACACTTCAAAAAATTAATGAATCCAGGAGCTGGTTTTTTGAAAGGATCAACAAAATTGATAGACCACTAGGAAGACTAATAAAGAAAAAAAGAGAGAAGAATCAAATAGACACAATAAAAAATGATAAAGGGGATATCACCACCGATCCCACAGAAATACAAACTACCATCAGAGAATACTACAAACACCTCTACGCAAATAAACTAGAAAATCTAGAAGAAATGGATAAATCCTCGACACATACACTCTCCCAAGACTAAACCAGGAAGAAGTTGAATCTCTGAATAGACCAATAACAGGAGCTGAAATTGTGGCAATAATCGATAGCTTACCAACCAAAAAGAGTCCAGGACCAGATGGATTCACAGCCAAATTCTACCAGAGGTACAAGGAGGAACTGGTACCATTCCTTCTGAAACTATTCCAATCAATAGAAAAAGAGGGAATCCTCCCTAACTCATTTTATGAGGCAAGCATCATTCTGATACCAAAGCTGGGCAGAGACACAACCAAAAAAGAGAATTTTAGACCAATATCCTTGATGAACATTGATGCAAAAATCCTCAATAAAATACTGGCAAACTGAATCCAGCAACATATCAAAAAGCTTATCCACCATGATCAAGTGGGCTTCATCCCTGGGATGCAAGGCTGGTTCAATATGCACAAATCAATAAATGTAATCCAGCATATAAACAGAGCCAAAGACAAAAACCACATGATTATCTCAATAGATGAAGAAAAGGCCTTTGACAAAATTCAACAACCCTTCATGCTAAAAACTCTCAATAAATTAGGTATTGATGGGATGTATTTCAAAATAATAAGAGCTATCTATGACAAACCCACAGCCAATATCATACTGAATGGGCAAAAACTGGAAGCATTCCCTTTGAAAATTGGCACAAGACAGGGATGCCCTCTCTCACCACTCCTATTCAACATAGTGTTGGAAGTTCTGGCCAGGGCAATTAGGCAGGAGAAGGAAATAAAGGGTATTCAATTAGGAAAAGAGGAAGTTAAATTGTCCCTGTTTGCAGATGACATAATTGTATATCTAGAAAACCCCATTGTCTCAGCCCAAAATCTCCTTAAGCTGATAAGCAACTTCAGCAAAGTCTCAGGATACAAAATCAATGTACAAAAATCACAAGCATTCTTATACACCAATAACAGACAAACAGACAGCCAAATCATGAGTGAACTCCCATTCACAATTGCTTCAAAGAGAATAAAATACCTAGGAATCCAACTTACAAGGGATGTGAAGGACCTCTTCAAGGAGAACTACAAACCACTGCTCAAGGAAATAAAAGAGGATACAAACAAATGGAAGAACATTCCATGCTCATGGGTAGGAAGAATCAATATCATGAAAATGGCCATACTGCCCAAGGTAAGTTACAGATTCAATGCCATCCCCATCAAGCTACCAATGCCTTTCTTCACAGAATTGGGAAAAACTACTTTAAAGTTCATATGGAACCAAAAAAGAGCCCGCATCGCCAAGTCAATCCTAAGCCAAAAGAACAAAGCTGGAGGCATCACACTACCTGACTTCAAACTATACTACAAGGCTACAGTAACCAAAACAGCATGGTACTGGTACCAAAACAGAGATATAGATCAATGGAACAGAACAGAGCCCTCAGAAATAATGCCGCATATCTACAACTATCTGATCTTTGACAAACCCAAGAAAAACAAGCAATGGGGAAAGGATTCCCTATTTAATAAATGGTGCTGGGAAAACTGGCTAGCCATATGTAGAAAGCTGAAACTGGATCCCTTCTTTACACCTTATACAAAAATTAATTCAAGATGGTTTAAAGACTTAAATGTTAGACCTAAAACCATAAAAACCCTGGAAGAAAACCTAGGCATTACCATTCAGGACATAGGCATGGGCAAGGACTTCATGTCTAAAACACCAAAAGTAATGGCAACAAAAGCCAAAATTGACAAATGGGATCTAATTAAACTAAAGAGCTTCTGCACAGCAAAAGAAACTACCATCAGAGTGAACAGGCAACCTACAAAATGGGAGAAAACTTTCGCAACCTACTCATCTGACAAAGGGGTAATATCCAGAATCTACAATGAACTCAAACAAATTTACAAGAAAAAAACAAACAACCCCATCAAAAAGTGGGCGAAGGACATGAACAGACACTTCTCAAAAGAAGACATTTATGCAGCCAGAAAACACATGAAAAAATGCTCACCATCACTGGCCATCAGAGAAAGGCAAATCAAAACCACAATGAGATACCATCTCACACCAGTTAGAATGGCAATCATTAAAAAGTCAGGAAACAACAGGTGCTGGAGAGGATGTGGACAAATAGGAACACTTTTACACTGTTGGTGGGACTGTCAACTAGTTCAACCCTTGTGGAAGTCAGTGTGGCGATTCCTCAGGGATCTAGAACTAGAAATACCATTTGACCCAGCCATCCCATTACTGGAGATATACCCAAAGGACTATAAATCATGCTGCTATAAAGACACATGCACACGTATGTTTATTGCGGCATTATTCACAATAGCAAAGACTTGGAACCAACCCAAATGTCCAACAATGATAGACTGGATTAAGAAAATGTGGCACATATACACCATGGAACACTACGCAGCCATAAAAAATAATGAGTTCATGTCCTTTGTAGGGACATGGATGAAATTGGAAATCATCATTCTCAGTCAACTATTGCAAGGACAAAAAACCAAACACCGCGTATTCTCACTCATAGGTGGGAATTGAACAATGAGATCACATGGACACAGGAAGGGGAACATCACACTCTGGGGACTGTTGTGGCGTGGGGGGAGGGGGGAGGGATAGCATTGGGAGATATACCTAATGCTAGATGACGAGTTAGTGGGTGCAGCACACCAGCATGGCACATGTATACGTATGTAACTAACCTGCACAATGTGCACATGTACCCTAAAACTTAAAATATAATAATAAAAGAAAAAAAGAAAAGCACACTTGTGTGGAAGACAAGAGATTCAAATCCTGTTTCTATTAAATTGTTGTGATTTTAACTATCTTTGCCTCAATTTACTCACCTATCACTTGAAGATCATTGCAGAACATTCTTCAAGGGTTCTCCCTGTTAAGTCTACAATTTACTCACTGACTTTGGAGTCAGAAGACCTATTTTTGAACTCCTATTCCACCATTATTAATTAGCTGTGTGGCATTCACCAGGTCTCTTAATTGCTTAGGGTGTATTTAGTTTACTGAAAAATTGAGAGTTAAGCATTCATCTCAAAAAGAAAACAAAAGAGTGATTTAAAGCACTATCTACACAACCTAGGACACTTTTCTATGTACCAGTTGTCTAGGATTTTGGGTTATCCCCAAAAAATTTTTACATGATATCCTTTGACCCCTTCCCCCTAGCTACACACACACTTTGACTGAAATGTTCTGGAGAGATGAACAATCTTTATTATTTATGTTAAGGTGTTACTGAAAAAATATGACTATCTTTTTCAATAATATAGTCGACTAATGTTTAAATCTAGATCATCTTTTTCTGTGCCTACTTGTGGTGGAGGACTACCAGTCATCATGTAGAGAAGTTAGTAATTTATTCTCTACATAATAACCTTTCATAAGGTGTACTTAATATAAATTTCATTTTTATTATTATTACTGAGCTGCTGCTGTTCTATTCATGGTACTAAAAACAACCATTATTCATGATTCTCTTATCCTTCCGTACAGAGCCCATTTACTGCATTGCCTCCCTTCACTGCTGATTACTGCAAAGGGATGAAGAGAGCACAGGGAGACTATGTTCCTTGTTACGATTAAATAATTAATTGAGTAAATAAAATCAAGGCCAGGAAGAAAAGAACTAACTGCTCCTTATAAATGTTTACTTGGTTTGCCTTAATGCCCATGGGTGATAGTTCTTTATCAAAACCTGGATACTATTTATGAGACAGGAAGATATTAAATGGTAAAAGAAAAACAAACAAGCACACAAAACACCAATTTCACTAGACTTGGTTAGGGGAGAGACCATTTCTCAGCATCCTCTGCTGACCACAAACAAATCTGAGAGATTTTCTTTTTTTTTTTTTTTTTTTTTGTTTTGTTTTGTTTTGTTTTGTTTTTATTATACTCTAAGTTTTAGGGTACATGTGCACATTGTGCAGGTTAGTTACATATGTATACATGTGCCATGCTGGTGCGCTGCACCCACTAATGTGTCATCTAGCATTAGGTATATCTCCCAGTGCTATCCCTCCCCCCTCCCCCGACCCCACCACAGTCCCCAGAGTGTGATATTCCCCTTCCTGTGTCCATGTGATCTCATTGTTCAATTCCCACCTATGAGTGAGAATATGCGGTGTTTGGTTTTTTGTTCTTGCGATAGTTTACTGAGAATGATGGTTTCCAATTTCATCCATGTCCCTACAAAGGATATGATCTCATCATTTTTTATGGCTGCATAGTATTCCATGGTGTATATGTGCCACATTTTCTTAATCCAGTCTATCATTGTTGGACATTTGGGTTGGTTCCAAGTCTTTGCTATTGTGAATAGTGCCGCAATAAACATACGTGTGCATGTGTCTTTATAGCAGCATGATTTATACTCATTTGGGTATATACCCAGTAATGGGATGGCTGGGTCAAATGGTATTTCTAGTTCTAGATCCCTGAGGAATCGCCACACTGACTTCCACAATGGTTGAACTAGTTTACAGTCCCACCAACAGTGTAAAAGTGTTCCTATTTCTCCGCATCCTCTCCAGCACCTGTTGTTTCCTGACTTTTTAATGATTGCCATTCTAACTGGTGTGAGATGGTATCTCATTGTGGTTTTGATTTGCATTTCTCTGATGGCCAGTGATGATGAGCATTTCTTCATGTGTTTTTTGGCTGCATAAATGTCTTCTTTTGAGAAGTGTCTGTTCATGTCCTTCGCCCACTTTTTGATGGGGTTGTTTGTTTTTTTCTTGTAAATTTGTTTGAGTTCATTGTAGATTCTGGATATTAGCCCTTTGTCAGATGAGTAGGTTGCAAAAATTTTCTCCCATGTTGTAGGTTGCCTGTTCACTCTGATGGTAGTTTCTTTTGCTGTGCAGAAGCTCTTTAGTTTAATTAGATCCCATTTGTCAGGTTTTAGTATTATTTGTGTGCTTTCATATGCTATGCCTTAGTTTTACTGCATTACTTGTCTCCTTTTCCTGATTATCTATGCCCTACTCCATTTTCAAAAGATTTACTAGACTATTCTAGTTTACGTTGACTTCCACCAATCTAGCAATTTCCATTATGTCTAACAATAAAGTGCCTATTTACAGAATACAGTTCATTACCCTTTGTCCGACACACGTGAAAGTATTGTTTCTATAAACTTGATTAAAAATTATTGATTCAGGAAAACAGATATAATGTTTGTTTTTATATCCTCCAAACTACGGGGAACCAAGCCCAGGATTGGCTATATACCTGAGGTTCTATAGATGTCTCTATTGGTTGCTTTCAATCAGGCAACTATTTTGCCCAATTCCAAGGGGCGACATTCATATAGCATTCAACATGAATAATGTTAGCATTGTGAAGATAGTAGTGGCCAAAATAATTAAATGAAATAGAATACAATATTGATGGTGCACCTGGAGTTGTTCATTTTGTTGACACTATTAAGGATTATTTGATATGACAGCTGAATGATGAATAAACAATCATGGTTTTAAAGAAGATGACAATACAGCAATCAATTCCTTTTTTTAAAGAAAATATAGCACTTCTACCATGATTCCAAATTCCCAGAAGCTAAAAGCACATTTATAAAATTTATAAAATTAAACCTAGCTCAAAATTCACTTAATCTAGGAATATGTTTCTAACACCCACTCCATAGCAAAATCAAAGGGCTGTTTTTCTGTGTTCCCTTAATAGTCATAAATACTTCTGCTATGGTATTTTGTCATCACTCATTCTAAATTGTATTTTTTCACCTCATCAGTCAGAACTTAAGCTTGTTACAATTGCAGCATGTTTAAGCCCATTGAGAGCTGAGTTTAATCGTTCAATAAGAAAAAAGTATAAGGCAGGGTCTTGTCCAATCAAGTCTGAAAAACGGACCCAAATCAAAATCTAACCTCTACAAGGAAAACAGCAAACAATGGCTTGGGCTGCCCCCGTTTGGTTGCAGCTTGTAGCAGTGTCCCAGAAAGCATCACTATTTCAGTTCAATGCACAACAGAGTAGCAGCAATTAGTGGCACCATATGCCCATGATGGCTAATATTTTGCAGTGGAATTCTCAGAGAAGAGGCTGACAAGAGGTATATATGAAGCCAACATTATTCAAGTAGACTACGATCTAAGTGGCGCTTCCATCCTGCCAGAAACTAGAAAGCTGATCAGAAGTGGCAAGGCTGAGGGATGGTCATGCATCAGAAGGAATTCCACCAAGTATTCAAAGAAATGGTTCAGATGTGGGGACAACACACATGGGTCCGAATCTTGGCTTTGCCACATAACGTCTATGTAGACTTGAAAAGCCTTCCTTAACGTCTGAAGCCTTCTTTTCCTCCCCTGAATACAGAAATCATATCTGCCCTATAGATTTATAATGAGGACTAAAGGAAATAGTTACTTAATGCTTAGCACTTATAAAGCATTCCATAAAGAGTTATTGTTATTAGTATTGATAACAATATTTGCATATTATTCAAACTATTATTCAAAATATTTCCTTAGGTCTACTATCTGTAAGGTTCAGTGAGGTGCTATGGATACAGTGATATATAAGTTACAGTCCTGTACTTGAAGCTGTCAGTTTTTTCACCTGAAATAAAACAGACCATAAGAAAAAGTCACAAATGTTATATAAATGTATATGCAGGGTGCTAATGGCAACACAGAAGAGGCACATCTAACAAAAATGTGTAGCTGATGGAAAAAGAAAGGTGTTAATAGAGAACTCCAGGAAGAAGCAGTACCTACAAAATTCTGAGGGAAGTAAGACAGGCCGAAGTTGAGAGGACAATCATTCTAGACATGCAACAGCATAAAGACAAAAGAGGCAGGAGACAGTCTGTATGTAAGGAAGGAACTACATGTACTCTAGAAACATGAAGAACAAATTTTGGGTTTTGAACTACTAAGGAAAGAAACTAGAGATTAGAAGGACAGATTATCATGGAATATGCATACCATGTTATGAGCCTTAAACATTGTCTTGCAGGCAAAGGGAATCATCTGAGCAGTTAGATAAAGAGTGATGTTATATCCTGGCTTATCCAAGAGTTACAGGGGAAAGAGGATGCATTTTCTGCAGGATATGGAGCTTCAGTTACCTACCAGGTAGACAGATTTTGGACTCCAGAAATTGGAGAAATAAAAAAAGAGAGATTCTTTGTGCCAGGAAACATATTTGTGAATATCACTTTATAGGTGACAGGTGTAATTATGAAACTAGACAAGGTTATTAAAAGGATTGGGTAGCAATGTCTTTTGAACTGTACTGTGTATCTAAATCATCATGGGAGTTTAAATGCAGATCTCTAGGCCCCAACTCTGGATATTCTGGTTCAATGTTTAGGATAAGTACATGACATTCATGGTCTTAACAATATCTTCAGTTAATTCTGTTGTGTAAAAAGGGTTAAGAACCAATGTTTTGAAGAGTGGATAAAAAAGAATCTTCCAAGAAGACAGAAATGGCAAAGGCAAAATATGAAACAAGAGTTTGGTGCTCCAAAACATAAGGGGATGGAGAGTTTTAAGAAAATCCAGGTTTAGATCTCACTTGCCACTTCCCAACAGTGTGGCTCTGTAGTTGACTAATCTCTCTGATTCCCAACATCCTTGTCAATAAAGTGAGAAAAACAATAGTAACTCTCTCATGCAATCACTCCGGGGATTGAATGAAATAACGAATATAAGATGCATAATATAATCAAAGCATATCAGAAAATGCAAGTGAATGTAAGTTCTTGTTAATATGAGTGCTATCCTGGATACTGTGATTCAAAGTCTCAAATATGACAGCTGTCCTTTAGACCTAGAAGTTAGTAAATTATTGAGGATTTGAAGAAGAGCGATTTTAGAAGTGTGCTAAGAACAAGAACCAAGTTATGATGGATTGGAGAGTGAAGGAAAAGACAGAAATGCCTGTTGTCAACCTTTTCAAAATGTTTGGATGATACAGGGAAAAAGGAATTAAATGGTAACTATCAAAGGAAATAGATTATATAAGCAGAGTTTTTTGAGGGATGGGAAACACTTGAATGTGTTTATAAACAAAGAGGAGCCAGGAGAGAGGAGCCAGGAAAGATATATGAGACAGAGGAAGTGTTTTCTTTCTAGCTCCAGAGGTTGCTGGATTTAAAAAGATAAAGATCTCAAGGCTGCCATATCTGAAATTATAGAAGAAGGTAAAAATAAGTGTTGCTATATTTGTACAGATAGTGGAGGATATGGAAAAACAAAAAAGACCACCCCTGAAGACATCTTTAAAAGCGTTTTACATTACTAATTTTCATACACTTTTATTTATCTATTTTTTAAGTGCTTTTATGTGCTTTATAAAAATACTCATAGAGCTTGTATTTGTCTTTGCCCCCCGAGCAGTAGGTTAAGAGGTGTTATGTGTACTAGACCCAGCTGCATTTCTAAGGCATTCTAGCTGCACTGAGTGCAAATTGTCATATGGAGCACGACTGAAGAGTATGGTGAAAGTTAGTATCTGGTTAAGAAAAATGATAAAAGTCCTAAACAGTCCATGTGAATGACACATGGTCCGAGCTTGGTCCAGTTGAAACTGAAAGATAAATATTTAGTGGCAATAGTCCACAAAGTCATGGTGTGTGTTTGCTTGTTTTGTAAACATCTGACAAAAATTCAGGTGTAGAAACAGAAAAAAAGAATTACAGCCCTGACCCAGGGACAAGGGAATTGATAATGTTAGTAAAAGTGCAGTTGAAAAGATTAACCATTAAGTATAGAATAGACAAGGAAAGAAGAGAAACCGGAAAGGGGTTGATAGATTCAGTAGAAAAAGGAACACCCAACAACTCTAAGATCAAGGAGTAGATGCAGAGGCCACCCTAAGCAAGGCAACTTTGATCAGTGTTTAGTATCCCACCCCAGATACATTAGGCGTCATGTCGAAAACAACAAGACAAACTGTAGACCCACTGAGTACTGAGATAAAGGTACCATCTAAAGGACAGGAGGTGGCTACTTCACTCTTTCATTGTAGATTTTGGTTTCCCAAGGAGACTTCTCAGGGACAGGGTGAAATGAGACTTCTCTAGTTCTTCTTTTATTCTCTCGCATGAAAACAGTATTTACTTTTCAGGAGATGAAAATTCCAGAGTGTTTATGCCTAAAACTACTTCCACTAACATGACTAATTTATAAGCTTTAAACATCAACAATGTATTTTAGAGTTTAAAACATTATAACTTAAGGAAAAAAAACTCCCTAGAAAATATCCCCTCAGTCAAAACACTTAGGGATTTTTGGAACCTCCTGCTCGAAGCTACCTTAAATCCAAGGTAGCACTAGAGATTTCAAATTCTTTGGGTGTAATGAAATAACCAAGTAGCATATATATTTATTTGTTCAATAGCTGAAAAGACTTTACCTCAATCATTAATCCTCTTGTAAAAGCATAAAATGAAATAATAAATCACCAGTACAGATATGGTGAATTTGATCAATGTTTCTCTTCAGAAGGAGTAAATAATAGAGCAACCCCAACTCTGCAATATTTATGTGCCCCAACATTCTATCACCAAGGCATGGGGATTGATATGGACTGCTGAGAGGAACCAAGACCTCCTCTCCCCTACAGAACTGCTAAAGCAACAAGCCATCATTTACGGGGCAAATAACGCTTCATCCAAGAGCAGTGTAATACTTTCTCAGGAAAGAAGTGCCCTAATCCTCAGCCTCTTCCTCCCATAAGGAAACTAACAGTGGCTTATTTCATTAATCATTCTAACTGGCAAGTGAAAAGGGAGAGCATTTAGAGAGGAACTATTCTATATTGAGCTTTTTACATATGTTTTCTGATGTAATCCTTCAAATACAATTGTGAAATTGCAGAACCTATTTTCAAAGAGGAAAACTCTGGCTTAACAGCTCAGTGTAAATTCTAACGCCACTCATAAACCAAGCTTGGTCTGGATGTTGATTCTTCTACTGAATATTTAGCCCCAAAGGCCATCTATCTGCCATCTGCTATACTGTGTTTTATGAGAAGGAAACATTTTATTCAAAGACCCTTATTTCAAAGACAAATGGAATTGGATATCTCTAGTAAATGTTTCTTTAAACAAAACAAAATACTCATGTCTGGTAATAATAAAAAATGCCTAAATATGTTTATGGCCATGCACCCTCAAAAGAATATCAGAACCTTCAGGAATGAGTGTGCCTATTTAAAGATCCAGGAACAGGATATGTGTAAAAATCTCCTCCAGGTGATTTGTGATTGTGTTAGCGACCCCCTTCCTCTCTAGTCCACATTACTCTTCGAATGTGTGAGGCAGAGTATTGTGTCACGTAGAGTAACGTGTTAGGTGAGTATGGTTAAATGTGTTAGGTAGAGTACTGTGTTAGGTGTAGTATTGTGTTAGGTAGAGTAATGTGTTAAGGAGAGTATGGTTAAATATGAGTATTGTGTTAGATCGAATATTGTTAAAATGGTTTTCCTCTCTCCAGGCAGGGTAGCACGTGGGGTAAGGCTTCACTTCATGATGCGGCTGATAGGTTGAAAAAGGTAAGAGTTGAACAACACTAAAGTTGTGTTGTTTGAAGGGTGTAAGCCTAGAAGGTCATCAAAAATGCAGTCAATATCATCACAAATATAAGAATGGTAGGACATTCTTTATCCTTATCAGATCTCAGGCTCCTCACCTGTAAAATAAGGAACTGGATGAGATTAACTCAAAGGCCTTTCTCATTGATAAAAATTTATAAGGAATGATGCCAAAGTTTTTTTCTGGTTTAACAAGTTAGCAAATTCTACAGACTGCTTCCCTTTCTAAGTGATTCACAGCGCAGTATAGCATCCTAAAGTCCATTCAAAACCCATTCGATTTTGCTTATCCTCATTTTTTCCAAGTATATTTATCTTCCTCTGCTCTACAGAAACATCTATGAATATCTACGTGAACTAATTATTTGAAGAGCACAGTTGAGAAAAAGCTAGCCTAGGAAATAATAATAGATATAAATAATACAAAAAATGCATAAATCCATTTTAGGTATTAGTAATTAGAGTGATGAGACTATAACTTTGGTAATGTAAATGGCAATTTCATGAGTGATGGTGGCACTGAGTAGCAAGTTTTGGGTCAAAGTTTGAAATTCAAATGTCTAGATGTCCTGGAGTAAATGTACATGAATAAAAAACAACAAAATATAAGATGGTAAATAAAAACTGACTGTCCAATTGAGACATACAGAGAGATGAGGAAATAGTGAAAATTATGGTGAGGTGGATGACGTAACACTTCACTTAAGAGGACGGCTACTACAAGTCTCAAGCAGTTTTCACTACATAAAAATATGGATGCTCTCTCAGCAGGCTCCCAAATTTAAAGAGGAGCTGGAAATTCTTTTTAAATGAAATTTAAAGAGAAGCTGGAAATTCTTTTTAAATGAAAGCTTCCCAACATATTGATGTTGGACAGTAATTCACATTAAAACATGATGTTTTCCATGACTTTGGAAGCCAACAACCCACAGACAAGAAAATACATCATGTTATCTTTGGCCCAAGAGCCACCTGCTTGTGGCCACTGCCTAAGCAATCAAACAAGCATGTATGCAGGACTGACCATGTGAATCATAGCAGATCAGCACATATGGGAAAAGGAGCAATCTTTAATGGAGAGTTTATGGTGAGATGATATTATATGACACACACACAGAGAAAGAAAGAAAAAGAGATTTCAACCAACATGAATGGAAGTGTCATGGAAAAGGCTGGGAAAGCATTTTGCTCACAGGGTTTGCACAAAACTCAGAAGAAGAAGTTTGCAGCAAGGCTGAGAAGTAGTCACAGTTGTCACAAGATTAACTGTACAGATGGAAAGGACCCATAAAAGAGAAAACATTGCACGTCTGCTTCAAACCATTCTTTATGAATGAGCATAGGGAATATCCATACGTAGAAGAGTGGTTTGCCGAGGTTGTATACCTATGTAGTGATAGAGTGAAAGGAGGCACCCAGGGCTTCCAATCCCCAGGCAGTACTTTTTTTTTTTTTTTTTTTTTTTTTTGCAAATCTCAATGTTTTCATATTGTTAAAAATATAATTTTTACCATAAGCTTATTATAGATATATTTGAATAAATGTAGTTTTTGATCATACTTGTGTCACCCTTTCCCAGGACCATAAAAATGATATAATAGAATGTCCTTCAAAGCTAACCACAGGCAGGCAATATGATACATAATATATTATAATGAGATCCATAAGGTAATTAAATTTTCCTCTCAACAAAGTCCACGTAATTCTAAGTTCTGTACGTAGACAGAATAAAGAATCTAGGAAAGCACAACATGAGAAATCCAGTTAGCTCTACTCTTAGGACATTTACATTTTTTTTTTACATCTTCCATATGTATTGCTACATTAAAGCAAGGATGCACAGAGGAACAGAGGTGGAGGAATTCTCATAAGCAACATGCCATGGGAGACATTTCCAAATATGACTGCAAAAGAATAATCTGAGGACCTTTCATGAAAAACCAACCATGAAGATTAACTGCAGATAGTCTCATTCAATAAGGATTAGATGGGTTCTAGATATGTGTACATTTATGAAACTCATTTTTTAAATGAGGAAAAACTACATAACATAAAGTTTGCCATTTTAACCATTTTTAAGTGGCATTAAGCACATTTACACTGTTGTACAACCACCACTACTATGTACCTCCAAAACTTTTTCATCTTCCCCAATTGAAACTCCATACCCATTAAGTAATAACTCCCTTTATGCCTCTCCCACCACAGACAACCAACATTTTGCTTTCTGTCTCTATAAATTTGACTAAGTACTTCATATAAGTAAAATTATACAGTATTTATCCTTTTGTGACTGGCTTATTTCACTTAACAGAATGTCTTCAGGTTTATCCACATTTTAGCGTGTGTCAGAATTTCTTTTCTTTTTAGAGCTGAATAATATTCCACTTCATGTGTATATCAAAGTCTGTTTAGCCATTTATCTATTGATGGAAATTCGGGTTGCTTCCACCCTTTAGTTTTTGTGAATAATGCTGCTAGGAACATTGGTGTAAAAATATCTGTTCACATTTCTGCTTTCAATTCTTTTTGATATATATCCAGAAATACGGTTGCTGGATCAAATGGAATTCTAGATTTATTTTTTTAAGAAACAACCATATTATTTTTCACAGTGGTTGCACTGCTTCTTATATTTCTACAAGCAATTCACAAAGCTTCCAAGCTCTCCACATTCTTGTAAACATTTGTTATTTTTAAAATATAATTGTCATCTTAATGCATACAAGGTGGTATTTCATTGTTCTTTTGATTTTCATTTCCCTAATGCTTAGTGATGTTAAACAACTTTTCATATGCTTAGGGGCCACTAGTATATCTTCTTTGGAGAAGTGCTTATTCAAGTTTTTTGCCCGTTTTTAATTGGTTTGTTTGTTTTGTTGTTGTTAATTTGTAGGAGTTCTTTCTAGATGATGGGTATTAATCTCTTATCAGATAGATAATTTGCAAATATTTTCTCTCATTCCATGGGTTGCTTTTTCACTCTGTTGATAATATTATTTAATGCATGATGAACAAAAGTTTATAATTTTGATGAAGTTCATCTTATCTATTTTTTCTTTGTTGCCTCTGCTTTTTGTGTCATATCCAAGAAATTATTTTCCCCTAGGTTTTCTTCAAAAAGTTTTGTAGTTTCAGCATTTACATTTATGTCTTTTGTCGATCTGGGAATAACTTTGGTATATGGTGTAAAGTAAAGATCTAACTTTTTTTTTTTTTTGCATATGAAGATCTGGTTTTCCCAAACACTATTTATTGAAAAGACTCTCCTTTCCCTAATGAATAATCTGAACACCCTTGTCAAAAGTGATTTGCCTATATAAGGATTATTTCTGGGATCTCTATTATATTCTGTTGATCTGTATGTCCTTCTATATAACTGTAATACACTGTTTTGGTTACTATATGTTTGTAGTAAATTTTTGAAATCAGAAAATGATTTTGTTCTGTTTCAAAATTGTTTTAACAATCCATTGTCCCTTGAGATTATGTATGAGTTTTAAGATGGATTTTTCTGTTTCTACAAAAAAAACTCATTGAGATTTTGATAGGAATTGCATTGACTCTGTAGATAGATTAATTTGGGTAGTAGTGACATCTTCCAATCCATAAATACAGGACACCTTTGCATTAATTTAGTGCCCTATTTAATTTCTTTCAGCAGCATTTTGTAGTTTTCAGTGTGCAGGCCTTTCACTTGCTTTCATATGTTTACTTCTAAGTATTTTATTCTTTTTTATACTATTTTAAATAAAATTATTTTTAAGCTCATTTTTGGATTGTTTATAGTAAATGCATAGTAATGAACCTGATTTGTGCATGTTGATTTTGTATTGTGCCACTTTACTAAATTCATTTCTCAGCTCTCAAAGTTTTCTGAGAGATTTTCAGGATTTTTTTAAATAAATGAGATCATGTGTAAGTCTCTTTGTAGGTCTCTAAGGACTTGCTTTATGAATCTGGATGCTCCTGTATTGCGTGCGTATATATTTAGGATAGCTAGCTCTTCTTGTTGAATTGATCCCTTTACCATTATGTAATGCCCTTCTTTGTCTCTTTTGATCTTTGTTGGTTTAAAGTCTGTTTTATCAGAGACTAAGATTGCAACCCCTGCTTTTTTTGCTTTCCATTTGCTTTCCATTTGCTTCCACCTTCCTCCATCCCTTTATTTTGATCTTATGTGTGTCTCTGCACATGAGATGGGTCTCCTGAACACAGCACACTGATGGGTCTCGACTCTTTATGCAATTTGCCAGTCTGTGTCTTTTACTTTGGGGCATTTAGCCCATTTGCATTTAAGGTTAACATTGTTATGTGTGAATTTGATCCTGTCATTATGATGTTAGCTGGTTATTTTGCCCATTAGTTGATGCAATTTCTTCCTAGCATCGATGGTCTTTGCAATTTGGTATGTTTTTGCAGTGGCTGGTACCAGTTGTTTCTTTCCATGTTAAGTGCTTCCTTCAGGAGCTCTTGTAAGGCAGGCCTGGTGGTGACAAAATCTCTCAGCATTTGTCTGTCTGTAAAGGATTTTATTTCTCCTTCACTTATGAAGCTTAGTTTGGCTGGAAATGAATAATGGGAGATTTTAACACCCTACTGTCAATATTAGACAGATCAATGAGACAGGAGGTTAACAAGGATATCCAGGACTTGAACTCAGCTCTGCACCAAGCAGACCTAATAGACATCTACAGAACTCTCCACCCCAAATCAACAGAATATACATTCTTCTCAGCACCACATCGCACTTATTCCAAAATTGACCACATAGTTGGAAGTAAAGCACTCCTCAGCAAATGTAAAAGAAGAGAAATCACAACAAACTGTATCACAGACTACAGCGCAATCAAATTAGAACTCAGTATTAAGAAACTCACTCAAAACCACACAACTACATGGAAACTGAACAATCTGCTCCTGAATGAATACTGGGTAAATAACGAAATGAAGGCAGAAATAAAGATGTTCTTTGAAACCAATGAGAACAAAGACACCACATACCAGAATCTCTGGGACACATTTAAAACAGTGTGTAGAGGGAAATTTATAGCACTAAATGCCCACAACAGAAAGCAGGAAAGATCTAAAATCGACACTGTAACATCACAATTAAAAGAACTAGAGAAGCAAGAGCAAACAAATTCGAAAGCTAGCAGAAGGCAGGAAATAACTAAGATCAGAGCAGAACTGAAGGGGATAGAGACACAAAAAACCCTTCAAAAAATCAATGAATGCAGGAGATGCTTTTTTGAAAAGATCAACAAAATTGATAGACCGCTAGCAAGATTAATAAAGAAGAAAAGAGAGAAGAATCAAATAGACACAATAAAAAATGATAAAGGGGATATCACCACTGATCCCGCAGAAATACAAACTACCATCAGAGAATACTATAAAAACCTCTATGCAAATAAACCAGAAAATCTAGAAGAAATGGATACATTCCTGGACACATACACTCTCCCAAGACTAAACCAGGAAGAAGTTGAATCCCTGAATAGACCAATAACAGGCTCTGAAATTGAAGCAATAATTAATAGCCTACCAACCAAAAAAGGTCCAGGACCAGACGGATTCACAGCCGAACTCTACCAGAGATACAAAGAGGAGCTGATACCATTCCTTCTGAAATTATTCCAAACAATAGAAAAAGAGGGAATCCTCTCTAACACATTATATGAGGCAAGCATCATCCTGATATCAAAGCCTGGCAGAGACACACACACAATAAAGAATTTTAGACCAATATCCCTGATGAACATCGATGCAAAAATCCTCAATAAAATACTGGCAAACCTAATCCAGCAGCACATCAAAAACCTTATCCACCACAATCAAGTTGGTTTCATCCCTGGGATGCAAGGCTGGTTCAACATATGCAAATCAATAAACATACTCCATGACATAAACAGAACCAAAGACAAAAACCACATGATTATCTCAATAGATGCAGAAAATGCCTTCAACACAATTCAACAGCCCTTCATGCTAAAAACTCTCAATAAACTAGGATGGAACATATCTCAACATAATAAGAGCGATTAATGCCAAATTCACAGCCAATATTATACTGAATGGGAACAACTGGAAGCATTCCCTTTGAAAACTGGCACAAGACAGGGATGCCCTCTCTCACCACTCCTATTCAACATAGTGTTGGAAGTTCTGGCCAGGGATTTCAGGCAAGAGAAAGAAATAAAGGGTATTCAATTAGGAAAAGCAGAAGTCAAATTGTCCCTGTTTGCAGATGACATGATTGTATATTTAGAAAACCCCATCATCTCAGCCCCAAATCTCCTTAAGCTGATAAGCAACTTCAGCAAAGTCTCAGGATACAAAATCAATGTGCAAAAATCACAAGCATTCCTGTACACCAATAACAGACAAAGCCAAATCATGAGTGAACTCCCATTCACAATTGCTTCGAAGAGAATAAAATACCTAGGAATCCAACTTACAAGAGATGTGGAGGACCTCTACAAGGAGAACTACAAACCACTGCTCAACAAAATAAAAGAGGGCACAAACAAATGAAAGAATATTCCGTGCTCCTGGGTAGGAAGAATCAATATCATGAAAATGGCCATACTGCCCAAGGTAATTTATAGATTCAATGCCATCCCCATCAAGATACCAATGACTTTCTCCACAGAATTGGAAAAAACTACTTTAAAGTTCATATGGAACCAAAAGAGGGCCCACGTTGCCAAGTCAATCCTAAGCCAAAGGAACAAAGGTGGAGGCATCACACTACCTGACTTCAAACTATACTACAAGGCTACAGTAAACAAAACAGCATGGTACTGGTACCAAAACAGAGATATAGACCAGGAACAGAACCCAGTCCTCAAAAATAACACCACACATCTACAATCTTCTGATCTTTGACAAACCTGACCAAAAAACAAGAAATGGGGAATGGATTCCCTATTTAATAAATGGTGCTGGGAAAACTGGCTAGCCACATGTAGAAAGCTGCAACTGGATCCCTTCCTTACACCTTATACAAAAATTAATTCAAGACGGATTGAAGACTTAAATGTTAGACCTAAAACCATAAAAACCCTAGAAGAAAATCTAGGCAATACCATTCAGGACATAGGCATGGGCAAGGACTTCATGACTAAAACACCAAAAGCAATGGCAACAAAAGCCAAAATGGACACATGGGATCTAATTAAACTAAAGAGCTTCTGCATGGCAAATAAACTACCATCAGAGTGAACAGGCAACCTAAAGAATGGGAGAAAATTTTTGCAGTCTACCCATCTGACGAACGGCTAATATCCAGAATCTACAAAGAACTTAAAAAAATTTACAAGAAAAAAATCAAACAACCCCATTAAAAAGTGGGCAAAGGACACAAACAGACACTTCTCAAAAGAAGACATTTATGCAGCCAACAGACACATGAAAAAGTGCTCATCATCACTGGTCATCAGAAAAATGCAAATCAAAACCACAATGAGATACCATTTCACACCAGTTAGAATGGCGATCATTAAAAAGTCAGGAAACAACAGATGCTGGAGAGGATGTGGAGAGATAGGAATGCTTTTACACTGTTGGTGGGAGTGTAAGCTAGTTCAACCATTGTGGAAGACAGTGTGGTGATTCCTCAAGGATCTAGAACTAGAAATACCATTTGACCCAGCCATCCCATTACTGGGGATATACCCAAAGGATTACAAATCATGCTGCTATAAAGACACAAGCACACATATGTTTATTGTGGCACTATTCACAATAGTAAAGACTTGGAACCAACCTAAATGTCCATCAATGATAGACTGTATTGAGAAAATGTGGCACATATACACCATGGAATACTATGCAGCCATAAAAAAGGATGAGTTCATGTCCTTTGTAGGGACATGGATGAAGCTGGAAACCATCATTCTCAGCAAATCATCACAAGGACAGAAAACCAAACACCACATGTTCTCACTCAGAGTTGGGACTTGAACAATGAGAGCACATGGACACAGGGTGGGGAACATCGCACACCAGGGCCTGTTGTGGGGTGGGGTTATTGGGGAGGGATAGCATTAGGAGAAATACCTAATGTCAATGATGAGTTAATGGATGCAGCAAACCAACGTAGCACATGTATACATATGTAACAAACCTGCACATTGTGCACATGTACCCTAGAACTTAAAGTATAATAACAATCAATAAATAAAAATAAAAAAATAAATAAATGACATCATGTCATCCGCAAAAAGAGATAAATTTACTTTTTCCTTTCCAATTTGACGGCCTTTTATTTTCTTTTAATACCTAATTGCTCTGGCTAAGATTTCTATTACTATGTTGAATAGAATGTTATAAAAATGAATAGAAGTTATAAAAAATCTTTCTCTTGTTACTTGCTGATCCTAAGGAAATGCTGTAAGTTTTCACCATCATAATGTGAACTGTGGGCTTTTCTATTTATTATGTTAAGATCTTTATTTTTT
Organism: Homo sapiens; assembly: GCF_000001405.40. Taxonomy (NCBI): domain Eukaryota; kingdom Metazoa; phylum Chordata; class Mammalia; order Primates; family Hominidae; genus Homo; species Homo sapiens. The sequence goes on along the minus strand of NC_000004.12, from coordinate 58,006,982 downwards.
CTATTACTATTTTGTTGTGTGTGTTTTTTTTATCATGAAAGGATGAATAATTTTGTCAATTTTTTTCCATATCAATCGAGATCATCACATGTTGTTTTCCTTCGTACTGTCAATGTTGTGTATTATATCAATTGGTTCTTGTACCTTGAACCATCCTTGCATTCCAGGAATAAATCCCACTTGGTCATGATATTTAATCTTTTTAATATACTGTTTATGTCCATTTGCTAGTATCTTGTTGAGAATTTTTACACGAATGTTCATAGGAATATTGGTTGTAATTTTCTTACTTGTATTGTCTTTGTTTGGCTTTGGTATTAAGGTAATGCTAGCCTTGTAGAATAGATTAGGAATAAAGCCGCATTTTAATTAAAATTTACCTTTCAATTCTCATATTCAGCTTCTGTGGAAAACCTTTTTTATCCTAGCAGATACAATATTTTAATGGTACTTAGAATTCCTTCAAAGTGAGCATTAACAGTAGATATTTTCTACACTGTTAAGGAAATCTCCTTGCACTTACGTAGGTTTTAAAATTTTTGAAGCAGTTGCACAAAAGTTTGACTTCTACGAACTGTATTAAAAAGGCAAGAAGTTAGCTAAGCCCTAATTTTACAGCTCAAGAAACGCTACTACAAAGAGATTAATTTACATTTTGCTAAGAAGTGATAAGGCCGAGAGAAGAAACTAGAACTGAATTATAATACCTATTAGATGATGTGTTTTTGTCAAAAATAACAAGTACGAGAAAGATGCAGAATGAATTTTAAAGTATGAATGTTTTGTTTAGACATTTTAATTGTGATAATATATATTGTTTACAGCTTTTCATGTAATAAAAAATAGCTTTGATGTTATATAGCACCTTAAAATAATAAGTCCTAAGTTGAATGTTTTCTACAGTATTGTCAGAAGTTGGCTTTTTTGATTAACAGTGATTTCTACAAGAACAGTGATGGCTTCTATTGCTGATTGGATTCTCTGAGATGCAGACATTGAGAAGGAGTTTCATATGTACATGTTAAAGGTAAGGAAGGGAAAGAAAGGAAGGGGGATTGGATAGGGAGAGGAATTGAGCCGTGAAGCAGGCCTCACAACCTTGGACAACCATTCAGGAAGTTTTAGAGCTAAAAGGGCAGCGTTGTCCCTGGTTGGGCTACAATGGCCCGGTCTTCACAGTCCCTGAAAGATGCATCACTGATATAAGCTGCAGTGAGAAAGGGCTTGACATTAGGTGAGGTGGTTTTCTGCAGCTGAAACTAGTCCATTACTCCAGGGTTCTGCATAATGGTCAGACCATCCTATTTAATTAGCTTTTTCTAGTATTTATTCAGCAGTATTTTCCTTGTGCCCTATCACCAGTCATTTCTAGATTAGAACACTTAAAAATTTAATCCTCTATTTTTGGTTGGATGTTGAAGTTTTTATCTAGGTAGAAATTTACAATTTTATAAAATATATTTTGGCAAAATGCTCTCATGTCTACTACCTTTATATATTATTTCCTGTTCCTGATATCAATGAAAAATCGTTCATTGTCTTCTAGATCATTTTTAAAATAAACTGAACCACATGTGGTTTGTCAGGCATTGAATGCATTTTTTAACATTGAGTTTTTACATATTTGATAACATGGGATGTATATATTAAATACATAAATTCTTCTCTATAAAAAAAGCCATCTTTTTATTATCTAAGGTATTAGTTGGTGGGATTTCTGAGCTGGCATAAAGATTGTCTTGCCCCAACAAATTATCCAAAGATTTTGATTTTTTTTTCTTTTCTTTATATTTTCTTTGCATGTCTTCTTCTATTCTTTCAACACATATTAATCTATTATTTACTATATATTAGGTACTATGCTGCCTGTTCAGGACACAAAAGACCCTATCATAAATTTTCTTCTCTTAAGGAGCTCACTATCAAGTTCGGGAAATACACATGAAAACAAAAAAGAAAACAAACTCAATGCAGGATATTATACATTGACAAAGAAGTGGTGAAATATAAGATGAATTTAACCAATAAGACCTGATAATATATTTGGAGACATGCAAAAACTATGACATTTCTGTGTTAGAATAAATCCTAGAAGTCATTTTCACAAACAAGACAGCTGATACTTTAGTCCCCTCTACAATCTCTTTGATCATAAATGATCCAGCTTGTGCTGATACTGTTCATTGACAAGAAGAGCATGACTGCCAAAAATTCTAATTTCTTCTTTGGGCAGCTCTAATATTAAAACAAAAATTGAAAGGGGAAGTACGTTCTCTGTACCACTTAAGTTTTCTGGAAGTGGCAAGTGTGAAATGAGAGAGAGAGACACAAGGAGAAATTCTATTAAATAAAGATGTTTAAACAGACACTGAATTTACTGCATTTGTTAAAATTCAGTATTATTTTCTTTTTATTGACTTGATCATAGTTAAGGAAAAAACCGAAAAAGTAATTCAAATCCAACATAATAGCATTTATTAAAATAGGTCATCAAAAATATATACATGAAATTCACGTACATAAAAATATGTATGAAATCCTATGTGTAGCTCAATCCAAATAACATGTTTGAGATTTAAAAATTTTAAATGAGGCCGGGCATGGTGGCTCATGCCTGTAATCCCAGCATTTTGGGAGGCTGAGGCAGGCTGATCACTGGAGATCGGGAGTTCGAGACAAGCCTGACCAATATGGAGAAACCCCGTCTCTACTAAAAATACAAAATTAGCCACGCATGGTGGCGCATGCCTGTAATCCCAGCTACTCAGGAGGCTGAGGCAGGAGAATTGCTTGAATCCAGGAGGCAGAGGTTGGGGTGAGCTGAGATTGTGCCATTGCACTCCAGCCTGGGCAAGAAAAGTGAAACTACGTCTCAAAAAAACATTTTTTTTCTTAAATGAATATTTTAAAGTTACAAAGTGCATATGAATCACTTGGGATATCATTAAATACAGATTCAGATGTAGTAGGTCTGGTACAGGGCCTAACAATGTTCCTTTGGAGAAAACACTTCCCTCCACTGACAGTGCAGGTTTGATAACAAGACAGAAGCTGAGAGTGTCAGCCTATCGCAGAAATTCAGGCCAAAGAAAGAAGGGGATGCTTGGCCTGGTTATATGGACCAGACAAGTCCCAGGAGAAGGGGGTTTACTGTGATTCCAAAACCATTTTGAGTAGTCACAAACAGTTGTTAAATCAGGCGACTGAAGGACTTGAAAAGGACATCCAATATATTGTATTTTTAAGGCATTTTCAAATCGCTGTAAGTGTATAATTGACTGAGCTTGAAGATGCGGTTGGTCATTGATTTGAAGTTCTTTAAATAGAAGTGTTAACGTTTTTAGGCTTGTAAATAAAATGATGAAGCAAGTGAGACTTAAATAGTTTAAGGAATAACTATAGTTTAAAATTTTTAATTTAAAGAATTGAAAATCACATTACAAAACCAAAAACTTAACATCTGAAAAAGATTTTCCCCCCTTTGGATACAGAAGCATTAAAGTCAGGATACTCAAACTATTGGAAATTTACAAAAGTGAGTTACTCTCTCCTCAATTTAAACAAAGTTTATAAAAGGCCAGGGATAGAGGCTTTATTTAAAAAATCCTCTGCTGAAAATAAGTATTGATTACATATTAAAATTTAAATATATATAATAGTTGGCAATTCTGTGTCAATAATTAGGGCAAATTTGTACAGAAAGAAAATGTCTTCCCTCCAAAAAATTTTGAGTGCTTAATTCATACCATGCATTATACATTCATGACAAAAAAATAATGTTCAGAGACCTCAGAGTTTCAGAAATAATTTAAGAAAACAACCTTAAAATTATTTTTAATATTTAGAAGTTTAAATATTTAAATTGGTGGAAAATACTCAAATGTTTCAAATGTTTGTTGGAATACTATATGTGAGAGAAAGTTATGGTCAAAATAATAATTTGTTTAAATGTGTTTTTAAGAAGCTGTAAATGTATAATGATCAACTAGTTTGAAATTAATAATTTAATTATCTAATATGAACTTAAGCTAAAGAAGGAAATATAAATTTTGCCTAGTATTAAGAGACAGTAGGCCAAGAAAAAGATATGCAGGCTGCTTGTTACAAGGCTAAGATCTCGAAAAAAGAAAAATCAGAAAAAGAAAACATATGCATAATAAGAAAAACTGGCACACACTTTAAAATCTTATCTAATAGCAAAATCCTTGATGTTGGACTGAACAGCTACAAAAATATGTCAAATTAACCTTCTCCCACCACAGTCACACACAGACTAAATTAATGTTCTTGGTTTTCTACAATAAAAACCTAGAGGATTGCATTACTTGCCTTTTATATTTCACATGTTGGTTTAAATGTATAAAAATATGAAACCAATCCATTTAAAATATATTTGTAGTTAAATGCAACATTACCTTTGTCTGTGTATATGAGTGCAGTTGATACAGAATCCAAAAATTAAAATTTGCAGCGTGTAATATCTTCAATTCTATGAACAATCTAGATTTCTGATAAAAACTAAATATATAGAATATGAAGTGAATAAAATACAAACACGGAACTGTAATTGAGATGAAGTCTTATAAAAACTTATTATAATTGTACAATCAGGGTTTTCCTAAGAATAAGTTTTAGAAAATTTGTAAAATATTCTAAGAATATAAATGTATATAATGGTTTTTTTGAAATTTCTGAATAAAAGATTTAAAGTATAAATTTTAACCATTTTTCTGTATAACATCAATTTCATTGTATCTTATCTTTAGTTTTGCTTTAGTAAATATAACTGCATATTACATCAGAATAGAAAATACTATTTATTTACCTGAAGACCTGTAAGAACTTGGAATTCTACACTATACTAGGATTTCCAGTAATTAAAATAAGGACTATATTAAATATGTATAATTAAATTAAATTAAATATATAGAAGAAATGCTTCTTTTGATTTTAAAAGGAGGATATCAGAAAAAAAATAGGAATTTGTATTTACATATAGAATTATTTTGTAATCACATGAAAATTGGGGGGAATTTAAGGATCTTCCAATTAGCAACTAGTTCTTTGTCAGATAATATTAACTAGGACATTTATTTTAATTTAGGAATTTCAAATATTGGTGTAATAATATACAACACCACAGATTGGTAAAAGAATGCAGTATACTATTTGACAAATAATAAAGCATGTAGTTTTGTAAATGTTTAGTATAAATTTTAAATTTTCATGTAATAAGCAAATAAGAATGTAAAACTTGAATATATTAAGTTATGTATGTTGTAATATTACTAAAAATTTAAATAGTAAAAAGCAGAAACTGACCACTTGGAGCTAATATATATAATTTGATTCATTATAGAACTAAACTCTATATCCATATTTACCTTCATACATAGAGATCAGAACTACTACAAATGACTCTGGAACACAGCACTGTATAAAGGGTGTGATACCTTTTAAAGACAAAAATTACTGCAACAAAATTTTTAATCAAATTCTAAAGATTTTTTTGTTAGAGATAATACTGACATATTTATGTTGAGATATTTTCATTATATAAATAAATCAAATGATTGTTAATATTTTTGAAAATCAAGATTCTCAGTATAAGGGGAAGAGTTCAGTTAAAGAATCAAAAACATTAAGAAAGAAGAGTGTGATGATGCACATAATTTTAGATATTCATTTATATTTTCTAACCCTGTTTATATCTGTCAAAATGGATTAGGACAAATGTTATCCTGGCAGAAAAACTAATATGTTATTTCTAGTGCTGAAATGTTGGTGTCTAGCGCCACTTACCAAGTACCAGAGCTTCTCCAAGAATTGACTAATTTCATGTGTACAACAGAGATGATCTAAGTTGAACCTAGAACATCTCGCTGGGTCAGAAAGAAAAGACATTTTCAAAGATCAAATGGATCATGTCATGAGGTCATAGAAGCCAAAGAGCCATATAGAGAAAGCTGTAAAAGAACAAACTGAACAACTCCAGCATCAAAAAGAGAAAAGAAATTTATACCTATATTAATTGAATCTATACAAATCTGTAATTGCATAATGATACTAAAAGTCTTCATAAACTACACAACATCACATATTATGTTTCTGCTAAAAATGTTTCTGTTTAACTCAAACCTTTAAATTTAACTCCAATGTAAGAAAATTACAGAAAATGTAAGAAAAATATTAATCCACACTATAAGAAAGGTGAAACTAACTCTCTCTCTCTCGCTTCCTCTCTCTCTCTAATACAGATTGGCCTCTCACCTTGTTGCCCAGGCTCGTCTCAAACTCCCAGGCTCAGGCCATCCTCCTGCCTCAGCCTCCCAAAGTGCTGGGAATACAAGGTGTGAGCCACCATGCCTCGCCCTGAAACATTCTCTAGGACAACTGCCACAATCTTCAACTTATGAGATCTTCTTCACAAAAAGATGCTGTTTAAGAAAAAACTAAAGGAACATAACAAAAAGATGAAATATGTGGATCTTAGTTCAGACAGGCATCAAAGGACATATTGAGGGGAACTAAGGGAATTTGATTTAGATGGGTATTAGATAATATTAAGAAAGGTTAATACATTTTATTAGATATGATCCTGTTTATTTTGGCTATGAAAGAAGATATTCTTTTTTATGGAAGCATCCTGAAATATTTAGAAGTGAACTATTACCTGGTATAAAATTCATATTAAAATATTTTAGCATAGACAATGAGATGCAAATGTGTATATGTTAGTTTTAATCTACCCCTTAAGCATGATCAGGTTGCCCTAACTGGGAATGCATGATGCCAACTATAGTTAGTCAGATTTTATTTCAAAGGTCACACTCCAAGGCAGCTGATGGTAGCACTTCAACTATCTTTATCTTCAATCAACACCAGACTTTTTTTAATTAGCATAATTACACACTTGAATTGGCTTTTTACAGACATTATTGGTTGTTTAATGAACACAATGGATATTACAGATGGGTTTTCATTAGTGAATTAGTAGTTTTGAAGATGTATGGATTTGGGTAGAAGTAATTTAGAGGCTTTTTGCCCTTGAATTAACAGAGCTTAAAAATCAAACAAGGAGAGAAATCTAGGCCCTTTGGAAATGTTACCATCAGTTTGATTTCTAAATGGTCCTATGCTGATCTACCTGCTCCAGAAGATTCTTGCTTGCCTAACTCATACAACTCTGGTGAACTGAATCTTCCCACCAGATTAATGTCACATTTGAAGTACCAAAACTAAAGCTGGGTCTTACTGAGGTCACAGTACAGTTTGTCTGAGAGTGTTGTATCTGCTTGTATTTGTCAGGATTATTTCCCAGACTTGCTTTCACTGATACCTGGTACAAGATTGTTGGAAGAGAACTCACAATCATTACTTACCTCTAACTATTAGAGGCTACTGACATTTACCAAAAGGAATCTAATACTTGTGCATGATCATATTGGCTAAGGTTAGTTTGTAGCACCATTCTTCTAAGGTCACAAGGATTCATTACAGAATGTAAACGCAACCCAACTCAGGGCAATAAGACTAAAATCTGGGAATTTTGCAGAAATTACATAGAGTGCCACTTTAAAGACACTAAATACACTGGCATTGCCAAGCTGGTCAAGTTAAATCCTGAATAAAATCTTGAAAATCAACTGCATGAAAAGAGTCTGAATGAGAAAGAATTCAAAGTCAAGGAAAACAGGATTTAGTGGTGGACAGGTTCCTGATGTTTGAGCATCTGAATCCAGAAATACCCAAATTTAGTTCTATCACTGACCTTTTCAACTACATAAATGTTAAAATTATCTTCAATCTTTTTGGTTACATGTCTGTCATTGCAACCAGGAGAGATTTTATAAAACATCAAATTTTATGTTTTCTCAGTGTAATAAAGGAATGAAAAGGGCATCTATTTATGTTCAAAGTTTGTGTGGAATCTTCCTAGCACATCTTTAGCAACACTAATCCAAACTTATTATTTGATGCAAGTGCATTAATAGACGTATAATAAGATATGTGTATGTTCACACAATCTATTTGAAATACTTCAATCAATAATTATTCCTGATCTTACAGACTTTATACCTAGACTATCTTTCTTCACTCAGCAATTCATTTTAAATCAAGCTCTTCACATACTAGTGGGACAGTGAAGCAAGGTAGTTGATAACCGCAGAAGTATGTTTAAGTGTTAGAACATTATATCTAAGCTGGAATATGAAGAAAGTTAATATAAAGCTTGCTGGTAAAACAAGGATAGACACAGGAGCCTATGGACTGGTTCTGTAAAGTCAAAGAACTATTGTCTTGACAACTGCTGATTGAGAGGGGAGGAAGGACAGGAGTGTAGCAGCATGAATGCAAGATGACTTCTCTGAAGTCGTCTCTATCATCACTCTGAAGCCTGACTATCGAAATACATTCATGATTCTTCTACTCTTGCTTTTCTGCCATCACAATACAAAATAATTCATTCATTTAGATTTTCCAGACCTCCAATAACATGTGTGCTATTCTGTGTTGTAAACTTAACTTGCAAGCCTATATCTTTTTGACCATTGTAATTTGTAATTAACCTAGTCACACAGACATTTCACATATAGCTTATTCCCTTGTATGACTTTTGTTTTTGGTGGAAAGGAAAAAAAAAAGAAATGCAATGAAATAAAATCACAAAGAAAAAAGTTATAAATTCTAATCAGAAAGATTTTAAATTCCTCAACACCCAACTAACTCTAAGAATATCTAGAAGTATACTGAATGTGTGTCTTATTGGTTATGTGCCTTTCACCATTTAAAAAAATGTAAAATTCAGGGCAAGTGACTTGAATTCATTGTTTCATTCAAACACAATTAATTGTGTCTCCATTACGTACAACTGCCAATATCTGTTAACAAATAGAAAATTAATAGGTTTGTTCCTGAATTTTTAATTTGCATATAAAAGGTGTATAACTTAGGTGATGACTCATATTTAGTAGCTATTAATAAAGATGTGCTTTTGCTCACCCCTTCCTTCCCAAGGACTAATCATCAGGTCATTGGTTTCTCAATTTAATAGGAAATCCTTATGAAATCAGTAAACAGAATACTAGGCTGTGAAAAAACTTACCAATTCAAATAAAAATCTATTATTTTGTTTGTCGCTGATGAGTAGCTTCAATTGATAGATTATCCGTATCCTCTATCATCAACTATATCTGAAGACAAAATAGACCAAAAAGATTAATATCTGTGAATAAATTGTCATCAGTAGGTATAGTTTGTTCATACCCCAAATAGTCTGAAATAAACCCCTATTGTAAGCTAAATATATAGAGAGCTGATACACAGACATTGGATTAATTCCAGATTATTGAATCATGCTTTAATTAGATCACATAAGAATACATAGAGACTTGATTCCAAAACATCCTAAAAATATGTTAATGAGTATGTTGTTTCTTGTTATATTCATAGTACTTTTGGGGGGAATCTTCAAAAGAAATGTATGTTAGATATTTGGATTAATTATTGTTTTGCTTTTCCTAAAATGTTGAATTGATCTTAAATTTATAGACAGAGTAGATTATTTAACTTGCTAGATTTCCCTCTTTATATTGGCTAGGACAACCAGATTTGACAGCAATAGCTATCTGGAACATAGGTATTTATGAAATGTTTTAAATAATCACATTTGGTTCAGTTTATTAGCTTCTCACTTATTTTTGACAAAAACTTCTAATTTACATTAATTTGCTTTTTAAAACTCTGTTCAGAAGCCATGTGATGTCTTTTTTTGGTTGAAAAGGAGATATTTAATTAAACAATTAAGCAATTAACTATAAAATGTTGACATGAATATGGTTACCTGAGTATGCTTCAAATATGTAGACATTTATGACTCCTGTCATTCTTCATTAATTTTTTTATATCAATGTTGCTAATTCTTTAACCAAATTTAAATGAGATTAGCTAGTTATTCCATGGTAGTCACTGATACAGCTTTGTTTACATTGTCCAATTGTTGCTATTTTAAAGAAACACTGAATTTCCCTACAGCAGCAACTGTTTCATTTTTGTAGTAATAATCTTTGTTTGAGACAATTAGAAGTGATGGGGGCTTTATTAGCTAATTAGTAAGGCCTGAGGAACACTGCTCCACCACCTTAATTAAATCTATTCTAAAATACGCAATGTAAACTATAGTTGGCTCTTAATGAGTAACACATCTTGTCTATTTGGTTCTATTTTTTTCTCCTAAATCTTTTCAATCTCCGAGTTTCCAGATTTCATAAAAAAAAAGGGTGAACGGCTACTGAGAGATAACTCAAACCTTCAAATTTCCTGTTTTCTCAACTGTATTATGACATTCTCTTTTCAAGATAACTTTATTTTAATTCTTTCATTTTTTATTCTTTTAGTCTTTTTATTCTTTTGGCCATTTTGCAAGGCAATTTTTTTTTCTCCTAAAATCACAAGTATATAGGAAATGGAAAAAACCTTTGTTAACCTACTTCTTTGAAAAGAATAAGTAAATTAGCTAATTACATTAATTACAAAATACTCTAATTCTTAATGATATAAAAGACTAAACATACGTATTTCCTATTCTTTTATTAATAAAACTTAAATCGTTCTTCTTCTTCTTTTTTTTTTTTTTTTGAAACGGAGTCTCGTTCTGTCGCCCAGGCTGGAGTACAGTGGTGCGATCTCTGCTGACTGCAAGCTCCGCCTCCCGAGTTCATGCATTCTCATGCCTCAGCCTCCCGAGTAGCTGGGACTACAGGCGCCCGCCACCACGCCAAGCTAATTTTTTGTATTTTTTAGTAGAGACGGGATTTCACTATGTTAGCCAGGATGGTCTCAATCTCCTGATCTCGTGATCCCCTGGCCTCGGCCTCCCAAAGTGCTGGGATTAAAGGCGTCAGCCACCGTGCCCGGCCAATCATTCTTCATTTTTTAATTATTTCTATGATTTTCTTTTTTTTTTTTTAGCTCCTTTCTCCTATAATTAATGTATATTGTGTACCTACTCCGACATCACGATTTGATTATGCTGGAGTATGAATAACTTATTTGAGCCAAAAAGAGAATTGTGATCAAAATACAGTGGAGATGTTCTTTTGTATACAGTTGTTATAAACTTGAAGGAGATTGAAAGCTGAGAGAAAGTAGGAAGGAAAGGCACCTCAGGTAAGGACTGAAGATTATTTTGTGTATTCAGCTAAATCAGTTTACAGCCAAACAGTAATGACAGATCACTCTCAGGTTACTATGTGTATAAGGGTTTTGGTGTTGTCAGAGGCAGCTAGCTACCCATGAAATAGCCATCCTAATCTTTTCCTCCATGAATAGAGCCCTAATTTGTTCCAGTATTAACATGGGCAATGGAAAACTAAATACCCCAGCTTTCCCTGCAGATTGCGGTGGCCATATGATTAAGGACTGGCCAGTGAGCTATAAAGGAGAGAAGGTTTGGATATGGTCTCCTGTGAAACTCCTTTTAAAGGGAGAAGGTGGGATATGTCCCTTGCTTTTTTGTTTGTTTGTGTTTTTTTGAGACAGAGTCTCGCTCTGTCGCCCAGGCTGGAGTGCAGTGGCGTGATCTGGGCTCACTGCAAGCTCCGCCTCCTGGGTTCAAGCCATTCTCCCGCCTCAGCCTCCGGAGTAGCTGGGACTACAGGCGCCTGCCACCATGCCTGGCCAATTTTATTTTTAGTAGAGAGGGGGTTTCACCGTGTTAGCCAGGATGGTGTCGATCTCCTGACCTGATCCGCCCACCTCGGCCTCCCAAAGTGCTGGGATTATATGCGTGAGCCACCGCGCCCGGCCTGTCCCTTGCTTTTATCTTTCCATTTGCCTAGAATTCCGATGTGATGACTAGAGATTCAGCAGCTATTTTTTACCTAAATATATCTGTTCATTGCTGCATCCCAGCCTCTAGAACAGTGCCTAATATGGGACTCAAAAACATTTGTCAAATAAAAGAATCAATCAATTGATAAGTAAAGCAGAAAGCTCTTCCTCAGTAGTTGCTTCGCATTTATCTCTTTCTGAGATTTATTGTGTTAATTTTGAAGAGTGGGATTTTTAAAGCCAAGCTCTGAAATGTTGGTTATATTTATTAGCTACCTGCCCTTGAGCAAGTCATTTACTTTTCATGAACTTTGATTTTAGTATATGTAAACTGAATAATAATTTTTATCTTGCACAGTTGTTGAAAGGACCTGAAATAGCTTATTATATTCCTAACATGTTGTCCTATTATATATTGCAGTTTCTGAGCAACTTGTCCGCAAATGTCATAATTTTGGTTTATCCGATTAATTCTCTAATGAATATAATGCAGAATGACTAAAATTTTTTGAATATATACTGGATGAAATTTTATTATTGGCACCCATAGTTTCTTAAGTATATACTCCATTCCTTTATTTTTTTTATTTCATCATTGTTATACAAACACTCATTTCGGAATGCTATTACATAATTTTTAAAATGTAGCATTAAAAAAGATTAAGCAAAAATAACATATTGGAAAATCTTTATTCTTTGCTCTCATAGTGTTTTCTGTTGACAAGACAGAAATTACAATTAGATTAATAAAATATTGCTTCATATTAGGATGAGACACTCAAGGAGATTTTTCTAACATAGTGGAGATAAGATACACACAGACAACCACGACATAAGCTGATACATGAATTCCATCAGAGAGATTAAAAACAAGAAGAGGAATTCAAGGGAAGGACAGATTTTTTTGTTGGGAGTACCAGAAAAGTCTTTAGAAAAGAGACAGCCTTGCACCCAGGCACTAACAGATGGAGTGAGATGGGAGAAGGGGCATACTAGCTGACAGAACAGCATGAGAAAAGACATAAAGACAGAAAATGTGTTCAGATAGCAATCAATACCGTGGTTTGACTGGATGGTACAAAACATAAAGGGAGAAGAAAGAGATAAGGCTTGAAAAGCATCAGATATGAGCTTCATTACATAAACAATAATTAACCATCTCTCAAAAGGAACATGTCAGTACAACTATGCTCACATACTTCTTTTAATAGAAAGATGAATTCCTGAAAATTGGAGAGGTGAATCAGAGCTCCTTAGAGGCATTGTAGTGTTGTCTCTATGGTGATGCAATCCTAGCATCTTTCACTGGCAGCTGTTTATATTTTTCTTCAATCACCTAAACTCATGACCAGCTCCAACTACCTTTACTATGGCTGTTCAAATAGTGCAGGATCAGAGATATTTCTGATGCTTTTTACAGTTATAATGTTTCCAGAAATTCCTGCTGTCTTTATCTCCTTGTCCATTTCCTAAAACGTGCCTCCAACCACAATAAAAGGTCTATTTAACATTCTGCTTGAAACATTTTCTTTGGTTCTTTTTTACAGTCCAGTCCTATCACTTAAACATCTTAAGGCAGGTATCATGGGTCAAAATAGTTTACCAGACCACATCAGATTCAATACCAGATACAGTGCAAAACATGCAACAGGCAGGCACACTGGCTGAGAGAGGATTAGCATGGCCAGACAACACATATAGAAACAGAGAAGAAATCTTAAATTGTAACAATGTATTATTCCTAGAATTGTATTTTTCTTATTGCCAAACTTTTTCTCTGTTTCATAAACTGAGATCTCACCTTATCCATGAAAGTTTCCATTTTATTGTTACATTTTAATTGCTCTGAGAGAAAAAAGGAAGGAAAAAGGAAGGAAGGAAGGGAGGGAGGGAGGGAGGGAAGGAAGGAGAGAAAGGAAAGAAGGAAGGGAGGAAGGGAGGAAGAGAGAGAAGAAAGAAAGAAAGAAGAGGAAGAAAGAAAGAAAGAAAGAAAGAAAGAGAGAGAGAAAGAAAGAAGAAAGAGATATGGAAGGAAGGAAGGAACAAAGAAAGAAAGAGGTAAGAAGGAAGGAAGGAAGGAACAAAGGAAGTAAGGAAGGAAAAAAAGAAAAAAGAAAAAGGTGTTGCATTAGCCAGTGGCCCCACATGTCCTCCAATTATCTTTTGATAGATGTGTCTGACAACTAGAATAATGCATGTGGAAATACTCCTTCCTACGCTCAGTCTGCTTCTTTGTCAAGTTCAATAGCAAGGTTCACTGAATGGCCTCATTTTCTATAAGCAACTCCATAGCCCCTTAAAACTCACCAGTCAGACTGGGAGAATCAGAAGACATTTGACCTTTTATCACAGGATGGATCCATAGACTGACATGCCAATTAAGCTGGGTAGAGTAGGAGAATTGAGTAACTTGAACAAATCTCACCTGTTAATGATATACCAGTTTTCAAAGGTTCTATAGCTTCTGAAATATCACAGGCTGAGGAAACCTTTTTGAGCATCTGTTTCACAAGTGGAGTCAAGTAGCCTCAAATAGGATGCAAACCGCTTCTGGGGCATGGCAGGGAGCAGTTTACCTCCTGCTTTTTCATATACTTTGTCAAAGCAGTTAATCAAACCACCAGCCTCTGTACCTCAGGGGACAGTCAAAGCTCTTCCGGGGATACTTGAAAAGTCAAAATTAGAAACAATGATAGAGTTAAAATGTGGGGAAATCCTTATCCCCTGCCTTAGACAGTCGCCACAACATCTAAACAGTAATTTTCATCAGGCTTGAGTCAGTTGAGAGGATTCATAACCTGGGAAGATTATTTATAACTAAATGCCATTTGGAATGGCTCATATAGATTGCTGAATATTAAAGATTCACAGGTCCCTAATTTAAAGTTTTTTGTTGGTGTCATGAACAGTACTTTCTTTCATGAAATGAAAACAAACAGAAGAATACTTCCGAAATGTTTTCTCAGTCTCTGCCTTTTTCTTTGCAATTTTACCATGCTCCTTTTCAAGTGGACAGTGTAAATACCACATCTCTCTTGTGCCAATGAGCTGCCCTCCTACCAGAATTCTGTGAAAAGACAGTCTCTCATGACTCTAGATTCTTACTAGCATGCATCTAAAATGCTGTTAGTAGCATCTATAGCTAAGTCTACCTACTCTCAATCGATGACTGAATTTGCCTATTTTCTAATCTGAATCGATGACTGAATTTGCCTATGTGCCTATGTCTTTGTTTGTTGGTGTACTTTTACCAGAAATTAAGAGGTGTTTATCTCTAAGAAAACTGGAAACACCCTCCTGGAAATCTTTAATTTTAAAAAAATGTTGATGGTGGATAAGAAAAGTATTCTAAATGTCAAAATAGGCAAAACAATGTAGTCGTTAGCCACAAAAACTTTGGGTTCACCAAAACTGGGTTTAAACCTAGTTCCACTATGTACTATTTGTGGAACTTTGGGCAAATTACTTATTCTCTTCAGAGTCTCAGCTTCCTCATCTGCAAAAAGACAATATCTACATTATAGAATTGTAATCAAAATTTGAAAATATATTTAACGAATTTCATGCAGCATCAGATATACAGTAGGCAAAGATCAAAAGAGTATAAAAACATCAGAGAGCTCATATTCAAATTCCAACACTGTAGTCCTCTCAAATCAATAGAAACAATCCCATTCCTATCTACTGTTTGTCATAACATAAGACAAAGGATCTCCTGGGTTGGGTCACCTACACAAGGATGTGAGATCATGCTAGGGTCATAAAAGATCAGATTTTGATCTGATACATACAGAGCAGGAGAAAGAGAATCCAAAGACATGGAGGTCCTAAAATTGTGGTAAATGAGATGTAGAACACAATAGAAGCTTAAATGTCTGGCAAGATGACAGCATGAGAAAACTCTGCCTCCCCCTCCACTGACTACATTGCCCTTAAGAAATACCACTATTTTGATTCCTCAGGGATCTAGTACTAGAAATACCATCTGACCCAGCCATCCCATTACTGGGTATATACCCAAAGGATTATAAGTCATGCTGCTATAAAGACACATGCACATGTATGTTTACTGTGGCACTACTCACAATAGCAAAGACTTGGAACCAACCCAATGTCCATCAATGATAGATTGGATTAAGAAAATGTGGCACATATACACCATGGAATACTATGCAGCCATAAAAAAGGATGAGTTCATGTCCTTCGTAAGGACATGGATGAAGCTGGAAACCATCATACTCAGCAAACTATCACAAGGACAAAAAACCAAACACCGTATGTTCTCACTCACAGGTGGGAATTGAACAATGAGAACACTTGGACACAGGAAGGGGAACATCACACACCAGGGCCTGTTGTGGGGTGGGGGGATGGGGGAGGGATAGCATTAGGAGATATACCTAATGTAAATGACGAGTTAATGGGTGCAGCACACCAACATGGCACATGTATACGTATGTAACAAACCTGCACATTGTGCACATGTACCCTAGAACTTAAAGTATAATAAAAAAAAGTTAGCTTATTATTTTGCATATAACACTCAATTGTAATAACTATTATTGGTTTCATCTTTTATCATTTTTGATCAGTTGTGAGCAAGGGATTTCAATAAATACAAATTTATTTTCAAAAAAAAAAAAGAAGGAAATACCACTATTTTATGAATTAGTTATATTGACCGTGAGGGAGAAAATATAAAAGGCCATCAAAAGAGGACTGTATGAGACAGCAAAGACAGACTATTTTTTTTTGTCTGTTACCTTCAGCTGAATGCAGCCAAATGAAAGTTACATACAAGATTTATTTAATGAGTTAGGGAAACTCATGGCTACAATATACAGGACGGGGTTGTTGGTCTGCTCTACTGCCCCTTTCATTGGTCTGATATTATAGCCACTGATTCTGACCTTTTGGGATCTAGTTTTTCCTTTTCCAATATCTCACTTCATTTTTTTTTTCCACTGTGTATTCTTGATCTCTACAATTTAACCAAGTATGTTTGATTCTGTTCTCTGGGGCTTTGTGCTCTTCTCCTACCACAGAGAACATATTTTGTTTCCTCCTAGCTTGATTAAGGTATAATTAACAAATAAAAACTTAATATGTGAAAGTTGTAAAACATGATGTTTTGCTACACACATACATTGTGAAATGATTACCACAATCAAGCTAATTAATATATCCATCACTTCACATAATTACCTTTTTGTGGTAAGAATGCTAAGATTTACTCTTTTAGCAAATTTGACGTATATAAAATTACAGTCACCATGCTGTACATTAGATACCCAGAACTTACTCAACTTAAAACTGCAGTAGTGGTTCTGGCCTTCGCAGTGCAGGTACTCAGTCTCAGAACTGGGGTCTGGAGCATGGGACTGGGATGAGTGGAAACCCTAGTCCCAGGCTGGCAAAAAAAAGCAGCTCCTTCCTGCAGGGAATGAGAATAGGGCTCAGCGACTTTCCCCCCTGCGGGAGGTCTGCAGCATCAATAGCTGTTGGCTTACCTCAGTGGTGAAAGTGGCCAGTGTGTGCTGGTGTCCATGCCAACAAACACTGAGGGGCCTCCACTGCGAAAGCTGCAGGGAGCGATGGCTATTGTGGGGCTGTGATAGCACCAAGGACCTGGCTGATACTGGTAGCCCCCACGTTTCTTCTTTGTTTCTAGCCATCTCCAGATATCTCAGGTATGCCAATCTCCCCAACAACTCTTTCTGTCGAGTTATTCTTCCTTCTTTACTCCACTGTGTTATTGGAAATTCTTAATTGGATTCTTGAACTCTCCAAGGACTATTTTTGTTTCTGGAAAGCTGTCTAATTGTTGTTTTGTGGGAGGTACAAAGGCTAATACCTCCTACTTTACCGTCTAGCTGATGTCACTCCTGTAAACACGCTTTTCTATGCAGCTCCTAGGATACCAGTAGATTTTCCATTTTTTTTTTTATTCTTAATCATCTGTTTTTACTACATCTTTCTTGTGATGACAAGAAGCAAGTAATTCTATCTCTATGCCATACTAATGAGGAAGTCAAAGACCAGAAATGTTAAACGGCTTCAGCTGATACAGCTGAGGAACGCATACAAGTGTTTAAAATGAAGCTCAAAGCCCTGACAGATCTGTCTTTCAAAGGAAGTTGAGCACCTATTTTGTAACTTGTTTCCCTTCTATCTTTTACTGAAATCTAGCAAGGTATATGACATGTGGCCCTTAACAGTTTATGATAGTGTCTTCACATACATAGTTGTTACTTTCAAAACAATATTTTGAAAAAGGACTTACTTTCCTTCATTTACCTGGGAAACTGGTTTAAGACACTTGGCTAAGGTCATGTTACAGGAGTTGCAGTGTCTGAATGTTCATCTGAAACTTATGGCTCCAAAACCTAAAACCATGTGCTCGCTCCATATGATAAGTCACATAACCAAGATTAACTCCCTACTTAATGTGCTTTAGGGACTTCAGAAAAGGCTCTGTTTCTTAAAATATCATTCACGCATTGCAGTGGGATCTAAACTCTTCACATTAATAAACTATTGCATAAAACACAGAAGGAACTTCTGATATATAAATATCAGCAAAAGTGGTAACATATCAAGATAGCTTCAGATTATCTTCAGTCATTAGCAATCAGTTTTGATTTGACTAAATTCATTAGATTAAACCAGCAGGATAAGTTTTGCAGGTAATCTATGTGGAAAAAACATGCTTCAGGAAAAATTAGTTGCAGGTCAAACATGCTGGAGTCTAGCTCCTTAAGGAAAGCAGATGTAGAGTAGACAGTATCAAGTAATTACATATTGAGATGTTGGTGTCAAGTATTGTGAATGATGTTTGTGGCAAAATGATCTTGAGCTTTGCTTGGGTGTACTTCTGGTCCCAAGGTTTGTATCTGACTTCACTGATACTCAGGAATGATAAAATAGTTTCATAAATTTTCTTCCTATTTAAGTCAATTGCAGCAGACACTGCTAGATGCCTACTCAACATCCACTTCCACTTTTCATTAGGACAGTGTTTGTTTTTGTTTTGAGTGGCAATGTGTCAGAAAAAAAATGCATGCACGTTCCTTCCTTTCATTGCACGGTAAATGAGATTAAAGTAGAAGCCTCCTAGAGACTTCTGGAAATGCTTTGACTTTCAAATACAGGTGCTACCTTTCCTTCTTATACTTTCCTTCTTCTTCCAGCCTGAAATTTATGTGGAAACCTGAAAGTATGAAGGAACAATGAGGATAAAATCACAGGCTAGGAATGGTGGAGCAGAAAGACAGTAGGAGCCTGAGATGCTAATGTTTTAAAGTTCCTGCACCATCACGATACCACTAACATTCAGAGTTTCATCTGTCTAAGGAACATAAGTTTTTATTTGCTTAAATCACTGTAATCAAACTTTTGGTCATTGTAGGTGAGACACTTTCCAAAAAGATTCTTTTATCTTTTTCAATTAGGAAATCTTTACAATGCATATATACAGGTTGATTTTATATATATAATATTAATCTTATTCTTTATATTTGCTCTTTTTTCCCCTTGATTTTATTTAATGTATTTTCCAAAAGTGCTATAGTGGACCACTTACATAATCATTTTTAAAAACACTGCTTGTTCAGATATTAATCATATATATATATCATATATATATCATATATATATCATATATATATCATATATATATCATATATATATGATGTATTGACATAAGTCTCTGGTCCATTACTATTTGACATAGGACAAGTAATTTTATTTCTTAGGATCTTAGATTGCCCATCCAAAGTGAGCTAGCTGACCTAAGTAATAATAATTTTTTTCTTTTAAATTTATAAAATTTTATGAAATATCCTTACATAATTGAAAAATAAGCATTTCTCTTCTTGTAAAATTCAACTCTGTAAATTGAATCAGTTATACCTGAAAGAAGACACTGAAAATGTTTTTCAGTGATTACCAAGGATTTGACTGTGCGTGAACTAGTGGATTGGGACATGGCCTCAAACACTCTATAACTGGAAGTCAAGTGGAATGTATATCTAATTATACATAACAAGATATAGAAATATTATTGTTAGATGAGCTTGAGGTAAAAAATTAGGACAAGTTTCTGGAGGGTAATCAGGGTTTCGAAAGGATTATTATACAACAGAAATAGACAGGATGTCAGAAGCTGCTCTCTTATCCATGTGAGGCTGAAGTTGCTATGTGCCATATTGGTCACATTGTGGGGAGTGGGGATGCTGATACCTATTTCAAACATTCATCATTTATTAGGAAAAGATCTATTGAACGTGTGTTATTTGCACATCACTGAAGGATATACAAGGTAATACAGAAAGGAATGACACTATGTTCTAGTAGTTTTCAATCCACCCTCCACCAAAAACAGATAGGTCAGCTTCATAAATAACAATAAAATAACATGACATCAAGAAAAAGGCACAAAAGCAGGGTGACCATACATTCAGTTTGACTGGAATAGTCTTGGATTGATCCTGCTGTCCTGGCTTGATTACTAACACTGCCCGCCTTCAGTGCTCAAAAATACTCCGCCATGGTTATATGGGTTTAAATTTGAAACTGTATTTTATACATTTATCAACCCAAACTGTTGATTTTTATTACCATTGCCTATGCAATAATATAAAAGGAAAATTAGAAATCTCTAAACTTCCCCTTATGTTGTTCATTAATTCTCCAATTCGCTTTGCTTTCATCCAACCCAGTCATTAGCAACACAAAAGAAATCAAACAAAATCTGAACAAGAAGTGTTTTTAAAAATGACTATATAAATGTTCCACCATAGCACTTTTGGAAAATACATTAAATAAAATCAAGGGGAAAAAAGAGCAAATATAAAGAACAAGATGATCTTGAAGGGCATACGTCAGTATTACTAATAGATTAGAGATTAAGAACATTCTCTTTCCTAAGGAAAGATGTTATTAATGTATCTATTAATGTGTTCCCTGATTATAAAAGATAAGACTTTGCTCCTATATATGCCATTTTCCAAATAAATTTGTAATATTCTATTTCATATATTACTGTAATATTAGTTTATCTGGGAGGAGCTAACTCCAGAAAAGTCTAACAGATAATGATGAAGAAAAACATGACTATGTCAAAGTAGTGTGTGCTGGCCCTGAAACAGTGGCAGACAGTGTGAGGTAGCCAACTGATCTTGGTCATTGGCTACATCAGACACATACTTAAGGCTCATTCTTCTACTATACAGGAAGCTCTGTTTAGGGCCACTCTGGACTTTTGTAATTGGTTTAAGCATTGTCCTTTTCTGATTCTGTTAAATAAAAAATATAAATGCTTTTCATATCTTTGGCACCCACTAGAGAAATCATCTTTACTAATAATCATAAGTGCCATAATTAAAAGTGCAGAGATTTTATTTCTCTCAGTAATTTGACTTAGCCTAAATCTCCTGTAGTAAAATCACTTATCTATGGCATATCGGGACATGAGCATAACTGACTTAAAAAAGCAGTTTTGGTTAGTTATGCAGCACTATAAATTGAGCAGGGTTAATCGATTCTATCATTCTGTACCATAAACATGGAGTGGGGGGCAGTGAGCAAGAAAACAGAATGAGAAGATTTTCCAATTTTCCACTGAAGTAAGCAATACTGATTTTGTCATTGTTACTGGATGTGAAATAAAGAGAGATTTATAAATCACTTATTAATGCTAAAAAATGTGTACAAGTTTAGACAGAACAGTTTAAAGGATTACAAAAAAGTTAAATTTTGTAAATGTTTAATGAAAGATTAACTGGGAATAGAAATTTGTTAAAAACAAACCATAAAATAAATCCCTTCTGCTCTACTCTTCTTGACCCTCTCATTTCTCAATGCTTAAAGAGGAAGATAAACTTTCCAAAGATCTAAAACTGACAGAGTGGAGATCTGTGCTCTTGTTTCTCTGAAACTTCATTTATAAAGGTCATCCTCTTCTTTGCCAACCTAAGTCTTTGCATCATTAGGAGCATTTCAGCTTTGACATAGTTAGCTGATTAACTCAATCAGTGCCTCAAAATCATTGTGCCCTGACCTTTGGAATTAAAAGTAGTCACTTTTACTTTAAGAAGAGACTCTTAGCACTTCTCTTATCAGGATCTCTATCAGTTGGGTGTTCTTTGTCTTTGAAATCTCAACCTCCTGATCCCACTTTCTGGCTACAGGCTTCTGTTTTCTACATGCCCTATAGCTATTCTCCAAATGCACCAATTATATCATTTAATGATGTTCAACTATACATTTCCTTGAGCCTCTATATTGTATTCCTTCAAAATCCCTATCTGTGCTTTACCTGCTTTCCCTACTCCCTCTAAACCCACTGGTCAATGATTTTAAATGTTTTCCAATCCTTACTTAGCACAATTTGGTTGAAAGAGCACTGAATATAAAATGAGACATGTATAGATTAAAATCCCACTTCTGCCATTTGGAACTTGTGACCTTTTTACAAGGCACATGATTTCTTAGTTTTAGTTTCCTCTTCAATATAATGAAAATAATTTCTACCACACAAGAATTTGTGATGATTGCATAAGGTAATATCTCTTCTTTTAGTTATTCTAAGTTCTTTTTTTTTGTATTTTTATAAGCTCACCTTAGTCTGCTTCTCACAATTCTAGCAAATACCATACTTTATGCTCCCCTAAGAATCTAAAGGCTATGAAATATGAAATCCATCAACTTATCTCCTACCACCTCCAAACTCATCTATCTACCTATCAACCTACCTATCTATTATTCCACATCTATTCTTTCTTCTTTTTCTTATGTCTCGAAAGAAGAAATGTTCCATTTCACTTTCAAGACTGACAGCTCCGTCTGTAATAATGATCTCATTCCCCTCCTGCCCCATCTGGGACACTGCTTGACTGATGATACTTCCTTTTTCTTGGACTTTGTACTTTTCTTCTCTGAATATTTATATATTCATTCTTTTCCATTTAAAGATTTTTTTGGTCATATATTCCTCCCAGAGCCTAACCCTAGCTCTGCAATTTACTTAACTTCCTATGCCCTCAAAAAACCAAGTTATATTTATTTCCTTCACAGTCTCACTTACCATTCCTTTCTTAATCCACAGATAGGACTTTTGCCTTTATCACATAATAAAATGATTTTGATCTTATCACTGAACACTTCTTAATTTCACAATCTGGCTGACATTTTAAATTCATTATCTTGCTTCTTTTCTCAAAGGTGTTTGCCACTGTTGTCTTCGTAAGAATTTTTCTCTTTGCGACTTTAGTATATAATCCTCTTTCTAACTTTATTACCAATTTGCTCATTTTCCTTCATTTTAACCTACATTTCTCAGTCCTAAAATGCTGTGTTTCCTAATATTTATTCTTGATCTTCTCTCATTTAACACATTTCTCTCTCAAGTGATTGCATTCCTTCTCATGACTTCAATGGCTAAATGTAAAACTTGACAACAGTCATATTTGCATATTGGCATTTTGCCCTGTACTGATTCTTGAGCTCTCAGAAAAATCTGTAACCAGTACTAACATCTGCAACTGGATATTCCTTCTGTTAATCCAGTTATCCAAGACTTGTCATAACTCTCTTTGAGTATATATCTGTGTTAAAAGTTGAGTCCAGGAAGCTAGGGAGAAATCAGTTGTCCTATCTCTAGATAGTAAAGAGGAAAAAAAGAGGCTGGAGAAAACCAAAAAGAATGTCGTGAGTCAAAGGTAAGAAAGTGAAAGTTCTCGTGTGGCACTGAAATTGGAGGCGAAGTTAAGAATGGATAGCCGAAAACTATAAAAAGGATTGTAGCAGACCAGGAAGAAAAATACCCAGGAAAATCATGAGTGATTTATAATGGCAAAAGAGTGTCCATGGTTTGAGGTTAATGCCAATGACAAAATGTTCCGGGGCACACCATGTTGACCTAATGTCAAACTCAGTGAACACCAGCCCTTGATGCCTCCTTTTTCAACATCTTTACATGCAATCAAACCAATTACCAAATCCATTCACTTCTACCACTGAAACATATCTCAGACCAGTTCTATTTTCTCTATCTCATTGTCGCTGCTTCAGCTCAGGCCTTCATCATGTGTCACACGGACAACTGCAGTAGTCTGCTGATTGGTCTTCCTTGGTCTCACTGCCACTAATCTCTCTCAAGTCTAATAAATCTTCCACAATGTCTGGAGTGATCTTTCCACAATACGAACCTGCCCAAGTCACTTCACTGCTTTAAAAGTCCTTTGCTGACAAGTCAAAGCCTTCATCCCTTAATGTCCGAAAGCAAGATATTAACAAACTGGCCCCTGCCCACTTTTCCCCTCCCACTGCTCGTTTCAATGGTGTTCCTGTTCTCTGATAATGAGATTCTTCCACACATCTGTATTCCCAACTGGCTCTAACCTTCCTGTCGTGAAATTCAGGTTTTCCTGAATTTACTGGTGAAACAACAGTAATGCTTCAAGTGTTAAGTAAAATACATTGTCAAGGCTATGTATACTATTTGCAAGTGGCATTCATTTATCTTATCACAATTAATAATCATAACCTTAATATTCCATGATCTACATGAGGTCAAGGACCACATTATTTACATTTGTGTGTTCCATCTTTAGATGTGTGCCTAACATCAATACATGCACAAAATATGTTTGCAGTTTAACTGGCAGCATAAATGAATGGATGAATGAATGGGTCAATTAATTATTGAGAGAATTGAAATAATTACCATGCTTCATATAAAGTCTAAGCTGGTTTGAACATATTTTACTATGGGAAAAATAATCTTAGTACTTATAAAAGAAGACTCACAATTAACCACGGAGTCTGAAAAGAATTTCCAGCCCCAAAAGGGAAGACTTTCTTTCAAATACTAGATGACAAGATTGATGACAGCAGTGCTTCTTACTGTTGCTATTTTTAAAACTGTTAAATAATACTTGAATGTATAAAAATTACTACTTCTCCAAGTAATTATAGTTTAGGAATTGATTTAATGCAGGCTCGGGATAAATTAGTGTCTGTCGATGAATCAGTGATATATTAAGGGAATTAAGCCCCCATCAGTAGTCACCCCTACTCTCATCACTCCTCTCAATAATTATTGATGACTTTCCCTAGATGTTTCAGCACCACCCGCTTCCCAAAGCAGTTTATGTGGAGTATATTTGGCTTCAGAAGTTATCACCCAGCACAGTCTAGAAGTGACAGGGGAAAGCTTCTGTCCTACTCTGTTGGTTCACTCCATGCCAAGAGTCAGTACTCAGTTTCTTTCCTGAAACACTGCCCTGTATCCCAGTCTGCTCAGTGAGACCCTGAGACCTCACCTGCCTTTTGCCAGCTTTCTTCCACTTTGGATAAATGGATGGATCACTCAAACTAAAGTCTTCTTGCTTGTTCTGATATAGTACTACTTGCTACTCGTTAGCTTTCTTAGAACCCACATCTTCTCACTGTCTTATTATAATTTTTATTTAACTCAAGCTTATATTTGCATCTTACCTCTGGAAATTCTATATATGAAACTAGATACTCCTGTGAAGTGCCAATTCCAGAATCCAAAAACAGAATGTATTTTTAGGCCTCTTTTTCAGCTTACATAAAGCACAGTAGCTCCCAGTGGAGTGGGGACAAGCAGGTTTCCCTCCACAGGATATTTGGCAATCTCTAGAGACGTTTATTAGTGATCACAATGGAGGGGGGAGATACTATTGGCATGTAGTAGGTAGAAACCGGGGATGCTGTTAAATATCCTATAATGCACAGAATAGCCTCCATTACTACCCCATAATAAAGATTTATCTAGGCCAAAATATCAATAGTGCTGACATTGAGAAATCCTGCATACAGCATTTTTCCTTTTCTGCACGTGTATTAGTGCTTAAAATATCAGATGTCCCATGACCGAGTTGACCCCAGTTTTAAAACCAGGGCAAAAAGCATATAAAGTTTGCCAATTTTTGGCACTATAATCTAGTCACTGGGACTCCATTTTTGCCCAGTTTTCCCGTTTGATGAAATAGCAGCTGACCATTCCTCTTCTACAGAGGGCCGTGGAGGTTTAATAAATCCGTTTTAATGAGGTACTCTGCCATACTCAGGTGAAAAATGCTACACAAGTGTTATTCCCATCACAAGAGACAGCAAGGATTGCTTTGCAGATTGGCACATGAAGTTCATCCCTGCAATGCACCTCCATCCCCTAGCTCCAGAAAGTACAAAATTTGCTCATAAAAAATAGAAGCAGACTGACAACTTCAGCATTTTCTTTTACCTCTGTCAGTAGAAGTGGAGTCACTGAAGAATCAGCTGTCGGGTGGCTGCATCTTTAAATTATCCAGCACATCAGCCACCACTGTTATTGAATTTCTCTTGGTTCGTAGAATCCCCTAATGTATAAAGCAGGCAGTGGGGAAGATTACATTGATCTCACAAAAAGGGGGATTAAAATGTCCTTAATGTACCCACCAAAAGTTTCAATCTAGCAAACGTGGCATATATAAAGCAGTAGGATTTGGAAGGAAAAGATTAAGGACTTTGTCTTTTTCAAGTTCAAAAAAAGAATAGAGTTTTATTCATCAGATAGGATTTAAGTGTTTATCTGTCCCTGGGAAGCTTCCTATACCTGAAGGATTAGGTTTGCTTTCTCTTCCAAATGAACCTATGACTTAATGACACTTTAAGAAGCGAAATTTATGTTTTAGTCATTTTAAAGTTTTAACTAGAAAAACACAAATACAAAATTAACATAACTGTGTTCCCTTTTGTATTTTACTTACCGTATTTTATATACATATTTTAACATAAATACAATCATGGTGAATTTCAGTTTGAGTCTTTTAATTACCTTAATTATCATTGTAGTAAATTAAAGTATTCAATTTATTCATTTACTTATTTATCCGTTTTCTTTCAAGTAAATATTTATAAACTGTGTTCTCCAAGCCAGCGTTATATTGACTGACCACCTCCATAGACAGCACTGTGCCCAAGCCACTATCTTCTTTTGTTTGGACTATTTTGATAACCTTCTGACTTGCTTCTCTTTCCAATTTAAAGTGTGAGTTTAGCTGCATATTGGAAAATAATTCAAATAAATGTGGTTTAAATAAAATTGGAGATGATTTTTCTCTCATGAAACTAGGAATTGGAACATAGTGATCCAGGTCTTGTACAACAGTTTGCAGTTCCCGGCCCATTTGTTTCTCAGACATCCTTTGATTATGGCTTCCACCCTCCAGATATCTTTCCAGTTTCAATTTCATCCTTGTGTCTTCATCCTCTACCCCCATGTCTACAAAAGAAAAAGTGGCAGGATAAGAAGAAATGGCTGCCTGCTGAGTCAGCTACATGCATAGAGCTTTTTTCCAAAGTCCCACCCAGAGACTTCAGATTATGCCTTATTGACAGTCACGTAACCATTCCGAGCTGCATGGGGAGTCAAGAAATATCATTTTTACCTACTGCAGTGTAGCCTGAAAAAAACTGGGTTATGTTAGTAGAAAAAGAGAGGCAGGGAG
Organism: Homo sapiens; assembly: GCF_000001405.40. Taxonomy (NCBI): domain Eukaryota; kingdom Metazoa; phylum Chordata; class Mammalia; order Primates; family Hominidae; genus Homo; species Homo sapiens. Next base: position 57,979,632 of record NC_000004.12, on the reverse strand, counting down.
AGTGGATATTGGGTAGGTAATTGACAGTTTCTTCTACATCTTGCCTCCATTCTTTTCCTCCGGTAGTTTCCCAGAGCATTCGGAGAGCTCTTTCCTACAATACAAATTGTATCAAATTATTCCCTGGTTTAAAATCGTCAGTCTTAGAATAAAATCTAAGTTCTTTTCCATGTTCTGTACGCCAAATGTAGTCTGACATCATTTCCTACTATTTCCCCCCTTATTTACTGCTATAGCCACACTATCTTTTTAGCTATCAAGTAGCCCAAGTACATTTCAGCCCCTGAGCCTGTATGCTTGCTATTCCCTGTGCCTCAAACTCTCCTTCACAACGGGTTTATATAGCTTGATCCATCTTATCATTCAGTGAGTAGGCTCAGCAAAGTCTTCCTGCTTCCAATTCCTAGCTTGAAGTCTAAATTTGGATTTCTTAGAATTCAAATCCTGGCTTCTACCATGAGTGAGCTCAGTGACTTTAGGCAGTTACTGACCTCTTCTTTGATTCAGTTTCCTCATCTGTAAAATGGGCTTAATTGTGTCATCCTCATAGGGTTGTTAATAGCATCCAGTGAGTTAACAGTTGTGAACTGCACAGAATATTAGCTGGCAAATGGTAGTTATTTGATAAATGTTGGCAAAAAAAATTTAATGGGACTCTGCCTTCTCTTCGGAAGCCACTGTCTATGCTTTTAGTTTGCTATATGCTTCAAAACATAGATTACTCTCCATGGGTGTGGTGTCTCATGCCTGTAATCCCAGCACTTTGGGACTACAAGGTGGGAAGAATGCTGGAGCCCAAACCTTCGCAACATAGTGAGACCCTGTCTCTACAAATAATAATAATAATACAAATTAGCTAGGCATGATGGTGTGTGCCTGTGGTCCCAGCTGCTTGGGAGGCTGAGGTGGGAGCATCGCCTGAGCCCAGGGGTTTGAGGATGCAGTGAGCCATGATCGTACCAGTACACTCCAGCCTGGGTGATAAAGTGAGACCCTGTCTTAAAAATTAAAAAAAAAAAAAAAAAAAAAAGACAGCAACAACAACAAAAATGCAAATTACTATTAATACTATCTAATTTATTTATATAGTACTTATTGACTACCTATTCAAGGAGAATGTAAGCTGTATAAAGATACAATTGGTCACCCAGACACTAGAACACTTCCTAGCACAGATTAATTAGGCACTCAAAAAAATACCAAATAAGTGATCAAACAATATTTTTATTTATTTTTCTAATATTACAAAATTACTTCACATCTGATAGATTGTTAATGTATTATTAAAATATTTGTCACTTGATTGGTGAAATCCTCTTAATTCTGACCTGGTTTAAAAGATCAAGAATATGTTAGAGGCTTGAAACATAAACTTAATTTAAAGAAACTTTCCTTGAGGGCTACAATAAAAGGAATCACAACATCTCACAAGTATGTTTCTCAAAGTTAGCAGGATCAGCAAACTTTTTCTGCAGAGGGTAAGAATGTAAATATTATAGGCATTGAGGGCCATCAGGTTCTCTTGCCACTACTCACCTGCTCCACACCAGTGTGAAAGCAGCCATATACAATATGTAGATGCATGGACGTGGCTCTGTTCCAGTAAATATTTAAAAAGCAGGTCTGTGGTTTGTAGTTGCCAACCCCTGTTCTAGAGTATCAAAAGATGGAATTTTGAAATATTTTCAGAATTATCCTGTAATATTTACATTGCAAAAGGCAGGTTATTTTAAAATAGGAATTATTGCAACATTCACATATTTTAAAAAATCTATTTTTGAGTCATAAAGTTTACAATTTGCTTCTGTGTGTTTAACTTCATTTTTCCCCATACGACAACTCTGTTGGTTAGGTAGGGAAATGTAATGATCATCACTTGACAAGTAAAACAAACAAACAAACAACAACAACAACAAAAAAAAAAACAAAGGAGAAACAGTGCTATTGGCCACTAATCCTGTATACTTCCTGTGGACATTATCACTTAATCCACAAAAATAATTCATGAAGTACATAATGTTATTCCTATTTCAAAAATGGGAAAATTGAGGTTTAAATTTGTTAAGTGATGATCTAAACATCACATAGCTGTCAAATGTCTGGATCCAAATTTAAATCCCATTTATGTGGGCTCCATCAATGATATTAGCATGGTACCTACCTTATTCTGTAAATAATTCATAAACCCAGTCACTTTTTTTAGTCTTATCCAAACCCCAGTGAATGTGTCATAAGAGAATAAGATTTTGTGTCCTATACTTTGAGCTTAGATGGAAGTGATATGCCAATCACCCTGAAAAGAATTTGAAAAACAACTTTTACTCACCAACTTTTTTGAGAATTGTGTTTCTATTGTGTACTGTGAATATCTAGAATCATAAAAGTAAAAAAGAAGAAAAAAGTATGTTATTCTAGTTTTAACCTGCTACCTCTGGAATGATGTAGAAAATCTCCAGTGCCACACAGTACCAGAGTTTATGCTTGCTCTCCCCAGGCCAGCCATGCTCATGAAATAACTTTACCTTTCAACCTGGTATGTGAGCTAAAAATACCAGTTGAGCTTCATTGTCTTGGCTGAAAATCAAGTGCTCACCACCAAGTGAAGTATTTCTCAAAATCCTCCCTACTCCTAGAAGTGAGCTAGTAACATACTCTACTAATAATAAATATCTAAAAATGGAAATATATGTACAATTATGTAAAAATACTGAAATAAGCAGATTAGCATAGACTTATATGTACAAAATAGCTTGCATTACTGACACTAGGTAGTGTCAGTTGCCCAGCAGACAAACCCTGAAATTTCAGTGGCTTCAGTGTTCTGCTTTGTTTTTTGCTCAAAGTCTGATAGAAAGTAGAGGAGGGATTTGTCCTCTTCGTAATAACAGAGGAAGCCAAGCAACTATCCTGTGATAATACATTCTCAACACATGGACTCTAGAGTCAGCATACAATAAAAATGTATGGAGGAAGTACTGCACCTTTTAACTGCTTCAGCTTGGATGAGATATGTGTTACCTTTCTTCCTAATCCTTTGTCTAATGTCAAGCATATAGTTCCATCTCACCGCAAAGGAGGCTGGGAAATATCAGGGAACCCATGGGTGAGTATCCTACCTCAACATTGTATAAGGCAGAGGTTCTATTTCATTAATATTAAATATATCTTATAATTCATATTACTCATTAATATAGAGGTATATTTATTATAAAGTATTATCTTAGTGGAAATACCAAAGAAAATGTTATAAAGTATCACTTCAGCCACTGTGCTGTGAAGATAATACAAATCATCAATGGAAATCAGAAGAAATCTGTATCATCCACAAATAAACTGAATATGCAAAAAAAAAACAATGTTAGTTTCTTTAAATAGGGGTTGAATTACTATGACGACGAATATGTGTTTAACAAAAAAATTATACACTGAAAATTTAAAAATAGTTTTATTTGGATTAGCCAATAATGTTATGCAAGTCATTTCACCTTTTCGGTCCTCAGTTTCTTGTTTTGTATTGTATTGTATTGAGACCAAGTCTCACTCTGTCAATCAGGCTGGAGAGCAGTGGCCCAATCTTGGCTCACTACAACCTCCACCTCCCAAGTTCAAGAGATTATCCCAGCTCAGCCTCCAGAGTAGCTGGGATTACAGGTGCCTGCCACCACGCCCGGCCAATTTTTGTATTTTTAGTAGAGATGGGGTTTCACCATGTTGGCCAGGCTGCTCTCGAACTCCTAATCTCAAGTGATCTGCCCACCTCGGCCTCCCAAAGTGCGGGGATTACAGGAATGAGCCACTATGCCTGTCTGGTTTCTTGTTTTTTAAATGAAGTGGATGAAATAAATGGTCTTAACATCTTTTTCAGCACTAAACATTTATGATTCTATGAACTCCATTTTTCAACTCACAGTATTTTATCTTCTGAATGACATGCCTTAAACATGTCACTAATTCATGGATTGATGAAAAAATATTTATTATCTATATCTCAAATATTATGATAATTTCTAACATGAATGCAAATTCAAATCAGAGAAGGCCACAACATGTAATCACAGGGAGTATCTATAACATGTGCTGAAAATTTAGTTTTGCAGGAAACATTTATAATGTACCATGCCATCAACAAACTACAAGGAATACTATCTAGCTGCAGTCTCGGTAAGATTGATAGTTTTGTATTTCAAAAAGCATAATTAATGGCAGAGTTGACTGAATGAATCCCAGTATTCTTAAAATGTTATACTAGGGGAAGGAGTTAAACTTTGAAATGTAATTATAAAAGATAAATGTCAATAAATTTATTTTTTAGATTTTTTTACATTTTGTATTTAATTGGAAAAATAAAATTATTATTTCTTCTCAAGACAAAGACTAAAAGCACACAAAGCACCCCAGCATTGTCTTGTTTGCCCTGACGTTTCCAAAGGACAAAAAGTGAAGTTATAACTGCACAAAAGCTTTAAAAGCTCATTTTGACTTCTTGAACATTTAACATGTGCATCTGCTACTGTACTGAACTGGCAGGTGGCTAACAATTTTTTACATTGCGAACCTTTTCCCTTAATGCCTGCATGCAGTTTCATGTCATTTTCTGCCCTGAGGAGAAGAGCATACCTGCTGTTTAATCTGCCTAACTATCCTGTGTGATGAGTTTGCCATTTTGTGCATTCCAGTGTTAAAGCTGTAGTTTCATGATGCACTCTACAGTTGCCTTCTTTCCAAAAGGGTCTGTTCTCAAAGTCACAATGTGGTTCCACAGAACAATTCGAAAGTGAAGCAGAAGTGACGTGACACATGAAGACTGGCTGCTTCTTAGAGAGTGGGAAGTCATAGGCTGGACGCGGTGGCTCACACCTGTATTCCCAGCACTTTGGGAGGCCGAGGCCGGTGGATAACGAGGTCAGGAGATCGAGACCATCCTGGCCAACATGGTGAAACCCATCTCTACTAAAAAAAAAACCAAAAAATTAGCCGGGCATAGTGGCAGGTGCCTGTAGTCCCAGCTACTCTGGAGGCTGAGGTAGGAGAATGGCATGAACCCGGGAGGCGGAGCTTGCAGTGAGCTGAGATTGCGCCACTGCACTCCAGCCTGGGCGACAGAGCGAGACTCTGTCTGGAGAGAGAGTGGGAAGTCATCAATTCTTGAGGTCACCACTTTCTAAGGGCTTGCTCTCTGCTTTGCTGATCCAGAATCCTACTTTTAGCATTTCACCAAGAACTAATCAGACTTTCGAGGGTGGAGTCAGGGTTAGTAACCAAACACAAGCATGTAATGGTTCATTAACATAGAATGGAGCTCTGGATTTCAGAACCGAGAACACTGGTGTCTCCATTCAAAATACACATCCTCAGAATCAAAACACCTGAGAGAGTTTATAACTTAAAATTAGGTTGATGGGGGTTGAACTGGTGTTAAAGGAGCTGTATATTTTTGTAGGAGGGTTTATCTATTAAATAATGTGAAGAGCTAGTATTTTCTCCAGCAGTGATATATACTTCTCTTGGAAAGAAAAATAAACCACACATTTATTAGAATTTACAGTGTCAGTAGTCATACTCTGCATGTATGCAATTTCACTTCATTTACACTATAATCCAAAATGAGTAATACTGTTTTTCTCAGTTGCTAGGACAAATACAAAGTCAAGGGATAATCTCACTGCCTTAAGGGGTGAAAGCCCATTTGACATCAAAACCCAAGCTGGTTTCATATTTGATGTGCTGCTCTCATCCTCTCCACGTCAATACATTGCCTTTCCTGAATGTGGAAGACCAAGTAAAAACTGGTGAAAAATTGTTTTTTTCTCCCATTTATAAACTCAATATAAACTTTACTGTACTCTGGTTGACACTTTTATTCCCACTGACGCTTGTACAAACTACAAGTTTCTTTATCTCCATTCTTATCCTGATGTTTCCTTGTTTGTCTTGATTAGTCTTGGGTATTTCTAAACCTCTAGAAACACTTTTAAAAAGTGAAATGATATTCTTGTGATGTGACTGGCCCCTGGTCCTGTTGCTTTCTAGCGTTCATTATTTTCATTCAAGTAAATGGATTTTTAAAGGCAGTCCAACTTGATGATATAAAAACATTAAATGACTTATTTTTCTTTAAGCACTGCTTTCCAAGATACTTTGTTGAATTCCCATTCCACAGTGGGGGGCAGATCCTTTAACGACCATCATAGGATGTTTCTTTAGCTTTCTAAACATTGTCCACAATACAGTTAATCCAACTCAGTATAAAATTTAACATGATAATCTATTTAAAGCTTTCCTCTGCCCCATTGTTGACTATAGCTGTGGCTTTAAGAAGATTAACCGGAAAAGGGACATGTCTTCTTTTTCAGTTCTTCCTTTCCTTCCTTCCTCTAGGAAGCAACTACTTTAATAATGAACATTAAAAGGAAGGAAAGAAAAATAATGAACATCAGTGTATTTAACTGTGTATAGTCACAGTTTGCTCTGCGGTGGCTGCTGCTGCTTTTCTGGCCAACATTGACTGATGACTTCTGCTTGCCAGATATGCCTCTCTAAAGAGGGACTCACAGTTCCCACTCTACAGGGCTTTTCCATTGCACAGGCCCTGGATGTGGGAGTTTGAGCTCATCCTCTTCCACTGTGATCCTCTGGGCTTCTATGCCTTGGAGTCTACCTCACATAAAGCCATGTTCCTTGATGATCTGCCCTCCTGCGTTGGTCCCCACAAGGATGGCTGAATACGAGTTACCTTCCATGGTGTGCACAGACACAGAGGAAATTCACATATCTGTACCATGGCAGTGATCATGCCTCCTGCTTCACATACACCCCACTCTTCCCTGCCTCTTCTCTCCAATTTTCTTTTTCTCTGCTCAGAAAGGCAGAGAGAGACAAAGTCAGAAATCCACAGCCCATGTGTATATTCAAAATGAAAGAATGTACTTCAGGCTTTCTTATTGTAGCACATGTATGTGACTGATTCTTTTAAAGCATTTCTGTCACTTGATTTGGCAGGAGAGTGCCCAACCTTTCACCCTCAAGCTGGGATAGCCTCTCACCATCCACAATTCACTTCCCATGAGGCCATGACTCTGGTGGCACTCCCTTTCTCTCTTACCTTCCCACACTCTCTAGATATACTGGGCAGAAACTAAGGTTGAGAGGGTAAATGGTAAAAGGAGGGCTGATTCTAATAGCACTTAGTAAGTCCCAGAAGAAGAAATATGGCACCAATTTTTGGTAGCTATCCTTAAAATAGAATGCATTTAGTGACAGTTTCTTCAGCTTTGGCCTGACTTGAGTTGTTAAATCCTAGAAAAGAGAAAAAGTTCTGTCATATTTCCAATTACACATTTTAAAAATATATTCTTTCAAAAAATTACTGAATGCCTTCTATACAACAGCCACTGTATGCAAATGCTAATATAGAACACTGAAAAAATAAAATTACCACTCTCACAGTCAGAGTCATGTGTATTAGTTCATACCCTGTCTTTGGTCACACTACTCACAGCTGGCCACTAGTTTTAACTGGAGCCCTTTCTCTCTGCAACGATGATATTTATTAAGTGTGATAGGAACACTTAAAGAGGTGAGAATGGTTCTCTATGGGAAGTGGGAGGTCAGGAAAGACTTCACAGATGAAGGATTGTTCTTATTGCCTCTTATAGAACAAGTAGCAATTAGCCAGTTAAAAAGATAAGAATGGGCAGTCAAGATAGAAGAAATAGCATGTGAAAAGCAAGAAGGCATAAAAGAAATGAGAAAATATGAGTAATCAAGCATGGCTTGAGCAAAGAGTTCATAATAGTAGAAGAATAAGCAAAGTAATCATATTTAATGACTTTTTTATTACTACTTTCAGTGATTCTGAATCTTTGTCAGGCATAAGAGTTTTGCAGAGTTCTAGTTCAAATGCAAATTGCAAATTTCCAAACCCCAGAAGAGATTTCCCAGTCTCACCAAAAATTTTCAATCAGTAACTATGAAGTAGGGCCTAGTATTCTGCATGATTAAAAGAGAACCTAAGTAGGTAGCTGTTACAGTTCACCAACATAGATTCTGAGAAGTCAATAAAGGGGCTTAAATAAGGGAGTACCTTAATTATATTTGCATTTTAGACACACACCTCTGGCTACCCTATGGCTGAATGACTGTAATAAGGCATGACCAGAGGCAGGAGATTAATGAGGTGTCTATTACAGTGGTGCAAGCAAGGTATGAGGGTAGACCAGTGTCAGATTACAGAATTGACCAGTCAGGCAGATGCCTGAAATACTAACATTAAAATAATCACTGAACAGACTGAAAATGTCATACTAGCTAAATTGAGTTTCTTACAAAGACTTTTAACATAATTAACAAAATGGCAAAATACACATTAATTATGCTCCCACTGAATTAAAGAGAAAAAAAATTTCAAAGACTATTATCTCTGTTCAGTGTGCATTTGTTTGTTTGTTTAGTTGAGATGTTCAAAGTGGGAAATGCTACTGTAGGCCAAAACAGTCCTGAAACCTTTAGTCAGAAATTGCAGTCACTTTAAATTACAAAATCATAGAGTATGCCACACAGATTGAAAAGCTTATTTTGTTATATAAATTAAGACCTTTGATACTTCTCTCAAAGAAATTCTGAGATTTAAGGAAAGTACCACAAAAATGTTAAAGAAAAACCACAAGCTATTTTTTAAAAGGAAGAAAACCTTCTAGCAAGAAAACAGGAAAAAAGGAAGTCAATAGACATTCCATTTCAGTTTCTTGTATATTTGATTTAGAAAAGTTAGATGAGTGAAATAAGAGATTTTATTCGGGGCATTTTAGTTGTTGTTGTTCATTGCATGTTTTGTTTTTTTTTTTTTTTTTTTTTTGGTTTTGTTGTCCTGCCAAGGAAAAGGATATCTTAGCTTAGAAGGTGTTAATGCCAGAAATAGGAAAGAGAAAGAAGAAGACATACACACAGACACACACACACACAGAGAGGGAGATTTGTGGATTCTGCGTTTTGAATTATGAGTATAGGGGATATTTCCTTAGGGAATTGGTAAAACTCGATGAAAAATCTTGAGCAATGCCTTCAGACATACTGAATTATAGGCAATTTTGTAAAAGATTTTTGGGCCTGTAGAATGGCATGGGAATACGTGAAGGAATTAGTTACTTAGACAGTCATTCATTCATTGCCATCTCTTTGTTATCTGATGGTTTGGTTCCCTATTAAATCCTTGGTGGTCCCGAAACTCGTGACAATTCAAGTGGTTAAATCCTCAGGAAGGACCAATGTTAAGTTTTCCACCAGCCGAGAGCCAACAATTTAGCTTGAGTTATAGAGAACAAAATAACTCTATTTGTTGAAAACTTGAGTTTGTAGAATGAGATTTATACATAGGAGATGAGGAAACTTTCCTAGAGAAGCTAGATTTGCCAGTTGCATTCTAATGAAACTGGCCTTGTGATAACAATGCAGACATGCCCACAGCATGGACGAAGAGGCTGTGCTGAAAAAGAAAGCCTCCATAAGAAGGTCTTAAAGGAAGCTGCCTGACCTCAGAGGGTGAACATTCTAGGGCAGAAGCTAGCAATTAGGAAAATGCAAGAACCCCTTCTCTTGGAGCTGCCTGTGGAGTACAAGAACATTGCATAATGGATGGTATGTTGGGTAGGAGTGGGGACATGACTAATGATATGGGAGCTAAGGCCTTTAGGGACTGTCCCAGGAATTTAGAGGGTCTAGTCTGAGTCCATTATAGTTTCTCTACTCACACCAGATAACACGAATTCTGGGTAATTCTGTTTGCCTGTGCCTAGGTTGCAGGAAGAGGAATAACAAGAGAGGTCCCATGCTCAGAGGACTTAGGATCTGACGGGAAAATGAGACTGCACCTCATAATGAGGACTCTACTCAGCCCACCCAACGTCCAAAGCTTTGCAGCTACTATCTCGAATAAACAGCCATGTCCTGCACTCAGGAATTCAAAAGCAGCCTAGGAAACATGGCAAGACCCCATATCTACAAAAAAATACAACAGTAAGCCAGGTGTGGTGGCACATGCCTGTAGCCCCAACTACTCAGGAAGCTGAGTTGGGAGGATCACTTGAGCCTGGGAGGTTGAGGCTACAGTGAGCTGTGTTTGCCCCACTACACTCCAGCCTGGGTGACAAGTGAGTTCCTGTCTATACAATAATCTACTCAAGAGAATATGGCTGAGATAACAGTTTGAGACACTAGAATCTCAGATATCTGTGAACACTTTTTATATTTTTTAATTGATACTCAGTTTGTATCAATATCTGAGAACCTAACACGCTCCATTCCTCTCTTGTCACCAGGATACAACCCTGGGATAGTCAGGAACTCCTGAAAGGCCCACAGTTTTTCATCAGTCTAGTAGTAAATGCTCAAGGGCAGAAATTAAACTGAACATTTGAAATCTTAAAATGTTAGGTCTCACATCTGACTGTGAACCAAGGTTCACTCATCTTGGCATATTATAAGTTGCTTATTTAGAACCTAAAATATATACATACATATAAAAATATGTTCTTCATGAATAGAAATTATATCTTTCTTATCTAGTCAAATAAATGCTAAACAGATATTTAAAGATCAGTAATCTTGGCCAGCCCGCAGTGGCTTACGCCTGTAATCCCAGTACTTTGGGAGGCCGAGGCGGGTGGATCACAAGGTCAGGAGATCAAGACCATCCTGGCTAACACGGTGAAACCCTGTCTCTACTAAAAATACAAAAAATCAGCCGGGTGTGGGGGCGGGCACCTGTAGTCCCAGCTACTCAGGAGGCTGAGGCAGGAGAATGGCATGAACCCGGGAGACGGAGCTTGCAGTTAGCAGAGATTGCGCCATTGTACTCCAGCCTGGGCAATGAAGCGAGACTTCGTCTCAAAAAAAAAAACAAAAAACAACAAAAAGAAAGATTAGTAATCTAAGTGTGTCCAAAATTGGTGGGTTCTTGGTCTCACTGACTTCAAGAATGAAGCCGTGGACACTCGCAGTGAGTGTTACAGTTCTTAAGGATGGTGTGTCCAGAGTTTGTTCCTTCTGATATTTGGACTTGTTTGGAGTTTCTTCCTTCTGGTGGGTTCCTGGTCTTGCTGGCTTCAGGAGTGAAGCTGCAGACCTTTGCGGTGAATGTTATAGCTCTTAAGGTGGCGCATCTGGAGTTGTTCATTCCTCCCTGTGGGTTCATGGTCTCACTGGCCTCATGAGTGAAGCTGCAGACCTTCACGGTGAGTGTTACAGCTCATACAGGCGGTTCAGACCTAAAGGGTGAGCAGCAGCAAGATTTATTGCAAAGAGCGAAAAAACAAAGCTTCCACACTGCAGAAGGTGACAGGAGCAGATTGCCACTGCTAGCTCAGGCAGCCTGCTTTTATTCCTTATCTGACCCCACCCACATCCTACTGATTGGCCCATTTTACAGAGAGCTGATTGGTCCATTTTACAGAGAGCTGATTGGTCTGTTTTGACAGGGTGCTGATTGGTGCATTTACAGTCCCTGAGCTAGACACAGAGGGCTGATTGGTGTATTTACAATCCTCTAGCTAGACATCAAAGTTCTCCAAGTCCCCACTAGATTAACTAGACACAGAGCACTGATTGGTGCATTTACAAACCTTGAACTATACAAAGGGTGTTGATTGTCTCATTTACAAACCTTGAGCTAGACACAGAGTGCTGATTGGTATGTTTACAATCCTTTAGCTAGACACAAAAATTCTCCAACTCCCCACTAGATTAGCTAGACACAGAGCACTGATTGGTGCATTTACAAACCTCGAGCTAGACACAGAGTGCTGATTGGTGCATTTACAATCCCTGAGCTAGACACAAAGGTTTTCCAAGTCCCCACTAGATTAGCTAGATACAGAGTGCTGATTGGTGCATCCACGAACCCCGAGCTAGACATAGAGTGCAGATGGGTACATATACAATCCTCCAGCTAGACATAAAAGGTCTCCAAGTCCCCACCCGACTCAGGAGCCCAGCTGGCTTCACCTAGTGGATCCCGCACCAGGGCCATAGGCAGAACTGCCTGCCAGTCCCACACCACGCGCTTGCACTCCTCAGCCCTTAGGCAGTGGATGGGACCAGGTGCAGCGGAGCAGGGGGCGGTGCCTGTCAGGGAGGCTGGGGCCGTGCAGGAGCCCACCATGTGGGGCTCGGGCATGGTGGGCTGCAGGTCCCAAGCCCTGCCCCACAGGGAGGTGGCTAAGGCTGGGTGAGAATTCAAGCACAGCGCAGGCAAGCCGGCAGTGCTGGGGGACCCGGTGCCCCCTCTGCAGCTGCTGGCCCCCCGGTGCTAAGCCCCTCGCTGCCTGGGGCCATTGGCACCAGCTGGCCACTCTGAGTGCTGGGCCTGCCAAGCCCACACCCACCTGGAACCCGCGCTGGCCTGCAAGCACTGTGTGCATCCCCGGTTCCTGCCAGCGCCTCTCCCTCCACAACTCCCTGCAAACAGAGGGAGCTGGCTCCAGCCTCGGCCAGCCCAGAGAGGGGCTCCCACAGTGCAGTGGTGGGCTGAAGAGTTCCTCAAGGGTGGCCAGAGCAAGACGCCAAGGCCAAGGAGGCACTGAGAGCGAGCGAGGGTCACCAGCACATTGTCACCTCTCATAAGGGTATACCAAATCATTGCTGTCTGGGTAGTTACACACCTTGGCCATGCACCTACATCTGAACTTAGGAAGACAGAAAAAGATTTAAGAGATATCTGGAAGGGAAATCAATTTCTGCCCTTTCATCTTTTGTCTAGGGCTTTCTTTCAATGGTTATGTGTCTTTCCTTCCTGTGTGTCTTATGTTAAAGAGAATTGTGTATACAAGCTCCTTGAGGGCAGAAACTGTGAGGTCATGTGCACAATCCTTCATAATGCCGTTGACATAGTAGGCGTTAGTGAAATGTTTGCTGAATGTTTGGATGAGATGAAACTTAAATGCACTACCTAAAGTGTTGTTTTGTCCCACCGTGTCTGGAGTTGGTGGGTTATTGGTCTCACTGACTTCAAGAATGAAGCCGCGGACCCTCACGGTGAGTGTTACAGCTCTTAAGGTGGCGCATCTGGAGTTTCTTCCTTCTGATGTTCGAATGTGTTCGGAGTTTCTTCCTTCTGGTGGGTTCATGGTCTCACTGGCTCAGGAGTGAAGCTGCAGACCTTCACGGGGAGTGTTACAGCTCTTAAGGCAGCATGTCTGGAGTTGTTCGTTCCTCCCAGTGGGCTCGTGGTCTCACTGGCTTCAGGAGTGAAACTGCAGATCTTCACGGTGAGTGTTACAGCTCATAAAAGCAGTGTGGACACAAAGTGAGCAGTAGCAAGATTTATTGCAAAGAGCGAAAGAACAAAGCTTCCACGGTGTGGAAGGGGACCCATGCAGGTTGCCACTGCTGGCTCGGGCAGCCTGCTTTTACTCTCTTATCTGGCCCCACCCACGTCCTGCTGATTGGTAGAGCCGAGTGGTCTCTTTTGACAGGGTGCTGATTGGTGCATTTACAATCCCTGAGCTAGACCCAAAGGTTCTCCACCTCCCCATCAGATTAGTTAGATACAGAGTATTGACACAAAGGTTCTCCAAGGCCCTACCAGAGCAGCTAGATACAGAGTGTCGATTGGTGCACTCACAAACCCTGAGCTAAACACAGGGTGCTGATTGGTGTGTTTACAAACCTTCAGCTAGATACAGAGTGCCAATTGGTGTATTTACAATCCCTGAGCTAGACATAAAGATTCTCCACATCCCCACCAGACTCAGGAGCCCAGCTGGCTTCACCCAGTGGATCCCGCACTGGGGCTGCAGGTGGAGCTGCCTGCCAGTCCCGCACCATGCGCTCGCACTCCTCAGCCCTTGGGTGGTCAATGGGACTGGGCGCCGTGGAGCAGGGGGTGGTGCTCGTTGGGGAGGCTGGGGCCGCACAGGAGCCCATGGAGGGGGTGGGAGGCTCAGGCATCGCGTGCTGCAGGTCCCGAGGCCTGCCCCGCAGGAAGGCAGCTATGACCCGGCAAGAAATTGAGTGCAGCGCCGGTGGGCTGGCACTGCTGGGGGACCCAGTACACCCTCCGCAGCTGCTGGCCCGGGTGCTGAGTCCCTCATTGCCTGGGGCCAGCAGGACCAGCCGGCTGTTCAGGGTGGGGGGCCCGCCAAGCCCACGCCCATCCGGAACTCCAGCTGGCCCGCAAGCGCCACACGCAGCCCCTGTTCCCGCTGGCGCCTCTCCCTCCACACCTCCCTGCAAGCTGAGGGAGTGGGCTCCAGCCTTGGCCAGCCAAGAAAGGGGCTCCCACAGTGCAGCGGTGGGCTGAAGGGCTCCTCAAGTGCTGCCAAAGTGGGAGCCCAGGCAGAGGAGGTGCCCAGAGTGAACGAGGGCTGTAAGGACTGCCAGCACGCTGTCACCTCTCTCCAAGAGATGAAAAATAGCAAACATACCACATAGAAGAAGTAAGCTGCCTCCTTTGCTTGAAGAATGAAACGACATATAGTGGCTTAGACATGTAATTTGAAATTTTTACTCAATCTGTGACCTTGGTTATAACTTTGGGTAATTGGCTAACCACAGTTTCCATCTATTTTCATGTCCTTCTATTCCCCTAATCGTAGAATCATAGTAGAAAAGGTAATTCTTACTGACCTCATATGATGGTGGTGTAAATAAATAATCAAAGCTATGGTTAAGTACTTTATGACTGAAACATAATGTGCCTTCCTAAATGTTTGTGGAAGTAGTCAGGCTGACCTTTCAGCAGCCAATGAATTATTCAGACTGCACTGTCATTCTACAGCAGTCCAAATACTAATAAGATTCCTTTGACATTGATACAAGCCTAGTTAGATATAATTTGCATACATAAAACAGTGTCATGTAATATTTATCACATTCCAATTATGCAAAAAGTTCTACCAAAAACAACCCAAAAAATAACATTAGTAATAATAAAGCTATAATATACAGGTGACGCTTAAACAACATGGGTTTGAACTGCATGGGTCCTTCCTATACAGATTTTCTTCTACCTCTGTCACTCCTAAGACAGAAAGACCAATTTCCCTCTTCCTCCTCCTCCTCAGCCTACTCAACGTGAAGATGAGAAGGATGAAGACATTTTGATGATCCACTTCCACTTAATGAATAGTAAATATATTTTCTCTTCCTTATGATTTTATTAATAACATTTTCTTCTCTCTAGCTTACTTTACTGTAAGAATAGAGTATACAATACTTAAATATATAATGTACATTTTATATAAAGTATGTAATACATAAATATCATAACGTATGTTCATTGAGTGTTTATGCTCTTGATAAAGCTTCTGGTCAATAGAAGGCTATCAACAGTTAAATTTTGGGGGAGAAAAAAGTTATATGCAGATTTTCAACTGCACGAGGGTTTGGCGCCCTTAACCCCTGCGTTGTTCAAGGGTCAATCGTATGCTCAATAGTACAATTGGAATGGGAAATGTGGAAAATAATAGAACAACAGGCCAAATTCTTTGTTATTTTATTTTATTTATTTTATTTTATTTTATTGTTATTATACTGTAAGTTTTAGGGTACATGTGCACAATGTGCAGGTTTGTTACATATGTATACATGTGCCACGCTGGTGTGCTGCACCCATTAACTCGTCATTTAGCATTAGGTAGATCTCCAAAGGCCATCCCTCCCCTCTCCCCTCACCCCACAACAGTCCCCAGAGTGTGATGTTCCCCTTCCTGTGTCCATGTGTTCTAATTGTTCAATTCCCACCTATGAGTGAGAACACACGGTGTTTGGTTTTTTGTCCTTGCGATAGTTTGCTGAGAATGATGGTTTCCAGTTTCATCCATGTCCCTACAAAGGACATGAACTCATCCTTTTTATGGCTGCATAGTATTCCATGGTGTATGTGTGCCACATTTTCTTAATCCAGTCTATCATTGTTGGACATTTGGGTTGGTTCCAATTCTTTGCTATTGTGAATAGTGCCTCAATAAACATCCATGTGCATGTGTCTTTATAGCAGCATGGTTTATAATCCTTTGGGTATATACCCAGTAATGGGATGGCTGGGTCAAATGGTATTTCTAGTTCTAGATCCCTGAGGAATCGCCACACTGACTTCCACAATGGTTGAACTAGTTTACAGTCCCACCAACAGTGTAAAAGTGTTCCTGTTTCTCCACATCCTCTCCAGCACCTGTTGTTTCCTGACTTTTTAATGATTGCCATTCTAACTGGTGTGAGATGGTATCTCATTGTGGTTTTGATTTGCATTTCTCTGACAGGCAGTGATGATGAGCATTTTTTCATGTGTTTTTTGACTGCATAAATGTCTTCTTTTGAGAAGTGTCTGTTCATATCCTTCGCCCACTTTTTGATGAGGTTGTTTGTTTTTTTCTTGTAAATTTGAGTTCATTGTAGATTCTGGATATTACCCCTTTGTCAGATGAGTAGGTTGCGACAATTTTCTCCCATTTTGTAGGTTGCCTGTTCACTCTGATGGTAGTTTCTTTTGCTATGCAGAAGCTCTTTAGTTTAATGAGATCCCATTTGTCAATTTTGGCTTTTGTTGTCATTGCTTTTGGTGTTTTAGACATGAAGTCCTTGCCCATGCCTATGTCCTGAATGGTATTGCCTAGGTTTTCTTCTAAGGTTTTTATGGTTTTAGGTCTAACATGTAAGTCTTTAATCCATCTTGAATTAATTTTTGTATAACGTGTAAGGAAGGGATCCAGTTTCAGCTTTCTACATATGGCTAGCCAGTTTTCCCAGCACCATTTATTAAATAGGGAATCCTTTCCCCATTGCTTGTTTTTGTCAGGTTTATCAAAGTTCAGATGGTTGTAGATACGCGGCATTATTTCTGAGGACTCTGTTCTGTTCCATTGATCTATATCTCTGTTTTGGTACCAGTACCATGCTGTTTTGGTTGCTGTAGTGTTGTAGTATAGTTTGAAGTCAGGTAGCGTGATGCCTCCAGCTTTGTTCTTTTGGCTTAAGATTGACTTGGAGATGCGGGCTCTTTTTTTGCTCCATGTGAACTTTAAAGTAGTTTTTTCCAATTCTGTGAAGAAAGTCATTGGTAGCTTGATGGGGATGGCATTGAATCTATAAATTACCTTGGGCATTATGGCCATTTTCACAATATTGATTCTTCCTACCCATGAGCATGGAATGTTCTTCCATTTGTTTGTATCCTCTTTTATTTCATTGAGCAGTGGTTTGTAGCTCTCCTTGAAGAGGTCCTTCACATCCCTTGTAAGTTGGATTCCTAGGTATTTTATTCTCTTTGAAGCAATTGTGAATGGGAGTTCACTCATGATTTGGCTCTCTGTTTGTCTGTTATTGGTGTATAAGAATGCTTGTGATTTTTTGCACATTGATTTTGTATCCTGAGACTTTGCTGAAGTTGCTTATCAGCTTAAGGAGATTTTGGGCTGAGACAATGGGGTTTTCTAGATATACAATCCTGTCATCTGCAAACAGGGACAATTTGACTTCCTCTTTTCCTAATTGAATACCCTTTATTTCCTTCTCCTGCCTAATTGCCCTGGCTAGCACTTCCAACACTATGTTGAATAGGAGTGGTGAGAGAGGGCATCCCTGTCTTGTGCCAGTTTTCAAAGGGAATGCTTCCAGTTTTTGCCCATTCAGTATGATATTGGCTGTGGGTTTGTCATAGGTAGCTCTTATTATTTTGAGATATGTCCCATCAATACCTTATTTATTGAGAGTTTTTAGCATGAAGGGTTGTTGAATTTTGTCAAAGGAACAGGCCAAATTCTAAAAACCATAAACTTCCAGTTTCAGGCTAGGTTTCTGTTAGTCACTGCACTTGTCTATTCATGATGAGGTTTTCAAAATCTGGTTAAAATATGACAATTTAGATAAACATCTAACCTAATTCCTAAATTCAAAGCCTCATTTGTGGACAAAGGCCCATCCATAAAAACACACAGGACAATCCTACTGAAAGAAAAAATTACTTAAAAAATACAGCAATGATTACTTTTTTTATCCAGGACACTTATTTTACCATTCCTTTTTGCCTCCACCCCAAACACTCAAAATAAGAAATAAGAACAGAGAAGTACAAATTCCCTTCATGCTTTTTATAAAATGAAAAATATTGTGATTATCTAAAAACCCAGCAGGAAATTCTCCCAGAGCTTAATGACGATGATGACATTAGCCCTGCTCTGCTGAAATGATGATCAAAGGTGGTAATGAGAGACAACATAACCTTACATTAGTCAGGTTATAAAAGAAATTCCATCAAAAGATGAAATCTCCAAAGTGTAAAATTGAAATGTTACAACTTGCAGATGACTCTGTGTCATCTTTTTCTGCAAAGGTATTAAAATGTCACAACATCATAGAGGAAAGTTTATTATTACTGAGATGTGATAATGTTATACATATATTTATATATATATTCATGTAAGTACATTAAATCACTCTTTTCTTCTATCAAACTAAAAAGACAATATTCCTGAAAGACACAGTTACCTATAATTTGTGAGTTTCAATCCAGATGAGACCAATTCACCACATTTGTGAGTCCCTTGGCACTGTTTTATGATTCTTTTAAGAGCTGAGATGAACTTTCTCCTTGAATTTCATGCAAATTCAATCACATCAACCTAGCACTTTTATTTACGGGAGTAAGAAGTTAAGATGCTTACGCATTCTGGTGTTTCACAAAAGCAGTAGTAAGAGTTTCTTGTAGAATGTTTCCATTGATTATGAAATGTTAAATACCCACCATACAATAGAGATAGAGGAATAGAAGAATTCTAACATTGTTTAGACTATTTGGTGTCTTTATTAGACTCATGCTGATTAGACAAATTCAAAATAAATTCAGATTAAAGATTATATATTAAATAATGAATAGGCAATTACGATATATGCTATAAGGGAAACAAATAACATATACATTCCATTGGGAAGTCCACAACCCTAAAACTAAAAGTCTCAAACCCAAAAGTTTGCAGATTTGCTTTTTATTTAAAAACTGAGGCCAGGTACGGTGGCTCACGCTTGTAATCCCTGTAATCCTAGCACTTTGGGAGGCCGAGGCGGGTGGATCACCTGACGTTAGGAGTTTGAGACCAGCCCGGCTAACATGGTGAAATCCCATCTCTGCTAAAAATACAAATTTAGCCAGGTGTCGTGTTGTGCGCCTGTAATCCCAGCTGCTTGGGAGGCTGAGGCAGCAGAATCACTTGAACCTGGGAGTCAGAGGTTGCAGTGAGCCAAGATTGCTCTATTGCATTCCAGCCTGGGCAAAAACAGCGAAACTCCATCTTAAAAAAACAAAAAAAATGAAACTATCCTTAGGAAAATATATTAGAAATGAACTTGCACCACTCAATTAGTCCTGTAGTAACAGAAGGATTGACCCATTAAAAAAAGTGCTCCTTTATTGTTGGGCTAGTGTTTAGGGACATTGCTAAAATATGTAAACATTGCTACATCTTCCCAAACTAGAACCACATCAGACCATAACTCAGCAGGATGCTCCTATCAAAAGCCTGTGGGAACTGAAATCTATGTCGGAAACTTAAGAATCCACAACTCTCAGCTCACATTTTCTTTGAAAAGAATGGCAGGTAGAGGTGGACTCGGCAGTACTGTTGAAAGTGTGAGCACACATACAGTTGATTTGAGTAAATTAAATGTATCTGTGATAAAACTACATGATATTTATAATAAAACCAAAGCTGAGTAGAGATACAAACCAATTTCCCTGGGATTTCATAAGAATGAGCCTCCTGAATACAGGAAATAAGGAGGCATTTCAGGTAAGCCTTGAGAGTTTAAGAGAATGATGACATGAAGGAAAGGATTGGAAATAAAAATATTTCAAAAGATAGAGACGTGAAATGGCAAATCCTAGATATAAGAAATATACTGAATTCACTAAGATTCAGGTTTATATTAAACCATACATCTTGAAAGGCCTTGAATTTCATGTGAAAGAGTTGGAATTTATTCTACAAGTAATAGAAAACTAGAAGAGTTCTGAAAAGAAGAAAGGTCATTATGAACTCACCTGTGATTTGGGAAGAAAATCCTCATGGTAGATTGGAGAGAGAAATTGAATGGCAAGAAATTAAAAGCAGGAAGTGTAGACAGAAAGAAATAGAAGTGTAAAGAGAAAAGACAAAAAGGGATATAAAAAAATGTTCTGAGGTAGAATCAAGAAGATTTGATGACTAATGAGGTTTGTGGGAGAAAGGGAGAAACATAGGTTTTTGTATCTCTGGCTATTAATAAAAATAATGACCATAGAAACAGAGTAGATTATTTTATCAGGAATATGAGAGTGCTTAGACAAAATCCATTTTAATTCAAATATATTGTGTTTAAGAATCGCAGGTATAGGCAAATAAAGATACTAATTTGGTGCTTGAAAATTCAGATTGTCAATAAGGAGAGTAGGGATTAAGGTGATTTGGGAGCTCCCTGAATGGTGATGGTAATTGAAGGTAGATATGAATGGGTTTGCCCAGAAAGAGAAAGACATAGGAAGCAGATGTGAGTGTAGAATGGTTCATATAGCCCACTTATCTAATAAAATGCTCAATTTATCATAGTCAATGGGTATGACTCAACATTTGAAATCTACAGATAATGTGAGCAAATGGAAGATATTAGATGAAAGTGGCTAACCATGTTATTTTTATGCCTTTCTAAATAATGCAATTTTCTGTATAATAAAAGCTTTCAAGAAGCAAACTATGTAGGTCTCAATGAAATATCTTTAGAAAACAAAAGAGACAGAAAAAAGGTGAATCTGAAGCCATTTTCAAAATGGGATGCAATGGCTTTACAAATAAATATCTCCCAAGAAAGTTTATGTCCTAGCATTTTATATGTAGAAACACTGCCATATAAGAATTTAACAACTTAATAAAGCATTTAAAAATTGTTTTAAAACATAATATATAGCATGTTCGAATTAAAAGGACGATAGCTGGAGTGCTCATGAAATTTTTATTATAAAATTAGACACAACCAAATGACAGAGAGTAAAGGTATACATAAAAAGTAAACTAGCTGATGTATATGTTTTATTCTGGTTTACACCTTGATTTGTGTGGACTTATTTAAAATCTATATAAATAAAGAAGTATGAAATAAAAAAATCTAATAAAGTGATTATTCAATACAGATTTTATTCTTACCTTTCTGCATTATATGTCTTAACATCATTCCCCTTGAATGGGTATCTGCTATTATCTCTTAAAAATGGTTGCATTTTACAATTTAAAGATTCTTAAATTATTAAGTCATTTAAAGAATTTTAAAAATTCTTCAGTTCTATTAAAATTTTCAAATCTGTAACAAGAGATTAATTTTATATATAAACGTATTTTATGTCTTTAGTACTTTTCCTCCAAAATAAATTTATATTTTGTAGTAAGTATAGAAGAAAATATGTTAAATTGTAAGTACTTGCCAATTCCTGCTTCTGACCCTTTCTGTTTCTCTTACCTGCTATCTCACCAGACTTAGCAGGCTGAGAAAGAAGACTTTGCCTTTGGCTTCTTGGACTCTTCTGCTATCCCGCCATGCAAAGGTTCTCCTTGCTTAGTTTCTAAACTGTTTTATAGGATTGGGGAAATCAGGAAACAGAGAGCTCCAGAAGAAGGAAAGGTCGAGTCAATATTCAGAGAAACACATCTTCAGAAGGCAAAAAAATAGTTTTTGTTCAGCTTTCATTCTGATTGGATGTTTCATACCCTGTAAATGTGGCTAAATATTTTGAATATCAAATCCAAGAAGAAACTAGAACAATGCTTCTCAAACTGTCTGTGGTGAAGAGCCAGCTTTTTCCCCAGACTTTGTCACAGGCCAATATTTTGTAATACAATACAAATAAAATAATATAAAAATAAAATTCTAAAAACTACAAAGGCAAAAATCAATCCAATTTTTATATTGGATTCATCAAGGAAACTCAATTAATTGTCTATAAAAGTTTTTAAATGTTTCCTCTCAATTTGTACTTTCTCACTGCCGGTGGTAACCTCTATTTCTAGAATGAGCAAGAGTCTGCACATCACTCTTAGAGTAACCCTGCAATGGAAGATATATTGAAGAGAAAAGAAAAGGAAATCATACAAACAAGAAGGCAGCAGAAGAGTCAAGAGCCCTTCAGCCTGGATGTGGAAAGGCATTTCTAGTAAGTAAGGAAAAATGAGGCTTGGAGAGAAGTTTTGGGGACATCCTCTATGGAAAACAATGCTAAGAATTATTACTACAGTTAAAAACTGAAGTTGATGTTCTTTGATAAATACTAAACAAAGAGAAAAAATTAATGACTTGTGGTTGTTGATTTCTTTTACTGAATTTCATGTTGGAAGAGACAAATAAGCAAATATGCTTAGCAGAGAAACTACCCAGCTTTATCAGATCCAAAAAGATGACTGCTTCTTCTGAATCTAGAGTGAAGGAGGATTTCCAGGAAGGAGCACCCTATACTCTGAGACTTGACAAATAAGTGAGTCATAAAAGAGAAAAGAGTAAGGGAAAATGTTCTAGGCTACATAAATAAATAAACAAATAAATGCCAAGTAAACAAGTAGAAAATAAGAGCTACTAGAGAGTAACAGAGAGTACTTCATAATCAAGTGAATTTAATGTGACTGGAAGATCAGGGTGAAAGTATATTGTAACACTTATTTTAAAAGCAACCAATTATTCCCATACTGTGCTTGCATTTTTAGTTTCAAATATCCTGAGTTATAGGCTGAATTAAACATTCACTATATATCCAGCCATTCATCTAAACATCCATCCATCTATCTAACCTTCCATACACCCATCCAATATCCACTTAATATTTGGCATTAAAGAAATGAAATCACTGTAAATATTTATACCTCAAAGCATTTGAATTTGATTTTTCACAATTGAGTGGTACAGATCTCAAAGCCAGAAAAAATGAGAAAAATCAAATTAAATCCTCAAGAAAAAAAATGAGTTTTATACGTTAGTCTATTTTTGTTTTTGTAGAGGGGATGGTGATGGTTTATTTTGTTTTACTTTATTTTGTTTTGATTTGCTTTTTTCACACAGTCTTTATTCTGGCTGAAATCTTGATGAGCAAATAAATAAATATTCCCATAAAAGATACATAAAATTAGGTTCAGAGAAAGTCTGGAAATCAAGTCTAGAAGCCACTTTAACCCAGTAAATACAAAAACACAGCAGATAATTTGGGCTACCATAGAAATGTAAAGAGTTGTTACCTGAATTTTATTGGTTTCACAGGGCAAAACACATCCCTGAACTGCCTGGTTCCCAGCCACTACAATCTTGTTTTTTCCCATGAAAAACTAATTGTTCGCCACCATTCCTTCATCCCCAAAAACCCCATGCTCAGGGTCAATCGTGTCCTCAGAAGGAATATATAGTCTGAGTGAAATAATACTGTTAAGGTGAATTAGCTACTCTATTGCTTTCTGAACCCAGTGATATTAAGAACATCAATTAATACACAGTGATTATTTGCTCAGTGCCAATTTCTTTATTTATATGAACACCAGTGTTTACAAGAATTGTATTTGGTATTTATTATCTCCATTTTCCAACTAAGAAACTCAGAGAAAGTAGTTACTTCTTTGAAGCTCAGAAAAGGTAGGCACCAGCTATGGACTGAATTGTGCCCCCTTCCCTCACCACAAATTTATATGTGAAGCCTTAATGTCCAATGTGGCTATATTTGGTGATATGGTCTTTGCAGAGGTGATAAAGTTTAAATGAGGGAATACGTGTGGGGCTCTAATCCAATACAACTGGTACTGTTATAAGAAGAGGATATTCTCTCTGCCATGGGAGGATACAGTAAGAAGGTATGTGAGCCAGGAAGAGAAACCTTGGGGGGAATTAAATTGGTCTTGGACTTCCCAGACTCCAGAACTGTGAGAAAATGCATTTCTGATCTTTAAGGTGCCCAATATATGGTGTTTTGTTATGGCAGCCTAAGCCAGTGAAGACAGCAACTATCCAATATCAAATAGCTAGTATTAGAACACTAATTCAAATTGAGGTCTCTTTGATCCTAAA
Source organism: Homo sapiens (assembly GCF_000001405.40). Classification (NCBI taxonomy): domain Eukaryota; kingdom Metazoa; phylum Chordata; class Mammalia; order Primates; family Hominidae; genus Homo; species Homo sapiens. The sequence goes on along the minus strand of NC_000004.12, from coordinate 57,955,584 downwards.
TTTTATGCTCATTTAACAACTTACTTGACCTCCTGAATAGTAAAAACTGAAGCAACTTAATCGTGATTTATCTTTTGTGAATTTTCAGTTTTATTCTATCTTTATTTTTGACAATTCCCATCCAGAATGTTATTCTAGTTTCTAGAAGCTTATTAAAAATAATTTTAAAAAATTGTAGGACTGTTTTATTCTTTCTCTTTATGATGCCTTTCTCTGTAATTTTGTTAACATTATATTAACTACAATTTTAAAATTAAACAAGGATGGCAAATGTAGCATATATCACTAGCTACCACTAAAGGTGGTTCATTCTTACGAGCACACAGCTAGACAACACATACTAGCTTCTCTCACAGTGAATAAGTTCTATCCAATGAAATGTTGGTGAAAATAATATGGGCTACTTCAAGATCTTGCCCATAAATACTTCCTTCATAGGCTTCTCTGTGAAGCCTAATTCTCTAACTAGAATATTCAAAGTCATGCATTAGAAATAGTTGAGCCTCCAGCTTTAGAGATTGTGACACTAAATAATTATGTGAAAAAGATCTATTATGCAGACCTTACTACCTGCATAAAACTGTTAAGTATGCAAAAACAAACTTAAAGCCACAAAAATCTTGGGATGTACTTGTTCTTGCATCTTTGCCTATTTATCTACCATAACTAATTCAGCAATAATTTTTGGTGCTTAAGAGCACCTTTCTGTGATTCAGTTTTTAAGCTGAAGAATGGGGAACATAATCATTCCTACTTCATAGATGGTTATGAAAACTAAATGAGGTAACAATAACATGAAGCCAGTACCTGCCCTCAAGAAATGGAAGTCATAATAGTAATAATCATTATGATAGAAATTATTTAAATGACTTTATTCATGCTTTAATTGCCCACATATAGCTATGAATGCTTTTTAGTATTTGTAAAATTTTTCATAGATTGTATCTTTTTTAATGTGGTCAGTTATCACTTACTGTCATCAATATGCCTGCCTATAACATTTGTTCTATAACAAATTAGCTGGATTTTACCTACTGTTAAATAAGCAGGAGACCATTAGCCTCAGGCTATCTCCATACTCAAAGTTCTTATATAACAAATTTTAACCTAACTTAGTACATAAATGAACCAAAACCTAACTTAGAAGTATATTTTTGGTAACAAAGAACTGAGTTTCAACCAATCACAGGCAAATGAGCTTCAGCCAATCACAGGCTGCCAACTGACAAGACCATGCACAAATCAGGCAAATGCCTCATCACGCCTTACCCCAATAATGCAGACACCTAGCTAGAGCCAGTCAGGTGATCTCCCTACTTTACTTCCATGTTCAGCCTATAAAAACTCTGTTCACATTGGTGAGTGGAGCTCTCTGAACCTCTTCTGGTTCTGAGTGCTTCCCGATTCATAATTTTTTATTTTATTCAAGTAAGGTCTGTTAAATTTATTGCATCTAAAGTTTTTCTTTTAAAACTACTTAAAACTGAAAAATAAAAAAAAATCAAATTTGTTAGAATTGCTTAGGAAGTTATAGTATCATATTGGTTATGAGCTAAGACCAAAGGGATTTCTATATGGGTAAAACACATAAGCTTCAGAAGTTGAACCTTTTGACATCTCTTTTATCTACTTGATAGTTTACCTCTTAAAACATTATCTCTATAATTTAAATACTCTCTTGGTTGAATAGCAACACAACTCAAATGTTATTAGACCTAAATGAAAACATAGTGTCTCATATTATTGAGAATACCAGAAGTACGCCTTTCTTCAATAAGGGCTAGATACAAGAATATGGCCATTTAATTTTCTTTTATCCTTCTCTTCCTTCCTTCCCTTCCCTTTCTTCCTTTTCCTTCTTTTCCCTTCCTTCCTTCCCTCCCTCCCTCTTTCTTTCTTTGTTTCTTTCTCTTTCTTTCTTTTACTTTCTGCTTCTTTCTTTCTTTCCTTCCTTCCTTCCTCCCTTCCTTCCTTTTCCTTCCTTCCTCTCTTCTCTTCCCTTCCCTTCACTTTCCTTCCTTCTCTTCTTTTCCTTTCCTCTCACCTCCCCCCTCCCCTCCCCTCTCCTCTCCTCTGCTCTCCTCTCCTTTCCCCTCCCCTCCCTTCCCCTCCCCTTCCTTCCTTCCTTCCTTCCTTCCTTCTTTCCTTCCTTCCTTCCTTTCCTTTATTTCCTTCTTCCTCTCTCTTCCTCCCTTCTTTCTTTCTCTCTCTCCTTCTTTCTCACCCATCATTTTTTCTTCATTCCTCAGCTCTGATGTCCTCTTTTAGCTTCATTTTGAAGTGGGCTTCCTCACCTTTTGGTAAAAGTAGTCTCTAACATCTTAGATAACAAAACTTGAAAAAAGACAGTGCTCTTATTTCCTAACAGTTATTGTAACAGTTTTGAGGTGGGCACTTATTGTAACACTTTTGAGGGGGACGGTTTTGAGGTGGCCTAGTTTGGTTGATATACCCATCCTTGAACTAATTTTTATGGTACTCAGATAGCCCTGTGCCATATGCTTTGCCCTGAACATAGAGGGAGAGCCAAGCTCCCTTGAGGTACATGGATTAAGATGGTGGAATGGTAGATCCAAAAAGTTATGCACTGGTTGGTCAATGAATCCACTATGTTCCACAACTGTATTGACTATGATACACAAACATTTCCTGCAGAATTTTAAAATTCTAGTTTCATTATAACACTATTCCAGCTACAATTAAAGATACAATAACTCTATGCGAAAAGGGAAATAACCCAAGGTTTTACCCAGTTACTGCCTGTAGCTCTGAGACCAACTTCTATATTTTGACTCCTATTCTACACAGTAACTTTCCCATGAAGATTTACATAGTCCGGAAATTCTAGGGATCTCAAACGTCAGCCTTGAAAAACACATGGTTAGACTTTTTATCTAAAATAGACAGTACATAAAAATGCCAACATTGCAGCCTTGGGAGGAAAATTCTCATTGACAGTCAATCTATCTCTATTCAGTACATTTCATATTTTAGGAATGTTACTTAAAAGGCAGAGCTCATTTCCCTTTATAATATTGGTCAGCTTTCATCTATTTGCATATGCAATAAACCTAAAGTCCCAGGGGTGAAACTGGCTGCATGGGTTGTAGATTCAATGAATGATCTCCAGACAAGTCATAATTTTTTCCATCAATCTGCTCTGCTTTCCTCTGTGTTGGCATTTTTCTGGGCTAAATTTCCCTATGAGATGACAATGATGATCACCAGTAGCTCAAGGTATAAGTTTTCACATAGGGAACAATCCCAGGAACAAAAGGGATATTATTTTTTGATAGTGCTATACAATCCTTGAGTAGGATTTCAGTCAACTTTACTAAGTCATTAGTGTATCATGAAAGTACTGTGATTGCATAGGCCTTGCACAAGATTTTGTCATTCCTAGACCTAGAAAGTGGGATCAACCCCATATTAACCTGATTGACCAAGAATGAGGGAGGGGTAATTTCCCCAAAAAGATACTTGACACAAAAGGGTATGTCAAGTACATCTGGAGTCTGTAAAGTTGAAGTTGCTAGAGAGGAGACTTACTAATAAGTGAGGTGCTTGGTACTATGCATGACAACTTCCAATTTTTTAAATGTTCATTTGAGCTTCAAGCATCAATGATGAGCACCACAAGTTGACTTTGGTCTATTTTTTCCAACTTCTATCAATTTTTCCATCTCCTCTTCTACAATATTCAATTTAACTCCACATTCATATGTGGAAGATCTGTTCTTTGCTCTTAAATATATATGACATACACTTCAGTTACTAATATTCTAATAGACAAGATAGAAATGCAAAATAACTAGTTCTGCCATAAGAGAGAAGTGAATAAGTACTACAGTGGAACATAACTATATTGATTTATTGGATTAAAATTGTAAGAATACTTCTATCCAAATTACATATTTTTTTCTGTTAGTCAAATTTCATTTCTGGGTATATAATAATGTTCTTCAACATTGCAAAAAATATCTGTTCACCCAAATTTTCCCTAGTCCCTTAAACCAAACGTTGTGCAACAAAATGCTAATCTCATGCCAACTGTATAATTTACATAAGTTATATATAATATTATTAAATGAGATACCTGGAGACATTTTTCACCACTCTTATTGCTGTACACTATACAAAAATGTTTTTTTCTTATGGTATACAATGGAACCAAATGTTAAAAACTTCCTAGAAGGTAAGAACTAGAAAATATAGCTTATAAGAGTATGTAGCATCTTTATGTTTACAGACAATATAATGCTGACAGTTTGCTTCATGCGTAGGAGACATAGCAATTAACAGTAAAAAGTTCAAAGTTTAAAAAGAGTGCAGAGTAATCATTTAATAATCAAATATCAGAAAGTTTTCCATCATGAATAAATTTTGACATAATATAGACTTCCCAATCTTGTAATTTCGGTACAAATTCTCTCAGAATACATCAGGGGGAATTAATTTCATAAGATTAATGGCTTCTGTAGGGAAAATCAGTTATTGATTTCTTCATCTCATTGTTAATGACAAAGACTATAAGACAAGAATCAGTAACCCAAAATGATGAAATAAGATGTCAGGTTTCATGGTATTCTAAGACAGACACTAATCTATAGACATAGTTTCAGAATTATAATTTACCAGCAAGAGTTGTATCTATGAAACAAGTTTAATCTGATAACGTTTCAGCTATTTATGGCTGCTATATAACTATGAAATGATCTGTATATACCTAGAAATGGACTCTGAGACAGAGACCATTCCTCAGGAAAAAGCTAAGGCAACCTCATTTCTTGAATTACTCTATTTACTTGAAAAGAAACATACAATTTTTAAACATTTATTCAAGAAAATTTGGCATGTAATTTGAGAAAGGAGAAATAAGAAAAATAAATGGAAAAAAATGAATTTCTTAACTTCTGTTTCCTTATAGTCTCTGGATTGAGGGGCCCTTAGTCAGGTGATGGGATGGAGAAATCAGAGCTATAACCTTGGACATATGATAATGCACTACCACTTTTGCTAGCATTACGTATTTTCAAAGGACACCCATTAGAAGTTGCATCCACCAACCAGAAAAACAGCGCTTCAGCTTTTAACATTTCTCCCTCAAATGTCTCAAAGGAAAAAAACAACAGGAGAAACAGGGAAGGTGGAATAAGAGTCACCAGGAGTGTGGGGTAAAAAAGAGAATTCTCCACGCACTCCAGTGTGGAAGACAGGATGAGACTGTCTCAAAATAAATAAATAAATAAATAAACCAAAACAAGAAAAATATGAAAAGATTTCCAAAATAGAAGAGATACTTTTAAATTCAAAAAAAAACTTACAATAAACTTTTTATTCACTGCTTATATCTTTCCAATAATTAATACTAGAAAATAAATTTTAAAAAGTGATGTTAGAACTTTGACAGTGAAGAAAGATCTACGGTTCTTTATTTTCCTGGGCTTTAACAGATAAGGGAAATAATACATTTTTCTTCAGTACATTAAAATAAGTGCATGAGAATGCATGCTGTTGAATTTACATAGCGAATTTGAGAGACGATGGAAAAGATAGGTGATTATAATGCTCCATCATTAATCAGCTATAACAACTGCAATAAGTTCTGGAGATTGTAGGTGACAACATTTGGTTGGAAAACTGTCAAATATTCAAAAGTTATATTTCCATGATACCATCTCAATAAGGCTGGCTGGGGGGGTTGAGTAACCATTAAGCCAGTTATATATAATTATATTTCTCCCTGGCTTCAGGGTTAAGATTATGAGTATGGGATGAGGCACACAAATACGTGATAACATCTGAAGAATGCAAGACTTCCCACCTAAACCTCTCTTCTTCTAACTGACTGCAAAGTCCCTTTTGTGATGTAATATAACATATTCACAGATTCTGGGCCTTTGGCATAACATCTTTGGGGAGTCATTTCATTTTGCCTACTGCGATCCCATTTTTAAAATGCTTAGTCTCCAAGAAAAAAGTCACACTTTAAATCAGTATGTCCAAACTGATCATTGCCAAAAAATCCTTCACACCCAGATTCTACCATTTGAAATTTTGTGTCTACTCTACAAATTGTATTTATCAGGTGGCATGGTATTCATTTTATTTTAATTACCAAGGTACTTTATTGCTAACAATTAGAACTTTTGATTATCAAGAAGTAGACAATGATATTAAAATGAGTTGTCACAGAGAAATATAATACTTACTTTCACTTATTTTTCTCTATGTAAAGTGGCACAGTGTCTTTTTGGAACACATGGGTATTTTGGATTCTTGCAGAAATGTTCCTGAGCAACTCTAAAATGTATTAGTTTACTCAATTATGAATTTGAATTACAAAAATATCCTGATGTTAAGAATGGATCATTTAGCTCCCATGTGTCTCCTTTTATTAGAGAGTAAAATCATTCCTAGTGTCCCTCCTGCTCACTTTCTCTCAGCTCCCATTGGCGGGGTCACATATTCAGCCTCTATAGTGGGAAGCCAGTGCTGTCCTCAAGGGAGAGGGAAGGAAGTTCAAAGCATGTATACCAGTGCCTGCATGGGACCCTCACCCCAGTACCATCCCCTACCCATCACAGAAACCCCAAGCCAGTATTTTTTCCTTGCTCTCTTAAGCCACTTCTGACCCACTTGGTAGGCCTGCTTTGTTCTCCCCCTGATAGCCTCATTATGTATCATATTTATACCGTGTGTGTGTGTGTGTGTGTGATCATCAGTCTTGACAACCAAACCAAATTTTGGATGGCAGTTCATCCTTTTTCTGCAGGATGGCTTAAACAAGTACTTTACTTTTATAAAGTGTTTTAGAATGCATTATCTCCTTTGATCTTTACAATAATCCTTTCAGGTGGTTTTCATTATCTAAATGGTCACAGATCAGTAAACTGGGATTCTGGAAGACAGGTAGCTTTTCTAAAGACAGATTATAAATGGCAAACTGAAGGCTCAAAAACCTCAATCCAGCGTCTTCGCTTCTGTACTACAGTACCTCTGATGCATGCTCCAAGTGTGGTTTGATAAAGTGTCTTTATTTTAAGCAGTTTAAAGTTAATGGTATATTATATAGGGCTTTCTAAAATTTCTGCACTAACAGTGAAACAGGAAGATTTATATGCCAAATAATTGTGTAATAAAGACTATAGAGGAAATATTGGCACTTGAATGAAAAAAAGGAATTGTTTCAAGAGCACAGGAAGTTCCAATGAATGGAACCAAAAGTTAATCTGCACAGGTTAGGATTCTATATATATAATATATAACTACATATTATATATTATAACTATATAATATCATATATGTTATAACTATATATTATATATATTTAATTGATAGTTTTTTTATTATACCCTAAGTTCTGGGATACACGTGCAGAACCTGCAGGTTTGTTACATAGGTATACACGTGCCATGGTGGTTTGCTGCACCCATCAGCTCGTCAGCTACATTAGATATTTCTCCTAATGCTATCCCTCCCCTACACCCTCACCCCCAAAAAGGCCCCGGAGTATGATGTTCCCCTCCCTGTCTCCATGTGTTCTCATTGTTCAACTCCCACTTATGAGTGAGAACATGCAGTGTTTGGTTTTCTGTTCCTGTGTTAGTTTGCTGAGAATGATGGTTTCCAGCTTCATCCATGTCCCCACAAAGGACATGAACTCATCCTTTTTTTTTCTTTTGGCTGCATAGTATTCCATGGTGTATATGTGCCACATTTTCTTTATCCAGTTTATCATTGATGTGCATTATAACTATATATATGGTTATGTCTAACTGTGTGTGTGTGGGTGTGTGTGTGTGTGTGTGTTCTGAAGCTTTTGAGAATTTTCTACGAGTCAATCACTGTGCTGAATGTTTTTCCTACTTCATCCCATTTGAGTCTTACAGCAGCCCTGGGAGGTAGATATCTTTCCTATTTCACAGATGAGAAACCAGAGAGGCTCAGAGAGTTCATGTAATTTGGTCAAGTTTATAAACCTGGTATATAGTAGATCTGGGATTTGAACACAAATTACCTGAGTCTAAATAAAGCCTGTGATCTTAACAAGCATTTGGTTTTATCTCTCTGATGGTTATTCTTCTATATATTATCATGTTTTCAGAGGCCAATAATCAACATATTTAAAAATATTTTAACTTTATTAATGTAAAAAAATAATATTTAAACATATTATTTAACTCTGACCTACCAATTATTTTTAGTAATGATTACCAAATATTATTTTCCATGTTCTAGGAGATAGCCTGGATCTCTATTTCTTATTACATTCTTAGATATTATTGTTAAGAAAATGAAAAAACTTTCATAACCAACTATGTTCATTAATCATTTTAATATTTCCTAGCATTTATTTTTACAATACTAAAGTGTTTTCACATTCCCATTTGCTCCTCATAAACAACCCATCAAGGTAAGAAAAGAAAGCATTATTATTTCTATTTTATAGCCACAGCTACTGCAGAGAAAGTTTATGCATAATGTTTCAGTGTCTGGTACATGTTTTTGACTTCAGAATAAACCAAAATGTTGAAAATACAATAGCTTCTGAAAGCTTAATTTTAATTTTTTAAAGGCTTTTAACATATCATTGTGTGCTGTACCATAGTAAATAGTTTATAAATAAAGTTTCTAGTTGAAAAGTTGTAAGGAGTCATTTTAATTTTGTTTAAAGTTTATACATATTCTGTATATAATTTTTTGGGGGTGGCATTTTCTACAAAATACAATATCAAATAGGTGAGAGACATAAAATAAGTTTTTGAAACATTATTTTAAATTTGTTTTAATTACCTTACAATTAACTAACACACTTAAAATTATGACCCTAAAGAATAAACTTCATTTATTTATTTGTTTATCCAGCCAACTTTTACAGTGCACTGACCAAGAGGGCCTTAACCTTGCCCTCAGCTTAACTAAACTTCAGACAGGCTTCTTCCTGACTTTAGGTCCCTGAATGCCACCCACCCCAACCCCTTGCCATTTTTTAATAGATTATTTACTTTAGAAAACTTGTCATTGTAAATTCTTTATTTGCCCATTAGAGATGTAAATCTTTTAGAAAGCCTCCTGTTAACTTTAAAACCAAACAACGCCTTTCTGTTTTTTTTTTTTAATTATTATACTTTAAGTTCTAGGGTACATGTGCACAACGTGCAGGTTTGTTACATATGTATACATGTGCCATGTTAGTGTGCTGCACCCATTAACTCGTCATTTACATTAGGTATATCTCCTAATGCTATCCCTCCCCCCTCCTCCCACCCCACGACAGGCCCCGGTGTTGATGTTCCCCTTCCTATGTCCAAGTGTTCTCATTGTTCAATTCCCACCTATGAGTGAGAACATGCAAACAATGCCTTTCTTAAGGACCTGAGAGCCATCCCTATGAAATGTAAGAAAGGAAGATGGTGTCTCTATGTCTCATTTTTGTGTGGAGCGGGGGTAAAATCAGAGCCTAACTTAAGCAGCCACCTTGCTCCAAGCTGCAAAACTACCTTCTGTTATGAAGATAGGAGAAAGTTTACCTTTTCCTTTGAGTAAAGACAATTAGCCAGCATGGTCTATCATTACCCCCACGCCAGCTCTGAAGAACTCTCTAGCCCTTTGTTTCAGCAGAATGGAGCTCAGACTGAGTTCTGCCCTGTCTATAGCTTTGAATAAAGTTTGAACAGTTCTGCCCTCTCTATAGTTTTGAATAAAGTTTGCCTTACCTGTTTAACTTTGCCTCATGGAGGTTTTACTTTGGTTATCATCTCCACACCACCACACTAGAGTTTAGAGTCTTATGTGTGTGTTTGGGGTTGGTGTGGGGGAGCTTGCAGATAATTAAGCAGTGCATTATAATGAGTCACGGTGGTGTTCTTACAGGGAAACACAGGGTGATAAATAATTTTAAAACAACAACAAACAATCAAAGGTAGTTATGCAAGTCAGTCATGGAATGCTTTCTAGAAAAAACTTTGAGATAAATCTTAAAGATAAGCTGCTGGTAAATTTCAGAGTTACTATAAGCAAGGGGTTTTTTTTACAAGTGAAAGTTGTCCATTCAAATCAGCACCATTCCAGCTGCATGTCACTGTGCAAGTCTCGGGGCATGCAAATATTAATAAGACATGAAACTTGGCCTCAACAGCTCACAGTCTGCATTACTAATCAAAATCTAATGAGCATTTTAAAACAGGCAAGATTACAAAATAGTGTAATTTGTCTTTGGTTGCACTTTCTGCTATCTCTATACACTTCTTTTAGACACCCAAAAAAGAATAAAGCCCCAGCCCTACCCTGGCCTCCAGCTACTCAAACTCATACTAAACTACTCTACCTGGCTGCCTTCCTGAACTTTTTCCTACTAATTAATTAAAATGTCCACAATTTATATGTAATTGCCTCAGAGACCATATCCCTACCCGCCATGTGAATGTTAACAAATACAGTGAACAAATTGGTTCTAATGTACTAACAGTTGGTAAATTCAAGTTCTTCCTGTTGGCATACATAATGGAATGTTTGGTGAAAGAACCTTGTAAATTATCTGGGCCAACAATCTTCTGAATCTTGAAACACTTGGGACAGATAGGCTGCAATTATAATCCTGCCTCTAATCACTTATCTCCTGGGTGGCTTGGACAAATGACTTTGTCTTTGTTAGCTTCATTCCTCTGAGCTACAAAATAAAAATAACTGTTCCTACTATAGCGTTTTGGAAAATTAGCTATGCTTGACCAATAATGACTGCTTAATATATATTGGTTGTAACTCCTTTCTATTTAATTATTCAATAAATATTTCTTGGTGGCTAATGTGTGCCAAGGGTTATTTGGGAACAGGTGACAAAAGCAATGAACGATACAAAATACCTTGCCCCAGCTGATCATCAAACTTGTATTTGAAGACCTTCTGTGATGGGAAACCTACTATTCAATCAGTTGTGATTGTGAGAAATATGGCCTTGCCTTAAGTCAAAATCAGTTTCTCCACAATCTTTATGCATTAACACTATTTCCACAGAACTAGAGCTTCTATGGAGTAAGCACGTTGGCTTTTCACCTTACAGGCTTTTAAGAAGGCAGTCTGGATGAAGCTTGGTTTCTCAAAGGTCTGCAATTCGCTTTGGCCCTGCATTGGTCACTATCTCCAAATATACCCTGTTTGTTCCTTTTCCTCTGTCTCCTTGAAAGAATGGTGTACAGAACTAGTCATGTTTTTCTCTTTTGAGAAAATGTCTCTTTTTAATAAAATCGAGGCTCAAGGTAGATTTACCAGCAGCCGCATGACAACAACAATTCATATTGAAGGTCAGGTCATCTGAAAGCCCACGTGTATAAGCCTCATAGCTTTTATTTTATATCTGAGGAGTCCCTTTTTTAAATAAAGTTCAAGATGGTTTATTTTTTAACATTTAATTTATCAAAGCAACATATTGACATCAATTTGCATTTAGTGTTCACCATGAAATGTTTTTCTATCCCTTTCAGTTTTGTGTAATTTGCAAATTCTGTGTCCCTTCCCCTTCCACATAAGTCATTACTATATAAAATGTAGACTATTTGCTATCAAATGTTGAGAGACAAACTCACTGTTTCTGTGCTAAAAGTCCCCCTCCAGTGTGAAATCAAACCATCCCCCACCCAGCCTCTGGCGCACTCTGGCCGCACACGCAGGCTTCCTGTTTCTCCATCCGGCAGACATGCCTGGCGTGCCGAGGGCCTGGCCAGGCTGGATATAGGCAGTGCTCTGTGCTTCAGTGTGCAAGCGTGTACATGGGTGTACTGGGTAGCCTGTGGAGCGCAGCAGGCTGCTGGGGGAGCTCCCTGTGTGGGGAGGGAGGGCAGAAGTCTTTGGACTGGGATCTCACTGCTGGGTGGGAAGGACTAAGTGATCCTGTTTGAACACTATCCACCAGTTATAAATCCATCTGATAAAGCTATTTTTTTCTAGACCTGTATTACCATGGTGAAAATCAGAATTACAACTTTCTATCTTCTTTTTTGGCATTTCTCTTAGTCTTTTTAATTCTTAAAAGCTACTCTAATATTTCTTCTACACATTACCTTATAGAATAGGATCCAATCATGGAGCAAGAGAAATTTAAAAACTCACCTTTAGAATCCAATCATTTACACTTTTGAGATGTATTTGTTTTTCTCTTTCATTCCAGACATCATTTGCTTTGTCTGAGTGGACGGTCACAAAAGAAATTTCAGTTGTTCTGATCTCTTCAGGTCTTTCTCTTTAATATTTATACCTCTAACTGCAAGTAGTGTGGCTGTTTCCTCCCTGACTTCTTTCTTTCCTTCCTTCTCCCCTCCCTCTCTCTCTCCTTCCCTCCCTCCTTTCTTCTTTATCTTCTTACCTTCTTCCCTTTCCCTCCCGCTATTCAACTGTCTCCTTTTTCTCCATCTCACCCTCTTTGTGGCAGAGCCTTCCTCTCTTCCCCTTCTCCTCCTTCATCCCCATCTATATTCTTCCTCCATAAATAAATGCAAACAATTTTTTGTTATTAAGAGGCAGTACAAAGTGCAAAGAACACAAATCTTTGACCAGGCAAATGATTTTCTATAATTTGGGCATTTGCTTAATCTCCCTAAATCCACCTCATGAACTTTTCTGAATATTAAATGAATAGATATAAAAGGCTTAGCACATCTTAACAGCATAATAGTTATTAAGTAAATGTTAGTGTAGCATGAGTTTAAATTTACACCCTACAGTTCAGATGGGTAAATGTGTAAATTATTATTATTTTTTTTTTTGAGATGGAGTCTAGCTCTGTCACCAGGCTAGGGTGCAATGGTGCAATCTTCAGCTCACTGCAATCTCGCCTCCCAGGTTCAAGCGATTCTCCTGTCTCAGCTTTCCGAGTAGCTGGGATTACAGGTGCACACCGTCACGCCCGGCAAACATTTTTGTATTTTTAGTAGAGACGGGGTTTCACCGTATTCCCCAGGCTGGTCTCGAACTCCTGAGAGCTCAGGCAATCCACCTACTTCGGCCTCCCAAAATGCTAGGATTACAGGCATGAGCCACGGCGCCCAGCCTGTAAGTTGTGTTTCTATCAGAAATGTATCTAATCTCTAATACAGATACATTAGTGGGAATCCCAATTCCCACTCAATAATGGGAAGAATGAGGCAGCGTGATGAGACCTTCAATGAGCCACTAAAAGTATCTTAGTCTATCCCAGTTTTCAAACAGTGCTTTGGGCTAACAAAGCTTTAAGCCTTCTTGTTGTTTTGTTTCTAAAATACACAGTAAATTTAAAAAATCAAATGTAATACCATATTTTTTTTTCCTGCTCTCCAATGGAACTCTCTTTTCTCTTCTCATTTCAGTGATGATCTCAGGCAACATTCTCATAAATCACCCTTCCTCTGGCTCCATTTACCACGCACAGCAGTTTCTCCTTCATCTCTTTCTCTTTCCTTATATTAAATATCATATCATCTACCCTATGACTTACAATAAAATTCTGATTTGAGTCCGCCAGGCAAGGCTCTTGAAATGTAAAAGGAAGTATCTGGAGCAGAATGGCTGTGGGCAAACAAATAAAAAATCACCTTTTACTGAAGTGAAAAAAATGAGTGAAGTTTAGTATATTTTTAATTTCTTAACACTAACAGTGAAAAGAAATATAAAGTCATTTTGTACAAATTATATGATTTGAAATTCAAAAATAACAACTTTGAAACTTTAATTAAAATCATTAAAATTTAAGGTCACTAGGATGACCAACAAATAATTTGTTATCAACAAATTACTTATATGCCTTGTTTTCATGGAAATAAAAGAGTTTACTACAATTCCCATGTGTATTTGCTCCAATAATTGTTTCCTATTTAAAAATTATGGCTGGTTTTAAGCCATGTGACATGGTGAACTTTTAGTAATTTTTAATATATTTTACTAGTAACTACTTTCTTCACTGGCAACATTAATATAGTTGGTGCTACAAAGGTATTTTAAAGGGTATCAAAAATATTTGTGTCTAAATATATTTGAAAACTATAATGGAAACTGTACTAGGTTTTATAAAATTTAAGTATTTTAGTTCTTCAAGAATAGAGATATTATCAATAGCACATTTCTTACTGTGTTTATTTTCATTGGTAAATATATATGCCATTTAAAACACAAAAAAAAATCTAATTATTTTCACACAGCAAATTTATTTTATTTTATTGTATTGTATTTATTTATTTTGAGTCAGAGTCTCGCTCTGTAACCCAGGTTGGAGTGCAGTGGCATGATCTCGGCTCACTGCAACCTCCACCTCCTGGGTTCAAGGGATTTTCCTGCCTTAGCCTCCGTGTAGCTGGAATTATACCTTGGCCTCCCAAAGTGCTGGAATTACAGGCATGAGCCACTGTGCCCGGCCAGCAAATTTATTTTTAAGGAAGAAATTATATTCTATGGAAATAATAATTTTGAGATTATATTTCAGTTATAGATGTGCTGACTGTGAGCTTTACAGTCAAATGGAGTCTCTTTATTCTTTTCCTAGTGTGTTTTGAATTGGATAAATTGATGTCAATAACAATAATGTATAATTTATTTAGCATTAACAATATCTTTTTAAACATCAACAAATTGGTTTCTTCAAAGAATTTCATAATCTCTTCAATGGTTTCAGAGGCTTTCATATTTTGACTTTTGTTCATGCATTAATTTTGCTTCAATTTTTAGTACAGACCAAAGAAATGTAAAAAGTATATATTTTTAAAATATATCTGTTTTTGCACCATAGAATCTAGATCTTTATTCATACAACGACAATTTCTAAAAAAAAAAAATCATTAAAGTAATATCCTTTAATTAATGTTCTGTGACATGAAGGCATCACTTTGAGTTTTCCATTGCCATTTTGGCAATGGTTTCAAATTTAGTATACTTCAACATTTGTTTAAGCTGAAAAGTTTTTAAAATATACTGGAATCAATAAAGCTTTTTACCTCATTACCACCAAATTCAGAGAACGCACAGAACAAGAAATGTACATCCTTCGAACTATTTTGAAGATCTTCTATCCTCTTTTCCAATGATATGGCAGCATTGTTCTATCTCTGAAATCTCAGATTACCTTTTCTGTCTAAATGTAAGTTGGTTTTATTTTTCTTTAAGTACTCTACTAAGAAGGTCTATGATCCTTCTAAGATTATGCCTCTGACTGAATAAAGTGCCAAAAATACTTGTTTTGATAGACTTTCTGCAATAGAAGAAAATCCCATAATATATCATAGAATTTCCTGGATTATACTCTGAACACTAGTAGTTGCTTTAGTAAAAAATAAATTGTGTATATAATTTGTTCTAAAGTGCTTGCCAACATCCTTCTTTTTCTAACTTACTCTCTGTTTAGAAAGCTTCAATAGTTTATCCGATTTCAATTTTGAATACTTACCATTATTTTTGCTCTCTTCATGTTTGCCAAGAAAATTTAATAAATACTGCCTATGTTTTTCATACATTATCCACCTTCTCAGTCTTCGGGTGAATATTTTCTGTCTACCTAATTTGTAATATAAAAATATATAAAATACTTTGGTTTGCAATGAAGTAACCAGAATCTATTATATTTTTAAGAATTTGGAAGAACTCATTAATGCTTTTGAAGTCTTTTCTGTCATTTGGCAATTTAAAATTTTTCCATTGTTTAATATTCAGATTATATTGTCAGGTATCCAGATCTTCAGAAAATACATTTGGTTAATGGATTTTTCATGTATATTTTCTCTCGGTTTTTCTTCAGTTTTATCATTTACGGCTGACATGAAGATAGACGCTAAATTCATATCCTTCTCCATCAATGACATATTAGTGCTACATTATACTGAATATAATGGCTCAGAAATCTTGTCCTTTTTATAGCATTCCATCTATTTTCTTCAAAAATGTATTCAAATGATTCAAAAGATTTTCTTTCATTTACTTTTCTGATGGCTTCCCATTTTATTCTCTAAAACTTATCTTCTTATCCTGACAGTGGAGAAAATAATATATAATAGCTTAGAAACCATTTTACAATGTGTAAGAATTTAAAAGAATAGTGCATGATAAACTCATAAATTTCAACAACAAGCAATTTTTATACTGACAAAATTTTCACAACAACAAAAGAACAATTGCTCCAAAACAACTGGCCAAGACAATTAGCTGAAAATTTATAACTATAAATGTGATCATTTATATCTATGCAATGTTCATTTTGTGATTATTGAAAATCAGTGATTATTAATTATTAAATAGTGATTTATATGACTAAGTTACTTGTCCACTTACATTGTAAACTCTGCAATATCATTTTAGTCCTATACATAAATGGCAGGTTATATAAAGAACAATATTATATATCAACTTTTCTGGCTCATTTACAATAGAAATTTTTTTCTTTTAATTTCAAGAAAATAAAAAGATGACATTCTTGTGTAGAAACACAGCTTTATTTTAAATTTTGTTAGATTAACAAGCTTTGCTATCAAATGCATTCCTCCTGCATAAGTCAAAACAGAGTGGTGTATTAATACATAAATTCTGCAAGAATAAGATATTTTACTTCTATATTATGACTAGAAAACTTATTGTCATGAATCACTTTTATTAGAACAAGACCTTTTAATGTCATGTGCAAGGAATTTTCATAATAAGCCTATACATTGCCCAAACATAGAGTGAAAAAGGTTAAAAATGTAACACTAACTTCAATTACATAGACTTCCCATTTTTATAGCTTAAAACAATGAAATATTGGCAATTTCATGGTTTCTAATACAGAACAATCTTAAAGGCATAAAAATGTCAGTGACATGAGTAGTATTCCTTGACACTTGTGGGCTAGGCTTAACCTGAACCAACATATATGACAGGTCTGGTTTGGAGATAAAACTTTTATCAATTTCAGCAATCCCTGAATTTCAACATGATAACATATAATAAACTTGAGATGCTTGAAATTAAAAGCCTGAATGATGTCTTTTTCCTTCTCTTTTAATTCTTGTTCTAAAAGTCTTATACTCCCTGAGGCATTAGATGCCTCTGTCTGAACAAAAGGAAGGTTAGTCACAAGCAAGTATAAAACATAAGAATACATTCATATATTTCAAAACATCTCTCATTATTTTATTGCTCTTCTCTTTCTTTAGATTTTATTTAAGGGTTTTGACTCCCTGGCTTGTTGTTTACTACTCTATGCCACTTTTATATTTATATTTTATTATTTCAATTTTAGCCCATGTCTTTGCAAATATTTGAACTGAAATTTGCATTCTTGAAATCTGTATTAGTCCGTTTTCATGCTGCTGATAAAGACATACCTGAGACTGGGCAATTTACAAAAGAAAGAGGTTTAATTGTACTCACCATTCCACGTGGCTGCGGAGGCATCAGAATCATGGTGGAAGGCAAGAAAGAGCAAGTCACATCTTACATGGATGGTAGCAGGCAAAAAGAGAGCTTGTGCAGGGGAACTCCTCTTTTTAAAACAGTCAGATCGCATGAGACTTATTGACTATCACAGGAACAGCACAGGAAAGAACTGCCCAAATGATTCAATTACCTCCCATGGGGTCCCTCCCACAATGCATGGAAATTAAAGATGAGATTTGGGTGAGGACACAGCCAAACCATATCATTCCACCCTGACCCCTTCCAAATCTCATGTCCTCACATTTCAAAACTAGTCATGCCTTTCCAACAGTCCCCCAAAATCTTAACTCATTTCATCATTAACTCAAAGTCCACTGTCCAAAGTTTCATCCAAGGCAAGGCAAGTCCCTTCTGCCTATGAGCATGTAAAATCAAAAGCAAGTTAGTTGTTTCCTAGATACAGTGGGGGTACAGTCCTTGGGTAAATACAGCCATTCCAAATGAGAGAAATTGGCCAAAACAAAGGGGCTACAGGTCCCATGCAAGTCCAAAATCCAGCAGGGCAGTCAAATCTTAAAGCTCCAAAATAATCTCATTTGACTCCATGTCTCACATCCAGGTTACTCTGATGCAAGAGGTGGGTTCTCACGGTCATGGGCAGCTCCACCCCTGTGGCTTTTCAGGGTACAGCCTCCCTCCTGGCTGCTTTCCCAGGATGGTGTTGAATGCCTGTGGCTTTTCCAGGCACACGGTATAAGCTGTCAGTGGATCTACCATTCTGGGGTCTAGAGGATGGTAGCCCTCTTCTCACAGCTCCACTAGGCAGTTCCTCAGTAGGGACTCTGTGTGGGTGCTCCAACCCCACATTTCCCTTCTGCACTGCCCTAGCAGAGTTTCTCCATAAGAGCCTCACCCCTGCAGCAAGCTCCTGTCTGGAGATTCAGGCATTTCCATTCATCCTCTGAAATCTAGGCAGAGGTTCCCAAACCACAATTCTTGACTTCTGTGCACTGGCTGGCTCAACACCACATGGAAACTGCCAAAGCTTGAGGCTTGGACCTTCTGAGGCAACAGCCTGAGCTGTATGTTGGCCCCTTTCAGCCATGGCTGGAGCAGCTAGGATGCAGGGCACCAAGTCCCTAGGCCGTACAAAACATGGGGACCCTGGGCCTGGCCCACAAAACCACTTTTTCTGCATAGGCCTCGGGGCCTGTGATGGGAGGGGCTACTGTGAAGACCTCTGACATGACCTGGAGACATTTTCCCCATTATCTTGGAAATTAACATTCCTAGTTACTTATGCAAATTTATGCAGCAGGCTTGAATTTCTCCTCAGAAAATGGGATTTTCTTTTCTATCACATTGTCAGGCTGCAAATTTTCCAAACTTTTATGTTCTGTTTCCCTTATAAAGCTGAATGCCATTAACAGCACCCGAGGCACCTCTGGAATTCTTTGCTGCTTAGAAATTTTTTTTTTCCAACAGGTACCCTAAATCACCTCTCTCAAGTTCAAAGTTCCACAAATCTCTAGGGCAGGGACAAAATGCCACCAGTCTCTTTGCTAAAACACAGCAAGAGTCATCTTTGCTCCAGTTCCCAACAAGTTTCTCATCTCCATCTGAGACCAACTCAGCCTGGACTTTATTGTCCATATTAGTATCAGCATTTTGGACAAAGCCATTCAACAAGTCCTTAGGAAGTTCCAAACATTCCCACATTTTCCTGTCTTATTCTGAGCCCTCCAAACTGTTCCAACCTCTGCCCGTTACCCAGTTCCAAAGTTGCTTTCACATTTTCTGGTATCTTTTCAGTAGTGCCCCACTGTAGTGGTACCAATTTACTGTATTAGTCCATTTTCACATTACTGAGAAATACGTATCTGAGACTGGGCAATTTACAAAAGCAAGAGGTTTAATTGGACTCACAGTTCCACATGGCTTGGAAGGCCTCAGAATCATGGCAGAAGGCAAGAAGGAGCAAGTCACATCTTATATGGATGGCAGCAGGCAAAAAGAGAGCTTGTGCATGGAAATTCCTGTTTTTAAAACTATCAGATCTCATGAGACTTATTCACTGTCATGAGAACAGTATGGGAAAGACCTGCCCGATGATTCAATTACCTTCCACCAGGTCCCTCTCACAATATGTGGGAGTTCAAGATGAAATTTGGATGGGGACACAGCCAGACCATATCTAAATCTAATCTAGAATCTTCTAATTTTTGCTCTGAATTTTTTGATATAGTAACTTTATTCCAAGTTATTTGTTAAACTTATTATAATTCCTAAACCTCTGTTTTGGTGATAATAAATACACATCAACAATTACTCTGGTTATTTGTTCTATAACTTCAAAATAAATTTAGAGAAAGACTTAAAAACTTACATTGTTTATCTACTGTAAAGTAGTCCATACTTCTACTGTGCAGTCTTTCTGGCATCTCAGCTGGATGCCAGTAGCTTATGAAATATCTCACCACTCCAGCAGGACTAGTTCTCAGAAGCATCCTAGCACTTAGGATAACTGGCTAGGCATATGCAGAAGAACAAAACTGGACCCCCACCTTTCACTACACATTAAAAAAAAAAACTCAAGATGAATTAAAGACTTAAATATAAGATCTGAAACAATAAAAATCCTAAAAGAAAACCTAAGAAATATCATTTTGGACATTGGCCATGGCAAGTATTTTAGCTAAGTCCTTAAAAGCAATTGCAACGAAAACAAAAATAAAGGACCTAATTAAACTAAGGAGCTTCTGAACAGCAAAGAAATTTATCAACAGAGTAAACAGACAACCTACAGGATGGAGAAAATATTCTCAAACTACGCATCTGAAAAAGGTCTAATATCCAGAATCTATAAGGAACTTAAACAATTCAACAAGCGAAAGCAAATAACCCCACTAAAAAAAAGGGCGAAGGGCATAAACAGACAGTTTTCAAAAGAAGACATGCATGCGGCCAACAAATACATGAAAAAATGCTCAATGTCACTCACTAATCATTAGAGAAATGCAAATCAAAACCACAATGAGATACCATCTCACACCAGTCAGAATGGCTATTACTAAAAAAGTAAAACCAACAAACAAATAGAGGTTGGCGAGGTTGCAGAGAAAAGGGAACACTTATACAGTGTTGGTAGGAATGTAAATTAGTTCAGCCACTGTGGAAAGCAGTTTGGAAATTTCCTAAAGAATTTAAAACAGAGTTACCATTCAACCCAGCATTCCCATTACTGGGTATATATCCAAAGGAAAATAAATTGTTCTACTGAAAAGACTCATGCGCTTGTGTGTTCACTGCAGCAGTATCCATAATAACAAAAACTTGAAATCAACCTAAATGCCCAGCAACAGTGGAATGAGTAACGAAAATGTGTTACATATACACCATGGAATACTACACAGTCATAGAAAGAATGAAATCATGGCCTTTGCAGCAACATGGATGAAGCTGGAGGCCATTATCCTAAGTGAACTAATGCAGGAACAGAAAACCAAATACTGCATGTTCTCACATATAAGTAGGAGCTAAACACTGAGTACACACGGACATAAAGATGGAAACAATGGACACTGGAGATTACTAGTGGGGGAAGCGTGTGAGGGAAGTGAATGTTGAAAAACTACCTATCAAGGACCATGATCACCACCTTGGTGATGGGGCCATTTGTACCCTAAACCTCAATGACGCACAATTTATCCATGTAACAAACCTGCACAATCCCACGAAGCTAAAAATAACAGTTGTAAAAGTAAAAAGAAAAAAGAAAATAAATAAAACTTGGCCACAGGAAAATAAAAAAGTCCCCTAGCATTGCCTAACTTCAAATGTCATTTTTCCTTTTCCAAACTTGTACCAGCCACTCTCTGTTAACTGTGTGTTTAACTAACAGTGGCTGGTACAAGTATGAGAATGAATCTTTGCATTAATAGCTCAATACTCACCAAAGAAGTTGAAAGTAACTTCATTTAAATCTTGCTCCCTAGCCCCATTGAATTTTCTTTCATAGTATGCTTCCTTCCTTACAAATTCTCATCACTTCAACCTCCCTAAACTGATCTTTATCCCTTCAGCCCAGCTGGTCTCTGATGCTCATTAGGCCACACAGGAATTTGTCCCCAGGTGGAGCAAGGCATTATGGGATTGTCCCACAAATTTCTCTTCGCTCAGAAGAACATATAATGTGTTCAGTTTTTGGTGGTTTAATGGCATGAATGCTACTCTCATCTTAGTTACTTTATCATAGCTGGAAGCAGAATTCTAGCTGTTTGATTATAGCCCTTTGATTCAAAAGCCATTGCCATCTTGATTAATAGTTTATATAAGAAAATTAAGGCTAAGAAACTACATACTGGCTTTTTGGTTTCTTCACTGATTGTATTTTAGGAGTTGTACAAATGAAACAAAAAATTACATAATAGAATTACAAATAATGACACATTTTTAACGTGAAACTCAGCTTCAGGTTCTGCCATATCTACTAATACCAAAAGGCAGTGTTCCATTAAGTCTTGATACACCATTAGCCATTTAGAGAAATCATGTATGACTCTGACCATGCAGATTTCAATTTAGGTTTATCAATTTTATAGCAACAACAAATGCTCTTTCATTCTCCTAACAGCATGTCTGACTCCACCAACAGAACCGTTTTCTCCATGATATCACCAGAACTCCCCTCACCAATGCTCCAGGAGTCTCCAAATGATCCACACCAACACTAATACTTGAATGCTGCTTCCCAACAGTCCCACCACACCATCTTCATTCTTGAAACTGCTAATAAGGTCTGCACCACTTATAATTGGAGCAAACCAGGCATCCTGCACCATTTATAATTGAGGCATACCAGGCATCCTGTAACTTACAACCTCTACCAAATCTGCCAGTATCAACAAACTGGCACTGCTTACCAGAGCACCAGTGCAATTGCCAGTCTTTCTGCTGTTGCCACTAATGTCATCTGAGAAACGTGACTCCATCTCACTGCAGGCCCTAAAGTTAACTTTCTGTTCCTCTCTCAGTCTCAACTGATTGCCATAGATGATGATACCATTACCATTGTGATTGGAAATGCCTGTTTAAATAAGCACAACTGGAATTTGCATCTCTGTTTACTTCTGGCTGATTGAATCCCTGCTTCCATTGTTACTTTCCTCCACAAAATCCCTCCCAGAATGTTGCCCAGATGTTCCTGAAACATTATAAACCACGGGTGCCACAGTGAAAGTTTCTATGACTGGTGAAGTTTTCCCCTATTGAGGTTATACAGAAGACCCCTCACCAAGGGAAACCATTCCAAAGTTGCTCATAGTGCTTTCCTTTCTGACCTCATCTCTGATGACAACTAGGCTTAAGATAATCAGTCTGATTTATCCTTTACCCTCACTTTAAGTTGCACCTTCTATGTCTTTGTGATGACTGTCTGTTTTCTAAGGTAAGAAGAAAACCACCGGATTCATCAGAAATCCTATTTTTTTATTCTTAGAATCACTGGAGTCATGAGATAACCACAAATTATATTAATTCCCGTTATGACAGTTGGCCATTCAATTTAGATCCTACTACCACACCAGTATTCTCCCCACAAAGTCTCCAGTTTATAAAACTCTAATGCATCAAATTTTGAAAAACACAAGCCTAATTTAACTTTTCCTTTTTACTGTGTAGAAATAGGTATCAATGGGATTCAGTAACTTATCCAATTTACAAAGGCACTTAGTAGCTTAGCTGGACTGTCTTGAGGTTAGTATTCAGTGTGTCTTTAAGTTTCTGGTTATGATAAGTTCATGAATTTATAACTCATAATTTTCAGCATTGGTGATATTTTTAAACGAGCCCAATTTGTTTGAACCAGCTTATTATAAATCCAAATGATGAGTTAATTTTCTACTCACCAGTTCTTCCCAGAGTTCAAAAATATCTTCCTTAAAATTTTAGAGTTTCGCTTCAATACAGTTTCTAATGGTCTGTACATTTTTGAAGGCAGCATCAGAGTTCCTCACACATTATTAATGGGCTATCCCAGCCCCTCTTCCCCAGAGTCAGTTTGACTATATAAAATCTTCTCGAGAAAAACACATTCTCATGTAAAAATGTGCAAGCAACATAAAAATGATTATGTAATAAGTGAAAGAAAAAGTATTCTATTCTAGATAATGAATTAAGACAGTCCTACCGTGTGGCATAAATTCTGTTTCCATACTCTTATTTCCTATTCTGCATTCACATTATGTTCTGAGTAAGAAGCGTCAGATTTCATTTTTCAAAATTCTCATTGTAATAAAAATGTATTAAAAAGCCCCAGTACTTTCAAGTTTGTTAGCACATTTTCAAAGATAGCATTAGATGTGCAGCCCGAAGTGGGAATTTTATAACATCACACATATCAAACTATTGGACTTGAGAGAGAAATAAGTTTGTGGTATGTGTTGTTTGTCCTGATTTACAGTTAGAACATAACTTTTAGTCATGCATTATTAACTGGAGATAGGACAGGAAAAGGGTTTTATTGTCCCCAGATTAATTAATGGCTGTTCTTCAGTAAACATTTGCCTCAGAGTTCATTGGAAAAATGTCCTCTTCTATTTTACTCTGTCCCTGAAAACTCATCTTAATAAAATCCTAAAATGCCTATTTTTTTCAGAAAAAAGGAAATGCCTATAACAAAGCTGAAGCTACCCAACTGCAATGAAGACAAGCATTTAACTGACAGGAGTGGTCTCTATGTTTGCCCTTGTTCTAATAGGGAGGCCTCTAATTTTTCACGTTCTTCTTGAATCTCAGAGCACACACAGATACTGGCAGACTATATTTCTAAATAACTAGTCAAGCAGACAAACTTACTTGTGACTTCCTCTTCTCTTAAAGCATTTGCCTGGTACCCTAGGAACCAGAGCCTATTCCACATCAGTAGCAGCAGTGAATCTTTTAATCTAAAATTGCTAAAGTTTCCAACATAAAAAAATAGAATCATTCTTTATATGGTTTATTTCCAAGTAGACTTTGCACTTCATCAGATTCCTTTTATTTCCTTTCATTTTTCATCATCTTTTTGTTGAGAAACAGGGAACTTAGGGAATAAGGATCAAATTTTGATTTCAAAGACATATGTCAAGTCACTACTGTGCCATTCTCATCAAGCATCTGTCTTATTAATATTTTTAAATATTTTTCTCTCAAGCACACTGTTATGGTTCTTTAGCTTTCATTCATTAACAATCTTTTATGGTTACAACAGCACGGCAGTTATAGTCATTCATTTGCTGATCTGATGACCAATTCTCCTCATCTCCTAACATCAAACTCTGACTCTACATAATCTATTTGCCTACTTCTTTTATGCCCCAGTCTACCAATGTTTCCAACCACATTTCTAGACCCTTTGTCCTGGTGCCCGTTGCTCTGTCTTGCTTCACCACTGCTCCTCTGAATGGTCCTTTCTGCTCCCTTTTACAATTAAAGGTGATAACGGATACTCCTCACCCACAAAAAATTCCAACACACTCTTGTTCAACAGGGGCCTTCTTTATCTTCATTCAGTATCCGGCCTCCTTCTGTCTTCTCATAGGGCTTGGAGTGTTCTGATGGCTCTTCTTTTATCTGGGCAAGGAGTAAGAGAAAGTTTAAAGGATCCTACAGGAGGTTTCGAAGAACTAAAACTGGCTGCTGTCCAAATCACTTCAGCCCAATGTCAAGAAGCTAAAACCCACTCACATGGCCACATCTAACTGCAGGAGAGGCTGGGAAATTTAGTGTAGCTCTCTGCTCAGAAGAAAGAGAAAATGATTTTGGTACACTCATGCCAGTCTCCATCACCTTTTCTCATTACACTTCTGCAGCCCATTTCCACTTATACCTGGAGTTCCCAAGATAATGTGTTCCACAACCAAGTATCTGCAGTCCCTACCACCCATGGGTTGACATGTATGAATTTTGGCAGCAAACATTTTTATGTTTAATTTATATTTATTGAGTTCTTACTCTGTGTCAGGAACTGTTCTGGGTGTTGAGTAAAAGCAGTAAATAAAGTGAATAAAACTACCAACCCTTATGAGCTTACATTGTCTCAGCACCTTCTCAGAGCCTTGTGAGAAGAAAGAATAATAGCCACCTGCCTGTGTTACAGAATAAGAAGGGTATCCAGAAGATTCTTTTGATCAGACATATCTTTATTTATTTGGGTAGCATATTATTAATTGCAATTCAGCCACTGGAGTTAACCCTCTAACCCTCTTTCAAATATATTAGTTCTTCTGGAAAGAAGAATATATTAAGTCACAAGAGCTTCTGTGTGAATCTACCTGTCAGATGTCTTTCTTTGAGATGGAAAAATGGTGCTATCTGGAGGATGAAAGCACCCCAGGGGCACACAACAGTACATAAATGGAGAAAAAAGTAAAGAACTAGTGAAACTTCACAGTTTCACTTCAGACACTTATGCATGTCGTGGTAAGTTCTTTTGTAATATGTGCAAAACTGGAGGGAAATATATTATCAAAAGCCAAGATTTCACCCAAGAATATTAGATGATGAGCTCATTTTCCAACCGTTACACCAGTCAAGCAAAATTTTGAATCTCAACCTTCATGGGATGAAGATCAATTTTGAATTTCAATATCACATTATATTTTCTCAAAATTTGAAATAAATACTCTGTGTATTTAACCAAAGATTTTGGTAAAAGAAGATTTCTCTCCCTTCCTCTCTCCCTGCCTAGGAATAATTGGCACCATTAAATCCAATAAGTGAAGATCTCACCAATTTAAGTGGTAGGACTTAATATGAGAAATTTCTAAGTATGGCTTGTTGTTTGCAGTGTTCCTGCATAACTAAAAGAGAAAATTATATGAAGGAACTGAGTCTCTGCCAACTCCTATCAGAGTCCGGACTTTAACATAAATTGAAAAAGCCTACATAGCTATTCAAAGATATTTTGAGACACTGAAGGATTCATATAAAAATTCTAAAATTATCTGTATATAAAATGAGCTTGTATCCCTAATTATTACATCTCTTTTATTACTCATAGGAAAATATACTAGGCATTACTTATCTGACTTGAGGGAATTTATACTCTTCTTTGTTTATCATTTCTCTCCCATAAATTCTTAAAATTGCAATGAATACTGCTGAAAATTAATCATTTCTATCTGATTAAACAATGCCTGCACTTTGGTAGGCCATGTACATGCAGAGATACATAGAAGTTGTGGAGCTATAAGAAGCTTGACACTTATTTATTCCAAGTCCTTCATTTTACAAATGAGAAAACTAATGCTTAGAAAGGTTATGGAAATCCATTACCAACACTAGAAGAATAACTCAAGTGTACTTTCTTTTGAAGATGGGTTAGCAGTGTCAGCCTTGTTACTAAGTATAATGATGTTAAATTAAGTAACTAGATTGCATTTTAACTTCAGATTTAAATTGGGTGAATGGGTTTTGAATTAGTTCTAGGATGGACATCAGATAAAAATAAATAAGGGTCAAAATATGTTTTGACAAGTACTTGAAGTTTCCACTGAGTATAGTTAATTGCATATTTTTATGTAGTGGTAGTAGTCCAACCAAGCCCTGTAATTACTTAGGGAAGTAAATATTTTATTCTGTTTTGAAAATGGGTTTGCTCCTGTTAAATTGGTTATCCCGAGGGAGGGTAAAACTAATTCAGGCTTTGTTTATCTATTTAGACGGATACCATTCCCATTCTGCCTGCACTGCAGAAATTTGAGAAAACTCAGGTCCAAGGCATAAATGCTGAAATTTTAAATCCGTTCATTGACTCTTTACAGGATTAACTTTCTAAGTATGCTTAAATTCTGAGGCATTTGTTTGAGATGGAAGTTGGACTCTTTAAGCCTAATCAGGAGCTGTTGCTGCAGTTTATTTATAGTTCAGAAGGTCAAACTGATTCACTTAATTGGAAAACGCTGCTTCCTAGTCTATGTGCCTATTGATGTACTGTACATTTGACGTGATTAGTTACCAGGGTGAGATTCTAATATGACCTTTGTTAATAAGGTGGATTCTCCATAATGGGCTGTTTGCAGTTTCTAAGAACCATTTACATGATGTGCTTGGTAATCAGTTATGTAGAGCAATTCCCACGTGGAGAGAAAGATCCACCTTAATTGGAATAGCGCAGAAGGCTCAAATCTGAGAATATTTTAGTAGCCTGTGGTTGGTTACTTGCAAAGTTCCACATATGCTTTTAAAGTGAGAAAGGCATGTTTGTACAACTAGCCTGACATAACATACTTTCCCTTTAGAAAGTTGCAGTACAAGATATGAACATCATGAAAGAAAGAGTGCATGGGTGACATAATGGGAAATTATTTGTCCATTTAGATAAATATTATTCATAAAATAACCATCCCTCATTCACTTTGCAACATACACACACACACACACACACACACACACACACACCAATGATATTTTATTAGTTTATTCTAGAATTCCTATTAAAAAGGAATACTGCCATTAAAACCATTTGATCAACCTGTCCTTTTAAATAATACCATTTGTGGATTATCATGATGCTTAAGGGGCATAGAAGACAAGAGTGGCTATTTGAAAGTGAATAAACAAAATACACTTTTTCAAGTGAGTAGCATGATGTTATAGAAAGTCCCCTGGACTTGGAGCTAGTGTTAACTTTACCACTTATTTGCTGTGTTAACTTTACCACTTATTTGCTGTGTGACTTTGGTCAAGTTAATTAACCTTTTTGAGGTTCTGTTCATTTATCTATGAAATGATAATAAGAATGGGTACCTCATAGGTGTGTGAGTAATATATAAAGTAGCAGTCTGCTCCTCTGTAACTTGAGAGTTCCTAAGAGAACTGAAAATAAAAATAAAAATAAAGATATTAATATATCAGTTTTATTTTCCAGTAAAACTAGTGATATTAAGGACAAGGGACCTTCAGATTAAGAAAAAAGTTATTTTTCTTGTAAGAATTTAAATAATAAAATGCTTTTATAACTATAAATGAATAGCTATAAAAACTAAACATCAGGTTCAGAAGATAAACATCCCTAAGACACCATCTTTAATAGTTTATTTCATTTGCTCAAGAGCAATGGTTTGTCTTGTTTCGCTACCACAGTGTTTTTTACACATTTCTATCATCCAGTAATATTTCCAACAAAACACAAAGCCGTTAAAATAAACTACCCCTGCTGCTAAAACATTACCATATCCTGTGTCACTATCCAGTTAAGAGAGGCCTGCATCATGCAGACATTTCTACTTCTGCACGCCGAAAAGAATCACATGGTAGGATTCTTAAGAACCCAGGTTTCGGACCCTACTGCAAACTCGCTGATACGCTAAATCTGTGATGGAGCCATGGAACATGCATTGTAATAAGTACCATCCACAGTGTCTGGTGGCTCTGATGTAGGAGGTCTGTAGAAAACACCTTGAGAATCAATGGCAAAATGCAAATTATGTTTCTTAATTAATCTGTATCTTGAATTATATCATATCTAATCTGCCTTCTGAACCCTTGGGCTTTAAGAGAAATGCTTATATTTTAAAATACAAGGGACAGAACATTAAATTAATTATATGACATGGAATATTATTTGAATCTTTTCTTTCCCCTTTGGATAACTCACATTCTTACAAGGCTAGGCGATGGAAACAGATCCATCATAGAAGCTGGTCCCGGGGATGAGTCATCATGGGGTAGCTTCCTGACAATGGTGCCTGAGGAGTGTGCTGAGGTTGAGAAGAGTTCTTAGTTAGTACCCCTGAGATCTCTCTTGCAGATGAGTAAAACCATGGAGGAGACTTCCAAGGATTTGCATCAGTGGGTCGAGAGGATCATTAGAAAAACATTTATTACTGTGTTTGTGGAATCATAATTTTTTTCCCTAAGCTGTCCTGGTCTGGTGAAGTAGAGATGTGGAGATAATACAGTGTACTCTCTAATAAAATCTCCCCTATAGATATTTAAAAATAATTTTTGTATTAATATTAATACTAATTGTAATTCAGAAGGAAATTTATTTTGAGGTTTTTTTTGTTTAAGGCATTATAAATCAATAAGAAAAATGTAATTGTTAGAGAAATGACATGGAGGCTCTTTTGTTAAAGTAAGTGATCCTTTTAAAGTTTATTTTTTATGAAGGGCTAGATTTCTAGATACACAACTTCTAAAAATGGAGGCTTATCTGTTTAAATAAAGAAAGCAATCTGAAAAACAGTACTGGTCTAAGAACACAATCAAATCAATAATTTTATATTTTCAGGATTTAGATATAATAAAAACCTTTTAAACACTACTACAATAACCAAATTGTCTAAGTTATCTAACTCAATTTCTTTCCAGACTATTTCTTTGTTCAACACAAAACAATAGCACCCAACATTAACACTATATAAGAAGCAAATTCAAATTGTGTTGATATTGCCTGTGAATTATGCTCAATAATTTTTCACTTAGCTTTATCCTGGAAATTAATGATGGTATAAGAGGGGTAAGATTCTTACAATAGTTATTTTAAAAACAGTGTTGAAAAGGAAATATCAGTTACTTGGACATGACTGACAATTCATACTTAATAATGGTGTGGCAACTCTTCACAGTGAAATGGGTATGAGCCTCAGGAGCCCTTTGTGCTGTTACCTGCAAACACAGAATGTGCTTCAGTTTCTAGGCTCTTTTTATTTTCAAGGTTTTCACACTCATCTCTCAAAACTTTTTTAGATGTTGCATCCTTCATTTGATTTGATAGACTAACAGATGCTTTATGCCTCATGCTTCCTCACCCTCCTTCTTAAGTGTATACTGCTTTTTCTTCTTTCTTTGTATCAACTGTTATATTAAAACATTTCTCTATGTGGAAAACTAATTCATAAGCCTCCTCTGGTAAGAAATGTTTGGGCTATTATTATTTTTTTTGCTGTTTTGTATATGACCTGTTTTCTGAGCAATATGCCTCTATTTTTCTTAAATCTAACATACACATGTTCTCAGAATGGAAAAAATAATTTTCAAAATTTGAAAGCAGAGCCTCGCTGACACATCATTGGCCAGTTACCAACAGGCATCTTTATGAGTGACAGCAGTGCTGAGTACACACACACTGGAGCTGGTTCTTTCCTTCTGGTAGGAAAGGAAGAGAATCCATATGTCCTGGGGATTCTACATAGATAAAAACTGGTTATAATTAACTTCTCTTGCTATTTCTATAACTTCCTTATGAAGAATTTCTATAGTAAATCAATAAATGTATTAGAATCAGTTGCCCAAGTTACTAAAGTGGATGAAATGGTGGTGTGGTAGTACTGTGGAAAAATATTAAACTTTAAAGTGAGGGTGCCTGATCCTGGTCGCATCCATGTTACTTAAGGAGTAGTGACCTTAGGCAGTCTTATGCTTTCTCGAAGCCTCTATATCCTTGTCTTTAACTGAAAATTATACTCGAGCTAGCCACATTGGGTGAGAGGGCTGCCCAAGACAAAATATGTGAGAAGAACTAAAAAAGTACCCTTGTTTTCCTTTTGATTACCCTTCATATCTGATCACTACATGAATATAGTAATACGCTTGCCTTATTTACATTTAAGTAGAAAAATAATTTGGATCATTAAGTCAAGACATGAAAAAGAAAAACCCAGAAGGAAGGTAACAATTTAAAAACAAGTGTTACAACCAATTGAAGATAAAGGAGCTATAGGATCAAGTCTATCTAGTGTCCTTGTTCTTAATCTGTTTCCGAGCACTGACTTCCTTTAAAATAACTGAAAACTAATAAGGCGTAAAACATCATTTTCACCCTATTTGTCTGATTTTTCAGTTATTTTTAATGTCCTAGGTGTTGATTTCCATCTCTCATATTGTTTACGGTTCTGGCAATGGTGAAGAATTTAAGTGCTTGTGATTAGAAAAGGAGATATTAGATAAAAAGGGTGATAGACCTGCTGTGCTTCGTCCCCTCAGAACCCTCCCCATTGTTTTTTTTTTTATACTTTAAGATTTAAGGTACATGTGCACAATGTGCAGGTTAGTTACATATGTATACATGTGCCATGCTGGTGTGCTGCACCCATTAACTCATCATTTAGCATTAGGTATATCTCCTAATGCTATCCCTCTCCCCTCCCCCCACTCCACAACAGTCCCCAGAGTGTGATGTTCCCCTTCCTGTGTCCATGTGTTCTCATTGTTCAGTTCCCACCTATGAGTGAGAACATGCGGTGTTTGGTTTTTTGTCCTTGCAATAGTTGACTGAGAATGATGATTTCCAATTTCATCCATGTCCCTACAAAGGACATGAACTCATCATTTTTTATGGCTGCATAGTATTCCATGGTGTATATGTGCCACATTTTCTTAATCCAGTCTATCATTGTTGGACATTTGGGTTGGTTCCAAGTCTTTGCTATTGTGAATAGTGCCGCAATAAACATACGTGTGCATGTGTCTTTATAGCAGCATGATTTATAGTCCTTTGGGTATATACCCAGTAATAGGATGGCTGGATCAAATGGTATTTCTAGTTCTAGATCCCTGAGGAATCGCCACACTGACTTCCACAATGGTTGAACTAGTTTACAGTCCCACCAACAGTGTAAAAGTGTTCCTATTTCTCCACATCCTCTCCAGCACCGGTTGTTTCCTGACTTTTTAATGATTGCCATTCTAACTGGTGTGAGATGGTATCTCATTGTGGTTTTGATTTGCCTTTCTCTGATGGCCAGTGATGGTGAGCATTTTTTCATGTGTTTTCTGGCTGCATAAATGTCTTCTTTTGAGAAGTGTCTGTTCATGTCCTTCGCCCACTTTTTGATGGGGTTGTTTGTTTTTTTCTTGTAAATTTGTTTGAGTTCATTGTAGATTCTGGATATTAGCCCTTTGTCAGATGAGTAGGTTGCGACAATTTTCTCCCATTTTGTAGGTTGCCTGTTCACTCTGATGGTAGTTTCTTTTGCTGTGCAGAAGCTCTTTAGTTTAATTAGATCCCATTTGTCAATTTTGGCTTTTGTTGTCATTGCTTTTGGTGTTTTAGACATGAAGTCCTTGCACATGCCTATGTCCTGAATGGTAATGCCTAGGTTTTCTTCTAGGGTTTTTATGGTTTTAGTTCTAACGTTTAAGTCTTTAATCCATCTTGAATTAATTTTTGTATAAGGTGTAAGGAAGGGATCCAGTTTCAGCTTTCTACATATGGCTAGCCAGTTTTCCCAGCACCACTTATTAAATAGGGAATCCTTTCCCCATTGCTTGTTTTACTCAGGTTTGTAAAACATCAGATAGTTGTAGATATGTGGCGTTATTTCTGAGGGCTCTGTTTTGTTCCATTGATCTATATCTCTGTTTTGGTACCAGTACCATGCTGTTTTGGTTACTGTAGCCTTGTAGTATAGTTTGAAGTCAGGTAGCATGATGCCTCCCTTTGTTCTTTTGGCTTAGGATTGACTTGGCGATGCGGGCCCTTTTTTGTTTCCATATGAACTTTAAAGCAGTTTTTTCCAATTCTGTGAAGAAAGTCATTGGTAGCTTGATGGGGACGGCATTGAATCTATAAATTACCTTGGGCAGTATATGGCCATTTTCAAGATATTGATTCTTCCTACCTATGAGCATGGAATGTTCTTCCATTTCTTTATATCCTCTTTTATCTCATTGAGCAGTTAGTTGTTTGTAGTTCTCCTTGAAGAGGTGCTTCACATCCCTTGTAAGTTGGATTCCTAGGTATTTTTTTCTCTTTGAAGCAATTGTGAATGGGAGTTCACTCATGATTTGGCTGTCTGTTTGTCTGTTATTGGTGTGTAAGAATGCTTGCGATTTTTGTACATTGATTTTGTATCCTGAGACTTTGCTGAAGTTGCTTATCAGCTTAAGGAGATTTTGGGCTGAGACAATGGGGTTTTCTAGATATACAATCGTGTCATCTGCAAACAGGGACAATTTGACTTCCTCTTTTCCTAATTGAATACCCTTTATTTCCTTCTCCTGCCTAAATGCCCTGGCCAGAAATTCCAACACTATGTTGAATAGGAGTGGTGAGAGAGGGCATCCTTGTCTGGTGCCAGTTTTCAAAGGGAATGATTCCAGTTTTTGCCCATTCAGTATGATATTGGTTGTGGGTTTGTCACAGATAGCTCTTATTATTTTGAGATACATCCCATCAATACCTAATTTATTGAGAGTTTTTAGCATGAAGGGTTGTTGAATTTTGTCAAAGGCCTTTTCTACATCTATTGAGATAATAATGTGGTTTTTGTCTTTGGTTCTGTTTATATGCTGGATTACATTTATTGATTTGGGTATGTTGAACCAGCCTTGCATCACAGGGATGAAGCCTACTTGATCATGATGGATAAGTTTTTGATGTGCTCCTGGATTCGGTTTGCCAGTATTTTATTGAGGATTTTTGCATCAATGTTCATCGAGGAAATTGGTCTAAAATTCTCTTTTTTGGTTGTGACTCTGCCTGGGTTTGGTATCAGGATGATGCTGACCTCATAAAATGAGTTAGGGCGGATTCCCTCTTTTTCTATTGATTGGAATAGTTTCAGAAGGAATGCTACCAGTTCCTCCTTGTACCTCTGGTAGAATTCGGCTGTGAATCTGTCTGGTCCTGGACTTTTTTTGGTTGGTAGGCTATTAATTATTGCCTCAACTTCAGAGCCTGTTATTGGTCTATTCAGAGATTCAACTTCTTCCTGGTTTAGTCTTGGGAGAGTGTATGTGTCGAGGAATTTATCCATTTCTTCTAGATTTTCTAGTTTATTTGCATAGAGGTGTTTGTAGTATTCCCTGATGGTAGTTTGTATTTCTGTGGGATCAGTGGTGATACCCCCTTTATCACTTTTTATTGCATCTATTTGATTCTTCTCTCTTTTCTTCTTTATTAGTCTTGCTAGTGGTCTATCAGTTTTGTAGATCCTTTCAAAAAACCAGCTCCTGGATTCATTAATTTTTTGAAGCTTTTTTTGTGTCTCTATCTCCTTCAGTTCTGCTCTGCTTTTAGTTATTTCTTGCCTTCTGCTAGCTTTTGAATGTGTTTGCTCTTGCTTTTCTAGTTCTTTTAATTGTGATGTTAGGGTGTCAATTTTGGATCTTTCCTGCATTCTCTTGTGGGCATTTAGTGCTATAAATTTCCCTCTACACACTGCTTTGAATGTGTCCCAGAGATTCTGGTATGTTGTGTCTTTGTTCTCGTTGGTTTCAAAGAATATCTTGATTTCTGCTTTCATTTCGTTATGTACCCAGTAGTCATTCAGGAGCAGGTTGTTCAGTTTCCATGTAGTTGAGTGGTTTTGAGTGAGTTTCTTAATCCTGAGTTCTAGTTTGATTGCACTGTGGTCTGAGAGACAGTTTGTTATAATTTCTGTTCTTTTACATTTGCTGAGAAGAGCTTTACTTCCAAGTATGTGGTCAATTTTGGAATAGGTGTGGTGTGGTGCTGAAAAAAATGTATATTCTGTTGATTTGGGGTGGAGAGTTCTGTAGATGTCTATTAGGTCTGCTTGGTGCAGAACTGAGTTCAATTCCTGGGTACCCTTGTTAACTTTCTGTCTCATTGATCTGTCTAATGTTGACAGTGGGATGTTAAAGTCTCCCATTATTATTGTGTGGGAGCCTAAGTCTCTCTGTATGTCACTCACGACTTGCTTTATGAATCTGGGTGTTCCTGTATTGGGTGCATATATATTTAGGATAGTTAGCTCTTCTTGTTGAATTGATCCCTTTACCATTATGTAATGGCCTTCTTTGTGTCTTTTGATCTTTGTTGGTTTAAAGTCTGTTTTATCAGAGACTAGGATTGCAACCCCTTCCTTTTTTTGTTTTCCATTTGCTTGGTAGATCTTCCTCCAACCTTTTATTTTGAGCCTATGCGTGTCTCTGCATGTGAGATGGGTTTCCTGAATACAGCACACTGATGGGTCTTGACTCTTTATCCAATTTGCCAGTCTGTGTCTTTTAATTGGAGCATTTAGTCCCTTTACATTTAAAGTTAATATTGTTATGTGTGAATTTGATCCTGTCATTATGATGTTAGCTGGTTATTTTGCTCGTTAGTTAATGCGGTTTCTTCCTAGCCTCGATGGTCTTTACAATTTGGCATGGTTTTGCAATGGCTGGTACCGGTTGTTCCTTTCCATGTTTAGTGCTTCCTTCAGGAGCTCTTTTAGGGCAAGCCTGGTGGTGACAAAATCTCTCAGCATTTGCTTGTCTGTAAAGTATTTTATTTCTCCTTCACTTATGAAGCTTTGTTTGGCTGGATATGAAATTCTGGGTTGAAAATTCTTTTCTTTAAGAATGTTGAATATTGACCCCCACTCTCTTCTGGCTTGTAGAGTTTCTGCTGAGAGATCCACTGTTAGTCTGATGGGCTTCCCTTTGAGGCTAACCCGACCTTTCTCTCTGGCTGCCCTTACCATTTTTTCCTTCATTTCAACTTTGGTGAATCTGACAATTATGTGTCTTGGAGTTGCTCTTCTCGAGGAGTATCTTTGTGGCATTCTCTATATCCTGAATCTGAATATTGGCCTGCATTGCTAGATTAGGGAGGGCAGCCAAGATGGCCGAATAGGAACAGCTCCGATCTACAGCTCCCAGCCTGAGTGACACAGAAGATGGGTGATTTCTGCATTTTCATCTGAGGTACCAGGTTCATCTCACTAGGGAGTGCCAGACAGTCAACGCAGGACAGTGGGTGCAGTGCACCGTGCGCGATCCGAAGCATGGCAAGGCATTGCCTCACTCAGCAAGTGCAAGGGGTCAGGGTGTTCCCTTTCCTAGTCAAAGAAAGGGGTGACAGACGGCACCTGGAAAATCGGGTCACTTCCACCCTAATACTGTGGTTTTCCAACAGGCTTAAAAAACGGCGCACCAGTAGATTGTATCCCGCACATGACTCAGAGGGTCCCACGCCCACGGAGTCTCACTGATTGCTAGCACAGCAGTCTGAGATCAAACTGCAAGGCAGCAGCGAGGCTGGCGGAGGGGTGCCCGCCATTGCCCAGGCTTGCTTAGGTAAACAAAGCAGCCCGGAAGCTCCAACTGGGTGGACCCCACCACAGCTTGAGGAGGCCTGCCTGCCTCTGTAGGCTCCACCTCTGGGGGCAGGGCACAGACAGATAAAAAGACAGCAGTAAACTCTGCAGACTTAAATGTCCCTGTCTGACAGCTTTGAAGAGAGCAATGGTTCTCCCAGCACACAGCTGGAGATCTGAGAATGGGCAGACTGCCTCCTCAAGTGGGTCCCTGACCCCTGACCCCTGAGCAGCCTAACTGGGAGGCACCCCCCAGTAGGGGCAGACTGACACCTCACATGGCTGGGTACTCCTCTGAGACAAAACTTCCAGAGGAATGATCAGATAGCAGCATTTGCGGTTCACGAAAATCTGCTGTTCTGCAGCCACCGCTGCTAGTACCCAGGCAAACAGGGTCTGGAGTGGACCTCTAGCAAACTCCAACAGACCTGCAGCTGAGGGTCCTGTCTGTTAGAAGGAAAACTAACAAACAGAAAGGACATCCACACCAAAAACCCATCTGTACATCACCATCATCAAAGACCAAAAGTAGATAAAACCACAAAGATGGGGAAAAAACAGAGCAGAAAAACTGGAAACTCTAAAAAGCAGAGCACCTCTCCTCCTCCAAAGGAACGCCTTGCTCCTCACCAGCAGTGGAACAAAGCTGGAGGGAGAATGACTTTGACGAGTTGAGAGAAGAAGTCTTCAGACGATCAAACTACTCTGAGCTACAGGAGGAAATTCAAACCAAAGGCAAAGAAGTTTAAAACTTTGAAAAAAAAATTTAGACTAATGTATAACTAGAATAACCAATACAGAGAAGTGCTTAAAGGTGCTGATGGAGCTGAAAGCCAAGGCTCGAGAACTACCTGAAGAATGCAGAAGCCTCAGGAGCCGATGTGATCAACTGGAAGAAAGGGTATCAGCGATGAAAGATGAAATGAATGAAATGAAGCGAGAAGGGAAGTTTAGAGAAAAAAGAATAAAAAGAAATGAACAAAGCCTCCAAGAAATATGGGACTATGTGAAAAGACCAAATCTACATCTGATTGGTGTACCTGAAAGTGACGGGGAGAATGGAACCAAGTTGGAAAACACTCTGCAGGATATTATCCAGGAGAACTTCCCCATTGTTTTTTTTTTGTAGAGAAAAAGGAAAAAACATGTTTTGCCCATACTGATCACTTTTATGTTGCAACAGTGCCTAGAAGGGGGCCTGCTCATCATTATATAATTGAGGCAAAACAGCAACATGATGCTGGTAGCAAAGCAGGAGATCCAGCTTGGAACCTAGAACATTCTGTTGAGACAGCGTGGTTCCCACATCTGCTTTTGCAGCTACCCAGGGAATTATGCTGGCGCTTTGGCTGGCATGACTGTAGGTGCCAGAGGCTTAGAAAGCCCTCACTCAGGACTTCCCAGCCTGGTAGACTGTACCTAGGTGAAGCCAGAAACCATTTCCCATCACCCGAGTATCCTTTCCTTAAGCAACTTGGAGAAAATTCCAGAAGTACCACTAACTGAAAAACTCTAGCTAGATGTGCTCCTATAGCTTTTGCTAAAACCTGTATCCTTTGAACCTCTTTCCAATGAATTCTAATTTGTGTAAGATTTTATGTTGCGATACTTAATTTTACCAATTCACAACCCCAATGAGACTAATTCTGAGGACATTCCTGGTACACCCAGGGAAGTACTTCATCAGATAGATCACCAAAAATAAAAATTTGTATAACAGATTTTATTGTAATGTAATGATAAATTTTACTGAAATGCTGTGGCCTGAGTCTCCTACCTGCTCTCCCCAGGTCTCAACCTCTGTTTTATGCCAACAGAAAAATTTTTTTAAAAGATCTGCTTCATGTTATTAGAAAAAAAAAGTACCTATTTTTCTAAACCTACTTAAAATAGGTATATTCTGGCTATTAGGGCAATGGTTCTATAGAATAATATGTGTATTAGTCCGTTCTCACACTGCTCATAAAGACATACCTGAGACTGGGTAATTGATAAAGAAAAAGACATTTAATGGACTCACAGTTCTACATGGCTGCAGAGGCCTCACAATCATGGCAGAAGGCAAAGGAGGAGCAAAGGCATGTCTTACATG
The DNA here is from genome assembly GCF_000001405.40 of Homo sapiens. Classification (NCBI taxonomy): domain Eukaryota; kingdom Metazoa; phylum Chordata; class Mammalia; order Primates; family Hominidae; genus Homo; species Homo sapiens. Next base: position 57,917,091 of record NC_000004.12, on the reverse strand, counting down.
GCAGCAGGCAAGAAAACATATTTAGGGGACCTGCCCTTTTTGAAGCCATCAGATCTCGTGAGATTTATTCACTATCATGAGAATAGCATGGGAAAAACCCACCCCCATGATTCAATTACCTCCCCACGGGGTCCCTCCCATGACACATGGAGATTAGGGGAGTTACAATTCAAGATGAGATTTGCATGGGATCATAGCCAAACCATATCAATATGACTCTCAATTTTATCTCAATCAGCAAAAAATGAGGATATATGCCATTGGTAAAGAACAATATTCACACATTTCTGATAAGTCAGAACTCATGTTTAAAAGTAGACTAACAGATCAGATCAGGACAAAAATTGGTAACTATCTTTTGGAAATGGTAATGAAATAGGAAACTTGAAAATTGAAATTGTGTAAGGTTTCATAATAATGCTGACAAGTAAGAATTTGCTTATATGTTCAACAATGTTGAGAAAGTATACAATTTTCAAGAAATTCAAAGAGTTCATTGTTTAGGATATTGGAAAAGAAATATGCAACATGACTTTAGAAATAGAGTTGAGAAAGAGTGGGCAGAATGAGAAATAATGGTATTAGGTTTTCAAGATGGTATCAAAGTGTGAAAATAAAATATACATATGTGTGGTGTTTATATCTGCCATCTCATCTATCTATCTATCTATCTATCTATCTATCTATCTATCTATCTAAGCTATCTACCTATAGTCTCCCAAAATATGATGTTTCAATTTTGGTTACAGTTTCTTTTGAAAACAGTAAGCTAAGTCAAAATAATATTAGTGGAAAAACTTGACAGTTTTTGTAATCGAGAAGGCTAAGGAAAGAAGACTTTTCAGAAGCACTGTTGAGAATATAAAGTACTGAACTAGTCATTACCCTTTGTTAAAAAGATAAAATAGTTATTTGAAAACCACGTAAGTACCAGTTACCATAAAGACACAATGAATAAAGAGCATTAGACTTGTGAATTTAGAGTCCCTATTATTCTAGCACATACTCTGTCTTGTCATAATAAAATTGAATTTGTGGTTATTTTGTTTGCTAAAAAAAAGCTTACTTGTGATAGTCTACCCTATTAACCTATGTTTTGTCTTAAATTTTCTATCAATTTGTTTTCTTTTTCTACATAGGTGCTTTTTAAAACAAGTTTTCAATGGAAAATTACATTTATTTACTACATTTTAATAGAAAACTTTATTAAAAACGTTTGTAATAGGAAATAAATTTACTTACCTAATTTGCTATGTACACACCAGTACTATGCTAATTAACCCAGTATATGTTCCTTATTTAAATTTAGTCTGCAATTTCACCGCTTGTTAGTCAAAAAGCCTTAAGATTTTGTATTCTCTTTATAAACCAGTAATAAAGATTATTTGTAACTCTAACAAATTCTTTTGTGACAAAAGCATGAAGATTTTTCTTCTATGAAGCAGTTAAAAAACAAAGTTAGTGTTTGGGATCAGAAATACAAGAGCTATATCGCAAAAAAGACACCGAAAGAATGAAGATGGGAATAAACAATAAGAAAGAGATGGATTAGGTTAAGATTTAATCATCCATTTGAAATGTGGATAAAAGGTGAGGCGGCAAAAAGACTGAAAAAGAAGGTATCCAGTCTGGCTCATTTCTTCATTCCTACATCGGATTTCAAGGAAGTTCACTTCTCTCTTTTCCAAGATGACTATTTCATACCTTAAATTCTCTTCCCCCATACCACCAATGTAGTGCATGAATTGCCTTATACTAATGCAAATCATTAGACAAGCATATCGTTGTTTTCCCACAACAAACCTACATAATCACTTTAATAATGTGCATCTACTTCTATGTTTTCCTTCCTTCTGTTGCAACAGACAAATTGAAACTTGTTTAACAAAAGTCCAGTTCTTGTACAAGTGTTTTGGAATCTCTTCCTTGCAAACTTTTAAAGGAACATTTTTTTAAAATTACTAATTTTTATTATACTTTAAGTTCCAGGGTACATGTGCAGAATGTGCAGGTTTGTTACATATGTATACATGTGCCATGTTGGTGTGCTGCACCCATTAACTCGTCATTTAACGTTAGGTATATCTCCTAATGCTATCCTTCCCCGCTCCCTCGACCCCACAACAGGCCCCAGTGTGTGATGTTCCCCACCCTGTGTCCAATTGTTCTCATTGTTCAGTTCCCACCTATGAGTGAGAACATGCAGTGTTTGGTTTTCTGTCCTTGCAATAGTTTGCTCAGAATGATGGTTTCCAGCTTCATCCGTGTCCCTACAAAGGACATGAACTCATCCTTTTTATGGCTGCGTAGTATTCCATGGTGTATATGTGCCACATTTTCTTAATCCAGTCTATCATTGGTGGGCATTTGGGTTGGGAACAACCCAAATGTTTTTTATTCAGTTAAAATAAATTTACTGAGCACTTATTCCCTGCTATATACCATGCTAGGTATTGGAACTACATTGACGACCACAGAGAGGTATAATCTTTCTATTCATAGAGCTTCCAGTGTGTTGGGAGACTTATACATTAATCAAATAATGATACAAATAAACACAAACTTACAAGTGAGTTAAAAGCTATAAAATATTAATGCAATGAGAGCTCATCAAGGAAATCAGAAAAGAAGTTTCTGAGAAAGTAACATTTGAGCTAAGATATGAAAGATCTGTACATATAAATTGGACCAAAAGAAAAGGGACAAATTTCCAGAAAAGAAAATAAAATGGAAAAAGTATTCTAAGGTCCTGAAAATGGCCAATGTTAGCAGAAAATAAGGGAGAAAGTAGAATAAATTAGGCTGGGAAGAGGTCAGAGGTTGCAGAACATTGTGGGACATATTTAGAAAAGTTGTTTATATCCTAAGGTTAGTGAGAAGTTATTGGAGGGTTTTATACAAGGAGGTGGCAGCATCAGGTGCATCAGCAGTGCAACACCATATTCCAGGAGAACAAAATGATAAGTAGATATGCATAGAGTACTCAAAATAGCTTTTGCAGTATTCCAGACAAGAAACTGTTATAGTTTGAACCAAGTTTGAGGGAAATATTAAGAATTTGTTTCTTTTATCTCATTTCAGTGCATAAACAGTTCTAATTGAACCCCACATACTGCCTCCATTTATTTGTTGCCTGTCCATAGCCAAACTCTTCCAATGAATTAACTACATAAGCAGTAACCACATTCTCAACTCTTATTAAATATGAAAAATGCAGAATTTTGCATTTACCACTGAAACAGATCTGGCTAAAGTCCCCAGATACCTCCATACTGCAAAATCTGTTAAATTATTTTGTCATCTTATTTCATATCTAAAATGCATTTGACTAAGTTGACCAATGATTCATTCAATAAATGCATTTTTCATTCATCAATACATATTGAGATTTTACTGTGTGAAATTTGTAATATGTTTTGCTAGGTATACAAGAAAGAGATGAGTCTAATGGTTGAAACAAACAGTAATGAAAGAATTGTACAAATAAATGTAAATTTTCAACAAAGATTAAATTTATAAAAGTTACTAGGAACTCATTCATGCAGCGTCAACATGTTATTCCTTGACTATCATTACATCATATTCTCCTACATATCTGTATGTTAGATGATGCATAGAGATTAGACATAGATAGATGATAGATAGATAATAGATAGATAGATAATAGATAGACAGATAGATAGATAGGCAGATGGTTAAAAATATTTAAAAGACTACCACAAAAAGGGAATCTATTTACAATGAGTAAAACTAAAATACTAACATAGTTGAGCTAGACAGTCTCTGAGACATATGCATATATAGAGAGATAGATTGTCTATCTATCTACCTATCTATCTATCTATGTCTATCTATCCTCTTATGTACCTATGGTTCAAAATTACAAAGTGCTCCAAGGCAAGGCAGGGTGGGGAGTAAGTAATAGAGACATTGAGTATACCCTTCTCTTGAAAGAACAGAAAGTAGGTGACAGAGTTAAATATTTTCTAAAGAACAGAGCAAATCTGATACACTATAGATAAAATTGCAAGAAAGAAAAAAATTGGAGATGCAAGAAAAAAAGCTTATTACTGATAGAATAAAAGCATAAGAGATGTGAGAGGCTACTAGTAAGAGCAGAGGTGAATTGATGGATCATTTTAGAAATAAAAACATTTCATATTCTGGAGTAAGGAGAAAGACATCAAAAAGGCTAGATTTTTCTGTTATAGCTATGTTGATATGGTGTGAGTATTATAAGCAAATGTGTACTGAAGTAAATTATCGTTTTAAACTGGGCAAATCCCAAAACATATAACAACCAGATATTAATATATTAGCTTTTTCAAAAGATGAAACTAGTCTGTAAAAACATCTCATATTGAATTTATCTGGAATGTTGTTGTGAGTAGCTGAAAGCAAATTATTCCACCCAAAACTCATCTACCCCCATTTAAACACAGATCATGCAGATATTGATTCATTTATCAAGTACTTTTCTCACTGATGATTGAGTATCTCAGATTTCATTACAAATTTTATGATTTTAAAAAATATGTTGATTGATTTTTTGACTAGGTAACATTAAATTCTGCTTCTATATCCTTTCTTTTTGTTTTATATGCACCTGTGTGCATATGTGCACACACACACACGCACACAAACACACACATCAAGCCATTTCCTAATTTCTAAGATTAAATTTTTAGTCCATTTATTTTCTCCTTTATCTTTTAATGTAGAAACTATTTAAATCTATGTGTTTATGTCTAGATACAGCTTTTGTTAAAATGATTTTATTTTTATATATGATAAAATTTATCTTTAAAATATTGTCTGTCTATATAATTTTACTTTTCCTATGAAAAAATGGTGGTTTAGTGGAGCTTTTCTTTTCACTCCAGAAACTTGGGAGACCTATTTATGTGTTTTGTTTCATATATAAGTGAATAGATATGCTCATCAGATGTACTTTACCAGAGACAGATGGTAACCTCTTATTAAGGTCATATTCCTTCATGTGATTTTTAAACTTATATATATTTATGCATATCTTCTTTTTTTGGTATTTTTTGGTTCATACAGTTTTACACTCACTTCCGTCACATATGGATTCATGACTATTATATTATCTTTATATATCCTTACTGTAAAGATATCTCTTATGCCAGTACAATGCATTTGAATTTTGTTTTTTAACCCATTTTTTAATGTGTACCTTTTAATTCAATGTTAAACACAGTTCTGTTGGACTGCACATTTTTATTATTACTTTGCTTATTATACATTTTGTTATATATTTTATTGGATTTTTTTTTTGCTCCATGCTTATTTATTTTTCTCTCATTTATCTTTTGAATCATTTTTAATTTTTTTTCCTATTGAGTGTTAAATTTCATTGGTATGAAACTATTTGACCTATTAAAAACATAGGAAATCTAGATATTTTAAAACTAAGTTAATGGGAAAAAAATCACTGCTTATTTCCTCATGACATAAAAATGATTTTAATTAAGGTGTTCATTTTTGCTACACTCTTGCTCAACTACAACAAATCTGTGATTAGTATTTTCAAAAGGGTATATATAAAGATTTCTTTTTTCTTTTTCTTTTACTTTTGCTTTCTTTTTTTTTTTTTTTTTTCCCTTTTACAGACAAGGTTTTGCTCTGTCACCCAAGCATGAGTGTAATTGTGCAATCAGGTCTTACTGCAGCCTTGACTTCCCTGGCTTAGGTGATCCTCCCTCCTGACCCTCCTGAGTAGCTGGGACTACAGGCATGCATCACCATGCCCAGCTAAATTTTTGTTTTTGTAGAGACAGTGTTTCACTTTGTTGCCCAGGCTGGTCTCAAATTCCTGGGCTCAAGCAATCCACCCACCTCAGCCTCCCAAAGTGCTAGGATTACAGGGGTGAGCTACTGCACCAGGCCGAGGATATCTTTCTATTTAGTTTCACTAATGATTACCAATTTAGCTGAGCTAAAACCTGATTTCTTACATTTTCTATTAAATATTATATTAAATATTATACAAAGACAAGAAAGGTTTTTTTTTTTAGCTGTTATGTCTGACTTGGTGGGGTAGTTATATAATTGGTTCTGGTTTCTTCCTTGGGAAGATCTATTAATTCCATATGCTATTATATGTCTTAATCCTTCTCATCACTGTCTTTATCACTTTTATTCTTGTATATCTAAGAAACTTTTTTAGCTTTGTCTGCTAAGCAATAATTTGATTTCCTACAATACCAACCATACTATTTTAATGTCTTTAATGTATTAATTCAGTTATTGAACTTTGTATTTCCTTAAAGCATTTTCTTATTTCTATAAGATTGTATCACATCTATATTATATATTTCATTTGTACATATTCCATATATTACTATGGCCCCTATCTATTATGTGCCTCTTACTTTATTTTCTACTTTTGCACAGGCCATGTCTTATTGAATTTTTACTTAGAACAACAAGTAATGATTTATTCCTCTAGTAAACAATTTTTAGAGACAAACGTTTTAAGTTTTTTTGAAAATGCTTGATTTCTTTTATGTTGTAAAATCCTCTTTCCTATTGTCTCTAGATTCTCCTTCATTTTCTTTTTTCTTATTCTTGAGCAAGGAGAAACCTATCCAGACTTAGTCTTTCATCTCTGACAATGCATGTGGTACACAGTATTGCCTAATATTTGACGATTAGGAGAGCAGGTTTTATCTCTCAGCTATGGCCCTTGAAGAGCTCACTTTGTTTCCTGCAGGTATTCACATAATGAAGCTCTGCTGGTCTGACAAGGGAAACTCTCAGCCCCAGCAATCAAATTATCTAAATACACCACATAATCAGATGTGGCTTTTTTTTTTAGATGAATTCTTGCTCTGTTGACCAGGCTGGATTGCAGTGGTGCAATCTCGGCTCACCTCTGCCTCCTGGGTTCAAGCGATTCTCATGCCTCAGCCTCCCAAGTAGCTGGGATTACAGAGGCTGGCAACTGCACCTGGCTAATTTTTGTATTTTTAGTAGAGACGGGGTTTCACCATGTTGGCCAGGCTGGTCTTGAACTCCTAACCTCAAGTGATCTGCCTCCCTCGGTCTTTCAAAGTGCTGGGATTACAGGCGCGAGCCACCGTGTCTGGCCACAGATGTGGTTTTCTTTGACCAGGTACAACACATAAAATGCTAATAGAGATCTCCCCACATCTCTGTCTCATACCGCCTTTCCCCAACTGCCTAGTACAATGAATTTCCTAAGATGACTATAGGTCTCAGAATGGAATGGTTATCCTTATCCCACTATCTGCAAGTAGATATAAAAAGAAAGTAATGGAGGAATAAAGTTGGAGAGCACTAAGGGCAGATGGAATTACTCAGTTAAAGTCTTTCTCTATTTTTTAAATTCCAATTCTGTCGAAAGTTTTATTTTTGTACATTTTTTTTTTTACTTTTTTGGTAGGAATCTGAGTATTCATAAATATTTCATATTACATGAGGTAATATAAAGGAACACATAAAATCAGACTCACAGGATTTAGAGATCTTCCCCAGTATCAACCTCTAGTAATACTTCCAAGAATACAAGTACTCATGAGGTACAGGCAAAGCAGCAAGAGTTCTGGGACTTTCATGACAGCTATTTAGGTCCTTTCTTCTAGCACCAAGCATGCAATGGCTCAGGTTAACAGATGAAGTTTCCAAAAAACGTGTTTTGTCACCTCATTTATAGAAGAAAACATTTAGGTTGTGAAACATCTCCATTTTATACACAAATTATGGCATGCCTTATGTGGCATTTCTAGAGTTATGCTCCATTAATCCATAGTGTATTTATCTGTTCCACATTGCTATAAAGAACTGCCTGAGACTGAGTAATTTATAAAGAAAATATGTTTAATTGACTCACAGCTCTGCATGGCTGGAGAGGCCTCAGGAAACTTACACTCATGGTGGAAGGGGAAGCAGGTATGTCTTACATGGCAGTAGGCTAGAGAGTGTGAGAAGGAAGCGAAGGTGGAAAAGCCCCTCATAAAACCATCAGATCTCATGAGAACTCACTCATTATCACGAGAACAGCATGGAGAAAACCACCCCCATGTTCCAGTTATCTCCCTCCCTCGACATGTGGGATTACAATTCTAGGTGAGATTTGGGTGGGGACACAGAGCCAAACCATATCACATAGATTCCAGGCATGTTTACTCTAAGCAATTTCCAGTCATGTTTACTCTAAGCAATTCTAGATAAGTAGGTATATACTTTTAAAAGCATTCCATAAATTAATGACACTCCTCTTAGCAAAAACTATTTGGTTTGTTTGCCAGATCTGTCATTAGCTTGTTAATAAGAAGATCACATCTAGTCACTTGTCTTCTCCAAACCTCTCACCCGGAAGTGTCCTGCTTCTCTCCATCCCCACTTGCCAAAGTGAGCGAATGGATCATAGATCTACCTGTTGTCTACTCAATCACTTCCATGTTGTAAGACAGAGGGTTCCAACCCCTGGGCAAGGATCAGTAATGGTCTGTGGCCCATTAGGAACTGAGCCACAAAGCGGGAGGTAAGCAGTTAGCAGGAGAGCATTACCACCTAAGCTCCACCTTCTGTCACTCGTGTCAGATCAGTGGCAGCATTAGATTCTCATAGGAGCACAAACCTTATTGCAAACTGTGCATGCCAGGGATCTAGGCTATCTGTTCCTTATGAGAATCTAATCCCTGATAATCTGAGGTGAAACAATTTCATCCTGAAACCATCTCCCTCCACACCCACCCTCCCATCCTGGAAAAAAATGTCTTCACAAACCTGGTCCCTGGTGCCAAAAAGGTTGGGGACCGCTGTTACAGGGATATTTGTGGATAGGACAATTTTCTCATGTATTACTAATAGAATGACTTTTTAGAAATCATATTTCTGACTAGTCTATGTACTTGCTTGTTTACCCATCATCTAAATAGTAAAATCAAAACTCCAGGATATAACCTCATGGCTGTCTACAATCTGTCTCTAAGTATTTCCACTTGATTTTCCTCTCTTTTCTTGAAACCCAATAGGTTTTTCCTTGATACTGGTTGACTTGCATGTGTTTGCTTATCTAGAGCAAGGCAAGAACTATATTCACATTTAGAAACCAGAAGAAATAAAACTATGCCCTAAAGAGTTACAAAGATAAGATACATCCTTAATAAGCCTGAAATATTATCAAATTTACCTTGTTAGTAACTAGAAGAAAAGTGAATTAAGCTGATCACTTTAATTGAAAATGAAACCACACCAAACCTAATTATACTACGGCACAACACAGACCCTCCATATAATGAAAACATTGGTCCTACTGTTGCAGGCCTTGTAAACACTGCTGGTAGTCTGGTCATGCCTCATTTCCCTCAGACTCTTTCCAAATACAGCCAAATTTATTGATGCAAACAGTGAGGTCAAGTAATGAATTTTCAAGGTCATTTTGCAAATAGGAGGAAACAGTTTCTTTTGACTCCTCCTGGATGCCTCTGCATAATGGGTTGCTTCTGCTGGATTCATTAATTTTCTTATCATGCTGTAAATCAATTAGGTCTTCTGCCTACCCTCATTATAACCTGCATATATATATATATATATTCCATATTGGATGCTCAGAACACTCCAATAACTTTGGCTAACTAATCCATGAAATAACTTTTTGAAGAAAATACAGAAATTCATATCAACCTTCCTATCATTTTCAAAGATGCAGAGTTGTGGCTAAATTTGCTTCTGGTATGTAAAATGAACCCAGGACCCACGTTCCTGATGGAGAGTTTGCTACTTCTCTATGTAGATATAAAATTTTTTATAAACATCTACAAAATATTTTCCTTGGGGCTGTTTTTACTTAAGGGGAACTACAAGAATATATATATATATATATATTTATATATATATTTATATATATATTTATATATATTTATATATTATATATATATTTATATATATATTTATATATATATTTATATATATTTATATATTATATATATATTTTATATATATTTATATATATTATATATATTATATATATATTTATATATATTTTATATATATATTTATATATATTTTATATATATATATTTATATATATTTTATATATATATTTATATATATTTTATATATATATTTATATATATTATATATATTTATATATATTATATATATTTATATATATTTTATATATATATTTATATATATTATATATATTTATATATATTTTATATATATATTTATATATATTATACATATTTATATATATTTTATATATATATTTTTATATATTTTATATATATATTTTATATATATATTTATATATATTATATATATATTTATATATATTTATATATATTTTATATATATTTATATATATTTATATATATTTTATATATGTATATTTTATATATATATTTATATATATATTATATATATTTATATATATTTTATATATATATTTATATATATTTTATATATATATTTATATATATTTTATATATATATTTATATATATTTTATATATTTTATATATATTTTATATATATATTTTATATATATTTTATATATATATTTTATATATATTTTATATATATATTTTATATATATATATTTTATATATATATATATATAGAGAGAGAGAGAGAGAGAGAGAGAGAGAGACAGTCTCACTCTATCACCCAGGCTGGAGGGCAGTAACGTTATCTCAGCTCACTGCAACCTCTGCCTTCCAGGTTCAAGTGATTCTAGTAGGTCAGCCTTCTGAGGAGCTAAGTAGCTGGGACTACAGACGTGCACCACAATGCCTGTCTGGTTTTTTTAAATTATTTTTTGTATTTTTATTAGAGACAGAGTTTCGCCATGTTGGCCAGACTGGTCTCAAACTCCTGCCCTCAAGCCATCCACCCATCCCGGCCTCCCAAAGTGCTGGAATTTCAAGCCTGAGCCACTGCACCTGGCCAGAAAAAAAATTTTTTAAGCATGACTACACTGTGCATACATGTGTAAGCTCATCAGAACAATAGCACTGGGAAGAAAAATGTTGCCTTTTGATATCCAATCTTTCCAGGTGAGTTATTCCTAGACACATCTTTTTAGCACTCTTTGCCTCTTACTAGACTTATTTCATTCTTCCTTCCCTATTGCTTCCTATTCTTCCTGCTGTCTAGTTATTTATAAATCAGATTCCTACAACAAAGTAAAACCATAATGTAGGATAGATTGGGATCATTTTTGTAGAAGTTAAATAGCCAGACATTCTGTATTATATAACAAGATGGACCTTTATAAGAAAAACTATTAGAAAATTTAAATTGTTGTTCCAAGCAGTAAGAATCTAGAGTACCTGATCTTTAGTATATCCATCTTTTCAGAGATGAGTGTGTAAAGCTTATTTTACTTAAGAAACTCTATTGCTGTCTTGCAAAGCTCTGGACCCATACCAACACCCATGGTGCAATTGCTATTGTATCTTTGCCTTCAATGAAATATCAAGGTGTGAACATTTTGAGTCTACTATGGTAATGTCACATCTAAGAGATTTTCCTAGATGACTTGTTATTCGTACAAAATAAATATGACTAGGTTATATGATTTTAGAGCTGCAAGAATGTAAACCGTCTCTCATCTCTCTTGCCCTACTTCCATCCCTAATTCCCTCCAGCCAATTCCTTAATATTTACCCAAAGGAAAATAAATCATTATGTAAAAAATACCTACACTCGAATGTTTATCACAGCACTATTCACAGTGGCATGATATGAAATCAACCTAATTGTCCATCAATGGAGGATTGGATAAAGAAAATGTAGTATATGAATATACAATGGAATACTATTTGGCTATAAAAAGGATAAAATTGTGTCATTTGCAGCAACATGGATGGAACTGGAGGCTATTGTCTTAAGTGAAATAACTCATTTTGATTTTTCACTAGGCCCCATAAATTATTTATGTGGTCTCGAATGTAGAAGAGCAACTAATCTTAGGCATATGACAAATTTACTGGCAAAGAAAATAAATCAGAACTACTACAAGATAGGGGCTAAGGCAGGCATCCAGCCAGTGGGAAACTAGCTTGGAAAAAGAGGGTTGTGCCAGGTTATGAAGGTTGGGATTTTGAGGTTAGAGTCCAGAATTTGTTCTGGAGCCACTCATGAATCTTTGTAGGATTTTGAAGAAATATTCTATTATTAGAATTCCATGGTGATGTAAAGGGTGGATTAAAGGAATGCAAGAAATAGAAATGGAGGGTGTTCAGGTAGAATGTTAGTAAAATAATCTTGGTGAGAAATAATGAGGGCTTAATGACATGAATTAATACTGGACGTAGGGTCTGAGATATATTTCACAAAATGGGCAGGCTGCCCTCTTCCTCATACTAGTACTGTGCATACCTCTATTGCCTTTCTCCAAAAAAGAAAATGTTACTATGTACAAGTTATTATGTGTCCTTTTCATGTCTTTTTCCAACTTTATACTGAACATATTCATAATCATCAAACTAATCCAGAGTGAAATTTGGAGTGAGATAACTCCCATAATACTTCAAAAAATCTTCATAAGGTATAGGATCATTGAAAAACTTTTTTATGGGAAAAAACACAAAAACAATGAGGTACATAGGCCTCTCAAAAGTACTTCCACTGCACACCCATCTTTCTCAGGTTTTATAGCTGAGGAAAGATCCTCCTTGCTTCTGTTTGCCTCAATGATATTTCCATTCTCAAGATATTATAAGTAATTCAAATACATATTTAAAATGCTAACCTTTGTTCTGTAACAAGTATATTAATTAGGAATAGCCACTTTAGCAATGAAACATTCTAATTGTATATTAAAAGTCCTGAATCAGTACCCAAGGACTGAAAATAAATTTTTTCTAATGATAACTGTAAAGCATTTATTCGGAGTATTGAGTATGTTGTTAAGGTAGATTCTTGCTTCATTTTATATCAACCACATTCAGAAAATTGCACAGATTGAGGACACCATCGTCAGCCTCAAAGAGAATAGGTTTGGTCCTGAATATAAACTCTGGCTTACCTTGCTTTGTCAAAATGATTGGAGCTTAAAGGTTTTGTTCAAATAGCACCTTCTTGTCTATTTAAAAAACAGCACCTGGATTCTGAGCTACAGGTTAACCAAATAACCATCTGTTTAAAAACTGTTAACATGAAAATGTTAAAATCCCAGTTTTACTTCCAAAGTTGCCTAGAAATTAGCAGTCTTCTATTGATTGTGATACAGGAAATTATCATTTGAGTTGAGTTGAGTTGAGCATTACTTTGAAAATGCAACACAAAAACATTAACACAGCCCATTTTCTAACCCCTTCCTCTCTCACACAACACATATGCCTACAAACACTTCTCTTATTTTCTCTTCGTCACTGGGCTCCAGCTACACTGGGCTCCCACTATTTGCACATACACAGCTATACTGCCATTTCTGAGCCTTTGCCCTTGTTGTTACCCATGTCTCAGACTCCCTTCTCCCAGATCTGTGCAGGTGTCCCCAGTCTCCTTCAGCACTTGGCTCAAATGACTCATTTTTTTTCTGGCCACTGTATTTTAAATCCAATTCTGTCTTCAACTGTCACAATTCTTGCTTTATCTTTCTCTGCAGCACTTGTTAACATCTTAAATGTTTCCTATGTAGATATCTTTGCTGAGTTTATAGTTGATATCCTCCTAGAATGTAAACCCTAAAGGGCAGAGATTTTGGTTATTTGTGCCACTGCTAGATCTTCAACGCCCAGGACAGGATTTGGAACATTGTGGGCACTCAATAAAATGTGCTATCAAACAAATAGAAATAGTTCTATGGATTCTTTTTCTGAACCGTCCTCTACTCTAGAAGACTGAAGTTGAACTTGCCTTCAAGTCTAAATGAAACAATCACCACTGAAATCAAAAGGACAGCAGCTGATGACTTTCACTTATTGAAGTATCGAAGTTACCAGTCAGCCCCTGTAACCAGCATTAGTAAGTTCTTTTGATTTATTCCCCCACAATAACTCTAATGCATTATCAGGGAAAAAAATCTTACATTTAATGTACTAGGAACTGTCTTAACTGGTACTGCCATAACAAAATACCATAGACTAAGTGGTTTAAACAACAGAAATTTATTTTCTCGCAGTTCTGGAGGCTGTAAGTCTGTGATCAGAGTGCTAGTATGGTTGGTTTCTAGAGAAGGCTCTTTTCCTGGTTGGCAGATGACCTCCTTCTGCCTGTGTTGTCGCATGGGTGGGGTGAGAAACAAAATATTCTCCAGTGACTCTTCCTATAAGGGCACTAATTCCATCCTGAGGGATATACCATCATGATCTCATTAAAATTCAGTTGTTTCCCAAACGCACCATGTCCAAATACCATCACATTGTGGGTTAGAGCTTCAACATATGTATTTTGAAGGAGCACAGCTCGGTCCATACCATTAACTCATACAGAGTGGGAAAAAGTGGTGCAAAACACGGCTTAATTGATTTCATCAAATTGTCTTTCAAATGTCACTTTTCTCTTATTTCCTCCCCTCCACAATTTTTCTTTTATCTCTCTCATTCCTCCACATAAAAGTTGTTTGAAGGTTTTGCTTTCCTATGTCTTTTTCTAACCAACTCTCCTGCTACCACCCATCCTGCCTTTTTTTCCCCTCAGGTCAAGCTTATAAAGACCTTTATCTGTATGATTTTGTCCCTGAAAAGGTAACTTAGATTCTTAAAGCTCCTAGATTTTTCACTCTCTTCAGTGAAGGGTATTTAATATAAACAGAGGATTTTTGGGCTAGAATTGTACCCTCTCATAGTGGAACTTGATGGGTTATCATGGTAACAAAATCTCTACCTTTTAACTTGGTTGTATTAAAAAGACATCTCCTCCATTTGGATAAAAGAAAATGAATGTGGGGAACTAGGGGACTGAACACTTCATTCTGTCACACTTGGTTCAATAGCCTATTTATAGACCTTAAATCTAAACACAAGAGCAAAAAAGTAACGTTTCTAATGCCACCAAAATAAGAATCCATGGCCCTAGTTACATGCACTGAATTTCCTTCTGGAAACCTATAAAATTGTATACATTAATTTATCTTTCCTTCCTGCTCATCATTTCTATCCTGCCAAAATATAAAACATACACTTTATATAACTTTACAAAAGGAAAATATTCCAAAGAATTGGAAAAATTAGCAATATGTTAGAAGACCATTATGTGACTTATTTGAATTGTTAGGCTCTCATACAGCTTTGTTTATCTAAAATATATAAGCTTCAGTTTTACTGTTACCAAAACTAGTTTATGAAACAAATTATTCTGTTTCCAGAATATTTAATGATTGCTTCCATGTATTAAACAGTAACCATAAGAAATAGACAACCAGATGATTGTGTTTTTTCTTTGCCATTTTTTGCTGTTATCTATCATTTTTGAGGAATATATCAAGTTAAAATTTTCCATACATGACACCACTTATTGTAAATAAAAATTACAGGTAGAGGAAATTTCTTAAAGTAAGTTTCTTCATAGTTTTCTTTTTGTGCATTAACCTGGAAATGACTATGTTGTTATCAATATTTCCTTTTACTTTCAAGTGAATAATAGGATTTGAAATTAAATACAATTTTAAAAAGCATGGTTCCTTGGGAAAAATCTTTCTCAGATACATGTGTTCACACTAGGGCTGTTAATATATTTTTGCTTGGGAGTGTGGGATTTAAACTTACTGCACTTAAGCAAAGATATTGGTTCTTGGCAATTCGAGTTTTATTTTTAAAATAAGATTTTGAGACTTAGGATAAGAGGTAAATGTTACGCACAAATTATGTAGCATTATTTTGTTAAATTCATCTACTTAGATTTTCTTTCTCTATGTTTCATTTCCAATGATGTTAAACTCTTTTAAGGTATAATAAAGTGCTAAATATCATCAGTAACAGATCATTAAGAACTCTAAATACAGAAACAACATCAGAGAGCATACTACTCTTTTTCTTCATTAGTAAATTTTCTGTTTATATTATCCTAGTGGAAATTACGACCAGTTTTGTTGATAAAAGATTGCACATCCTTGTGAATGTCTCTATAGTTCATACATATTATAAGTGAGTTACAAACCACCGAAACACAAAGACTTTGCCTGGTTTCTTTTATTCTGCCAAATAATTTATTTCCCAACTTGTTTTTTGGACACTGACAAAAAACTCAAATGCTAAATCATTAAGAAATGCTCTAGTTATACATTCGTTTAAATTTTTTTCAAAGTTTTTAACTTCTTTGCCTTTGGTTTAAATTTCCTCCTGTAGCTCGTAGTTTAATCGTCTGAAGCCTTCTTCTCTCAACTGGTCAAAGTCATTCTCCGTCCAGCTTTGTTCCATTGCTGGTGAGGAACTGCGATCCTTTGGAGGAGGAGAGGTGCTCTGCTTTTTAGAATTTCCAGTTTTTCTGCTCTGTTTTTTCCCCATCTTTGTGGTTTTATCTACTTTTGGTCTTTGATGATGGTGATGTACAGATGGGTTTTTGGTGTGGATGTCCTTTCTGTTTGTTAGTTTTCCTTCTAACAGACAGGACCCTCAGCTGCAGGTCTATTGGAGTTTACTAGAGGTCCACTCCAGATCCTGTTTGACTGGGTATCAGCAGCAGTGTCTGCAGAAGAGTGGTTTTCTTGAACCATGAATGCTGCTGTCTGATCGTTCCTCTGGAAGTTTTGTCTCAGAGGAGTACCCAGCCATGTGAGGTGTCAGTCTGCCCCTACTGGGGGGTGCCTCCCAGTTAGGCTGCTCAGGAGTCAGGGGTCAGGGACCCACTTGAGGAGGCAGTCTGCTCGTTCTCAGATCTCCAGCTGCGTGCTGGGAGAACCACTGCTCTCTTCAAAGCTGTCAGACAGGGACATTTAAGTCTGCAGAGGTTACTGCTGTCTTTTTATTTGTCTGTGCCCTGCCCCCAGAGGTGGAGCCTACAGAGGCAGGCAGGCCTCCTTGGGCTGTGGTGGGTTCCACCCAGTTGGAGCTTCTGGGCTGCTTTGTTTACCTAAGCAAGGCTGGGCAATGGCGGGCGCCCTTCCCCCAGCCTCGCTGCTGCCTTGCAGTTTGATCTCAGACTGCTGTGGTAGCAATCAGCTACGCCTACTCCGTGGGCGTAGGACCCTCTGAGCCAGGTGCAGGATATAATCTCCTGGTGCACCGTTTTTTAAGCCTGTCAGAAAAGCGCAGTATTCGGGTGGGAGTGACCCGATTTTCCAGGTGCTGTCTGCCACCCCTTTCTTTGACTAGGAAAGGGAACTCCCTGACCCCTTGTGCTTCCTGAGTGAGGCAATGCCTCGCCCTGCTTCAGCTCGCACACAGTGCACTGCACCCACTGACCTGTGCCCACTGTCTGGCAGTCCATAGTGAGATGAACCCCATACCTCAGAAGGAAATGCAGAAATCACCCGTCTTCTGCTTCACTCACGCTGGGAGCTATAGACCGGAGCTGTTCCTATTCTGCCATCTTGGCTCAGGAGCTGATGGAGCTGAAAGCCAATGCTCGAGAACT